>NC_000008.11:25920708-26223738 GCF_000001405.40 Homo sapiens
TTTTTTTTTTCACCTAATATACACATTCCAGGAAATTTCTCTAATTTTATATTTTGGCAGGAGGATTTTCCTCCATTCACCTCACTTCTAGTTTATTCTTGTGATTCAGTCTCTCTGCCTCCTCCTTTCTCACCTATCTTTGCTCTCTCCCAAGTTTCCAAATTCTGAATGATGTAGTGTGCTTTTTTTATGTGCTACCTAAAAGTTGGTGGGGGTGGGGAGCAGTAAATTGGGAAGAAGGGATGACTGAAATAGAGAAACCGAGATGGTAATTACAGCTAGGCTCAATTTTATCTGAAAACTATGGTGGCTTGCCTCCATTTCAGCCATGAAGATCCACATTTACAGTACATATAACCTTTGTGCCAAAAAAAGGAAAAAAGAAAGCACCTGTAGGCTAACAGGTAGCAGTTGGTACCTATGGAATTATCATTGGCTATTAACACTGGGTCAGGTATCATATTAGCCACTTTCAGATGCATTTGCCAAACCCATGTAAAAATATAAAACCAGGTATTTCAATATTCTGTCATTCCCTAAGCAAAACAGATTTTCTTATATTACTCATAGTAGAGTCAGCCGACTTTCATTAGAATTTTTTTAACTTTCTTTTTTTTTCCTTAAAGAAGAACTAAACCTAGATGATATAAAAGAGAAACTGGGACAAAAATCAGGTCAAGAATTTGATACAAAAGGCATTCAGATAAGGCTAATAATATTCCCGAGTGTAGTCAACAGAGCAGACAATGATCACATCGGTCTAAGCTCTACCCAACCCCTATATCTGTACAAGATTCCAGGAATCAGGAATCAGTTATTTGTTCTTTTTGTCATTCAAACTTTATTGAGCCTAAAGCCTCTATTAACTCTATGGGAATTATCAACTTTTTGGAGGTTTCCACATCTTAGTACCAAAAATGAAATCTTTCTTTTAAATATACCACAAGAGAATGTTATCTGTTTCACGTTTCTTTATTCTCTGTAACCCCATTGCATTTTGTGCTAACTCTGGTCATCTTGCAGAGGACACTACCTAATTAATTTTTACTTTGCTCCTAAGTAGATGTCCAGAATCTCTTCTTTCATTTTCTCTTTAAAAAATTGCTCCTCAAACGAAACGTCTCATGGGAGAACCAGAGCTTACACCAGACCTGAGCACGCTCCCATTGAGAACAGGCGCAGCCCCTGGGCACTGCTTCTGTGCACCTGGAATTTCTAATCTTTCTTCCCATGCCATATCACATTATTGCTCAGAAATATGCTGGATTCTTGGAACAAGGTGAAACTGAGCCACCTTGTTTCAAAAATGGAGGCTAGGCATGAAATCTCCCATCTCATTTGGAGTCACTAGGATTTCTCACTCCAGGTTCAAAGAAAGGCTCAATGTAAATGGGGCAGATTCATGGGACTCCCATAAATCAGCCCCACTTTGCTGAAAACCAGAACCTGAGTTTATGTTGAAGTTTCAAAAGTGCTTGGCTGAGCCCAGCCCAAACTTCAACTTTCCAAATAACTTCCAAACTGATGAGGCTGTTTTTGCTTAAAAAAAAAAAACAAACAAAAAAAACACCTGGTTTTATGTTTCACAATGTTTTATAAATCTGCATTTATAAATCTGCATAATTTCTAAAAATTAGCATTTATTTTAGGTACTTATTCCTACCTTTCATCAAATGACATTGATTCTCAAAGCCTGGTGTGGTAGAAATGTGTTTCTACACAGTACGTTTACTTAAGATCATATAATAAGGATGAGTCAAATAAGAAAAGCTTTCTTGAGAAAAAGAATGTGGGGCTTTTAGATATCTACATAGATCCTAAACTTTAAAATAGTTCAGCCACCCATTTCCTCTGCCAGAACAGATATCATTATTAAGTCAACACACTCACATCCATATATTTCATAAAAGGCAGGGTAACAAAAAATGTAAAAGTTGCATCTAGTCCCCAAAAGTTGAAACTTTCAGTGTCACTGGCTCTGTCACCTTCTACTGCCTTTGAAAGGAGTGCTGATAAACCAAATGAGCCCTCTCAAGCTCTTTTTGGAATGAGGCAGAGAATTAAATAAATGACAAAATGTTTTAACATCAGTGGTGGGGGAAAGGCCTAATTGACACGCTCAGTATCCAATAATCTGCAAAAGCCAGAGACCATTTTACTGACATGATTCTTTCTGACCCTGGAGTTTAGAGTTGGGTTTGTGGTTTCTCCCTACACAGTGAATAATGGAATACAACTACTAAAGGAAAAAAAAAAAAAAATTCATCCGTTGGAGAATCAGCAGCTGACCTGGAAGTAAAACATCTCAGCCCTTCACTCAGAGGCCACAGAGCCTGTTCTGCTTTCTCAGGGAGTTGCCAGGACTCAAGTGAGCAGCAGGACAGGGTCCGGAAGCATGGGAAAGAGACAGCCACAGGTCCCTCGGGAAGGCGCACCGTGGAGTCGCCCCAGCCACGCTGGGAGAAAGGCCACTCTGTGCAGGGATCTGACATCAGGCTCTCCCTGGCAAGCCCATAGGCAGGATAACCACTCCCAGAAATGGCCCAGAGAGTCCTGTGGCCCAACACCATGATAAGGAAATCATCTAGTTTCATACATGAGTCAGAATTTATGAGCTCCTCATTCAACCCAAATTGAAGCTACAATTCCACCATTCCTCCTGGTAGAACTCTGCCTTGAATTAAGACAGAACCTGAAAAATCAGGCCCGGTATTTTTGTTTTCTTTACCATCTCTCAGCTTGCCAGGGTGATCACATCAAAATCATGCAGAACACACAACCAGGCAATGATTCTATTGTAAATGTATACACATATATGTCTATAAAAAAGCAGATTTCGTCACTCCTAGTGATAAGCCTGCTTCAAGTTTTGTTTTTTTTGTTGTTGTTTGTTTTGCAATACAAGTTCTAAACTGATCAAAAGGTGTTCCTATCTCCCTGCTTTGTTAGCCAGGGTTGTGGGTACAGGAGCATTTTTTATTCAAGTTTGATAGAATTCAACCAAAGGGCCTAGTGAGGGCCAGGTCATGGTTTTTCACAATTTGTCCTCATCTGGAAGTTTATTATTCTGTTAGGAATATTTTCTAACCCAAGACAACAATAACAAAGCCTTTTTTAGTAGGCAAAGCTAGGCCAATTGACTTTGATCATTTTTTTAATGATAAAGCAGTTAGCAGATTAATTTTGTTCTTAGCTCTTTTAACCTGGGCTGAATGTTTATGCTTCTCCTAATGAGATGATGCATTGAAAAGTGAAGATAAATGTCATCTACTTTTCATGTGATCTATAAAATTAATCTCCCATGCTTATGTTAATACCGATAATGTAATGTAGGAGGCAGTGTGACCTAGAGGATAAAACTTAAGAGGAAGGCACTCATGTTCAATTACAGTTTATATTACTGACAATATTTTCATCTCTCTGTGTCTCACTTGCCTACTCTCGTCCCTCATACAAGTCCCCTCACATATCTTCCCTGTAAAATTGGGTAATGCCTCTGAGAGATGCTGGGAGAATTACTTAGGTGCTTTGGGAAACAGCTTAAAACACCTTTTAGAACTTTCTTGTGAAATAGCAGATATTGTTAATGTTCCTACCGTAAAATCAGCCTCTGGTAAGTAACCATGACACACTTAGCAATTGTCTTCCTACTCAGTAAAAGTGATCCTCCCCAGAGCTCAGGCAAGTGACCCTCCACCCACAGGGTTCTGTTTATTTCCAGAAAATAAATTACACGGAAGGAGGGCGCGATGGATGGTAATTAAGTCACCAAGTTAGGGAGGGATCAATGCTTACACTTTAGAGGTTAAACGAAAAGCTGATTACATCAGGAAGGAATCCATGTTCTGTATTCAGCTGTAAAATAAACTGGGAGTTTTGTGTTTGGTGTCTGAAACATCTTTGGAAACACTAAATCAATTTAATATCAATAATTGCCAGATATATGCTAGATTAAATGAACCAACACAGATAGCTTTGTTCGCAGAGAAAACAGGGCCAAATGGCTTTCATTAGCATGACTAATCCCGAAGTTCTGTGGTTTGATGATCAGACGTCTAAACCTGAATTTTGATTCTTGCAAATATATGATTTGGCACAAGACATTGCAAGTCCAGCTATTTCTGTACCTTTAACATACATGCTGAATATCAGAGAAGCCAGGTGACACTTAAAGTGCCTATATAGCTACAACTGTACCCACTGGTGCCCAGAAACACACCAGATGCACAGAAAATAAGGAAATCACTCTAACACAGGACTGAGCCTTTTCCCAGACCTGTTTTTGGGGGCTTTGGAATCACCTGCTTTGGTCCTGGGGAGACAGTCTTAACAGGAGTTTCAAAAGCCAGTGCTGTTCTCACAGCTCCCCAGCAGCTCTGTGACCCTGGTCATTTTCCTATTGTTGGGATTACAGAACCAAGCGGGGCACTACACTCAGGAGCCTGGTGGTATTTTCACCTCAGTCCCGAGAATATTTTTCTCCTTTTTTTGGAAATTCTGACATCTTTTCCCTTGTAACTCTTGCAATTTTGAAGAGTTATACTCATGACATATTTTATCCCTAAATAGTCCTGAGAACTTCAGAAAACCCGGGGTGCACAGAAGGAGCTGAGAGGGGTCATCAGAGTGACTTGTGAGGACAAAAACAGGGCAATGGGTCAAGAGTCTTGGGCTCCACCAAGAACCTGAGGTGCCTTACAGTAAGTGTATCATGCAGACATACAGCAAGGTGTGAACAGAGCACCTGAAACCTTGCAGAGGGGGCTCCGAGGAAATTATCATTTGTCAGCCTTTGTTTCTCTAATTCCTGAGTGTATGCTCTCACCCCCCAACCCACCATCACATTACTTCAGCCAATCGTCATGAATGCACTTCGGCTGCCTTTGTGCAGTGTGTGCGTGCATGTGTGTCTACGCATGTGTGTGTGTCAAAGCCAGGAACACAGAATCACTCTTTGGGGCCTCATCACTGGGCAGCCGAGCCTCTGGACAGTCTTCTTCGGAGGTCTGTGCAAACTTCGGGTCAGAGCAGCTGCCTGTGAGTCACGATGGGCTGTGGGGCCTCAAATCCCTTCACAGCCGATCTGGGGCAAAGGAAAAAGCATTCAGCTTTTTCATTTTCATAATAGGAAGATTTTTTGCAGAGCCCTTATAGCCCGTGTGGGGGAATGCTTTTTAAAGGTCAAATGTGACTGTCCCTATATTTGGGTTTGGAAATTCACAGACTCTGATTATAAATATTGCTGAAGTGCGACTGATATGTGCAGGTACCAGCCAATTCCTTGATATGCCCTCTTTTGTCTATTTCTTTGCTATCCCTCAGCCCCCAAGTCCCAATAGGTGTTCTAAAGAGTCTTGCCTCAAACACGTGGTCAGCTCGAAGGGCTTAAGGGAACTAGAGAACTATGAGTCCTTCTACCGGGAAGCAAGACCACCAGGTGAGGGCTCTGTGTCCCCAGGTACCAGTGGGCCACAATACAACATGGGAGGGAGATCTCGTTGCTCTCGCCGTATGGTGGCCTGGTTGAGAAGTCGAGGGTTTCTGTGTATTCTCTGGCCCTGAATCCAAGGCAGGCTGGCTCCCCCACTTTCACTGGTGCCATTGGGAAAAGAGAGTATTTTGGAAACATTGTGTCGGGCCTGGGATGTGTCTCCTCTCACCCCCACCTTTCTAATAATCTTCCCAAGTTGGCTAAGAAATAATAAACTATTGCTTAGATGAGATGATGATCAAGTCTCTAAGGAAATAGCTCAGAAAGGTGAAGACTCTTGCCTCTGTGAGCTGGACATCGGTTTTATACTTCGACAATGTGGATGTATCTTTGTCTGTATGCATCACCTTCTCTGACTCACAGTGTGCAGTACTGAGGGTGTCCATTTAGTCCAGAAAGTCTGCATATTGATCCCATCTCTATGACACTCATTGATTCCTCCATATGTTCCACTTTGTCAAAGTCCAGGCATAAAAACTCCCAGAAGCATGAGTCCTCTCCACATTCCCAGGCTCTTTCCTAAGAGATTTTACTACCATTCAACACAGACAGGAGTTGATTTCTCAGCAAGACTTTGAAAGTACATTCGAGAGTTCTATTCATCACCTTTGAGGCAACGTAAATTCACCAAACTGCCCTGAAGATCTGAGCAAAGGATCTCCAACAGATCAGATTATCCCCCTGGAATGAAGGAGGAGGTCCACATGATCTTTTCCGGGCCAGCAAGAGGATTCAGAAGTCCAAGGATTCCGTAGATGAAAGAGAGTTTCAGGATTGTGATGGTTAGTTCTTGTCAACATGGCTGGGTTCTAGCACCCAGTTACTTAATCCAACACTAATCTAGGTGTTACACTGAAGGTACATCTACAAACTGGTTGACTCTAAGTAGAGGGATTACCCTTGATAATGTGGATGGGTCTCATCCAATCAGTTGAAGGCCTCAATGGCAAAAACTGAAGTTTCCTGGAGAAAAAAAAAATTCTGCCTCAAAACTGGAGCATTGACTTCTGCCAGGGTTTCCAGCCTGCTGGCCTGTCTTATGAATTTCAGACTTGCCATCTCCCACCCCACCCCACCCTACAATAAGCCAATTCCTTATCTTGTATATATCTAGATATCATGTATTTATATATCTAGATATCATATATATTTATATATAATACTATCGTGTATGTTATATATATTATATACACATCATGTATATTATATATCATATATAATATACATGATATATATACATTTCCTATTGGTCCTTTTCTCTGGAGAACCCTGGCTGATTCAAGGACCAACAGGAAATTTCCACTCTAGAGAGAACTTCTATCACTATAGAAACTTGAAAACACAAAAGAACGTAAAACCACCAAATAATGTGGTCCTTTCTGCTAGGGTGGGCAACTCCTGCTGGAGTTCCTGGTGCACATTAAACCTCACAGGAGCTTCCCTCTGAGTGTTAGAAGAGGGGACAGGGGAGAGGATGGCAGAGGAGTCCTGTGATTGGCTTGGCTATGGCCTTAGAACACTCTTATTTGTATATATCATGCTAAAATGTACTCAGTTGGAACTTAAGTCCTAAACAGTGTGGGGTTTATATAATATTGTTATTATAGTGCAGAAATAATTAAAGTGTGTCAAGTTTTGCATTTTTTAAAAATCTTCTCTGAGAAATCCCCGACTTTTCTACAAGGATTTCATAACTCTAATAAGAAAGCCCTGTCATGAATAAAACCTGGCCCACATTGCCTCAGGAAAAGCCCAGAATGTATTTACTCCACTTGATTAAAATAGAAATATATATATTATAAAAAAGTCCATCAGATAAGGAACACGGCTTGTCTCCTCTCCTATCCTCCACACAAAGGTAGCCAAAACTTTGCGAATCTGTCAGAAATGGGTTTCCCCTAATTAAAAGGGAAAAGGAATAAATTAGAATCTGGTAAGAGTAAAAGGTTTTTTTTAGGTTGAATTCATACTGAAAAAAATTAGAAGTACAGCTAGTGTGGATTCCTGAGACATGTACCCACTCTCTTTAGACTGTTGCCATCTAAGGTGCACACGCTGGATTTCCACATGCTGCAGGAATTGAAGAACCTCTTAGAAACCTGGTCTTCATAAACTTAAGGCTTATCTGGGTTAGCTGCAAGAGACAGCAAGAGAACCCATGCAGATCTTTCATATGCTCCCATCTGACTCATTCCCTGTCCTCTTCTCCCCACGACCATTCCTGCCCCAACTTGGCCCAGAAACCAAATGTGAATTTTCTATTTCCCACCTCAGCACTAGTCCATGCCAGGACACCAGCTGACAATTTCTTGGTTTTATTGTCAATAGCTGTACCATGTGATCAATTACTGTCTTCACTTAGAACGAAGCCAGAGCCCAAGAATATTTATATTCTACCAATACGTGCCTGTTACAAGAGAAGGAAATATGAGTTATTAAGTTTAACTTTTTATGTGAATTCAGAGTTTAACAATGGAAATATGTACAAAGAAGCTTTAAATGAAGTATTTACCAACATTCCTTATACATGTCAGGCACTAGGCTACATGGGATAATGATTAATAATAAAATGATTTTTAAATGAAAAAAAAAAAAAAAAAAACCAGGGAAATGGAGAGGAGAAAGGAACTAGAGGACACCTCTTTCCACCAGGAAGTG
Organism: Homo sapiens; assembly: GCF_000001405.40. NCBI lineage: Eukaryota > Metazoa > Chordata > Mammalia > Primates > Hominidae > Homo > Homo sapiens. Next base: position 25,928,858 of record NC_000008.11, read on the forward strand.
GACCAGGCTTGGCCAAACTACAAACAGACCAGCAAGGAGTTCCTACTTGCTACACAGGAGGGCTCTAACATGCAGAATGCTTTCGAGGATTAAACAAAATCTCATGTATTAAGTGCTGACGCAGTGAGATGCCTCTATCTCCACACTCAATAACCAGGAGTTGTATTATATTATTATAATCAGTTCAAAAAGAACTATGCAGACAGATTTCAATGGAAAGTAATATTACAACTAATAAGAGTGAAGAATACAATTAATGCTTCCTCAGTGTTGAGCAGTGATCTGCTCATGTTGATTCATTTAAATACTCACGACAGTCCTGTGAGATATTATCGCATCAATATCCCTGTCTTACACAGACAAGGAAACTGAGGTTAAGGAACTTTCACAAGGTCACACAGCTACCAGATGGTGGAGACGGGATGTGAACAGGGCATCCTGGCTCCACAGTTTGCTTGTTTAAAACACACTGTCCTAATCCAACTCCTGTTAGAGAGAGAAGTAATCAGTGCAAATTTTTTCCTTCTGAAAACATTTTGTCAGGGTCTATGGTGACTTAGAGCACTTAGTACGATGCTTATTGAGAGCAGACACTCGACGAGGCTTTTTATTGTGGGCTTACTCTGTTTTTAAGGCAAGGAGCTTCTCTATTTCAAGATTTTTTCACTATGTGCCTTCATTTCTTCCTATCGGGTACTTTTTTTTTCCACTTTTGAAATCTTCCTTAATAAACATGTGTGCTTAAAAAAAATCTTCTAAGTTCTATTCCTCTTTCAGAGCACACACAAATGCTATCTCCCTTGTAAGTCAGGATCCTTTGGTCCACAATGACTCCCTCCTTGGGACGTCTAAACACACATGAGTAAGGTCATGTTGATCCTGGTTGAGTCTTCACAGTCTTGTTCTTCACACACCTACTTCCCCATCACTGAGCTCGCCGGCCTGGCACAGATCCGGGTATCAGTGGGAAAATGGTGGAAATGGGGTAGAAAGGGCTAAGGTTTACACACAAGAGAGGGGGAAAAACAGAAGGGAAAAAGTAAGGGGGAGACCTGGGGAAGGACAATGGAGAATGAGGGTTATAGACTTTAGGGTGGCTGATGCGGGAGCCGAATGGAGAACAAAATAATGAGGCAGTATCTTATGAAGTGAATTTTCTATAATTACTTCAATGTTCTTTGAAAAATGCAGAGAAAAACTAGAACCGCTTTCAATTACTTTCAGCTGCTGAAATGTTTGGGTGTGACATCACGTTGTGGCAGGGACACATGGACTTCTGGCTTTATTCAGGTTACATCTCCAGGGCTCATCCAGAATCAGGTATACTTCTTGACCATACTACTCATTTGGGACTTAGCTATCTCCTTCGCAACTAAATGAGGACACTTGAGGAAGCTGGCTGGTAATCTTATGGTCACCTGCACTGTCTCAAGTAGTGTAGGAAAAACAGTTCTGGAAGATCTGAAGTAGAGTTCGTTACTTCATAGCTGTGTGACTTTAGGGAAGTCACTGAACCTCTCTGAGCCTCACTCATATCTATCTATAAGAATATCTACCTATAAGACAATACATGGGAAAGTGCATTGGCAACCATTAAGTGCTACATAAATGTTACCACCGCTTAGTGCCTTGCAGGGACTCATTAAAATCTTGTTGATTGATCGACTGATTAATTAACTCCAGCCAGCTTCCTTAAAAGTGTCCTCATTTAGTTGAGAAAGAGATAGCTATGGAAGTCAATGACATCCAAGAAAATCCACTCGGCTTGACAGCAGCCTCATTCAAGGGACTTTTAGGTTTATAAATGTACTTGCAAACAAACCTCTTTCTGTTGCTCAATGACTAGCTTTGGTTGGGATGATGAGATCTGCCAGAAGTAATGAGACTGTCATTTTGGCTACCTGTACATTTGAGGATGAAAGAGGCTTGATTCCAGAAATCCAAATGAAGAAGTTAGGGATGCCAACCTCCAGGCCATCTCTGGACACACAGTAGGCATATAGAACAACACTGAGGATTGGATTGAGTCTTAAATCCAGCAATCCCCCTCTATCACTGAGTATGATGGACTGCCTGGTAAGATTTTCATGAAACATCTCAGAGATTATATGGCCTCATAAAAACAAAAATGACTTGAAGTTGAACAGAGTTGAAGCGAATGAAACTTCAAACTAAATTTTTATTGAAATTCTCCCCATTGTCAGACGATATTTTCAATGTTCATTTCCCTGCCTCAGCCCATTTTGCCATAGAAACTTGGATGTTTTCATTGAACAGCAGCCAGTGAACACTGGACTGAAGGGGCACACTATAAATTTGGAAAAATAAATAAATGCTTCAGAACTTCCACTTGAAAACCACAGCTAAAAATGAAATCAAATCTGACCCACCCCTTTTCTTTTAAATTGTGGGAACAGACTCAGTCTGCCTCAATCTTTAAGCACATATAAAATTTAATATTAATATAAGCACCTTGGAGATCAATGCATGGCCTGGTCTAAAGCAATTGTGGAGCCTTTGACTCAAGCAGCAAGGTTTGGACGACTTGAACCAGAAGATAGCATCCTTCCTATGCCATGTTCCTTAATAAACATGTGTGCTTAAAAAATAAAAAGGGAAGAAAAATTGGTTTATGGGCATAGAGAGAATAATTCACTCCAAATTGCTCCTTTGATGAATGTGGACAAAAAGAATAAAATTTGTCACCTAGCTAATATTACCATCAATATTTTGTCCAGCTACATTCCTTCCAATTTAAAAACAGTTCAATATCCCTTTTACCTTCAAGTAGCAGCACTTAATAAACAGTGATGGATGGTTTTTATTTTTGTTCGCATTTCAGTCTTCCCTGCTTTGGTACAAGGGGACTATTTTGCTTGGGGGAAATGTAGATCTTCCATCTTTCGTCCATTGACATGCACGCCTCAAGGAAAGACGGCCATATTTAATTCATAACGCCCATCGGCTACACAAACATACAACTTCCCATCAATTAGGCAACACAGAGATGTTGTTAAAAATCAATGAGCTTATTATTAAATATATTTTTTTCATGTAGCAATAATAGTTATTGCTGCACTATTGTTATTACTGCAATGTCAGCTGTTTAGGCAGCTTTCAGAGAGTTTGATTGGCTTTGATCTTGCTAGCAAGGCATTCTATGAAACAAGGGATCTGGGTGAGGCTTCCCTGCTCTGTCTTCTGCCATATTGAGAAGCCACCAGGAGAAGGGGGAAAATGTATGATGTAGTGGAACAAACCTTGGACTGGAGGCAGAAGACCTGGGTTCTAGTCCCAGAACTGCACATAACTAGCTGTGCGACCTTAGGTAAGTCCTTCCTCCATTCTAAGCCTTAGTTTCCTCATTTATAAAAATGAGAGGTTTATGATAAGTGATCATTAGGACCCCTCCATTCTAAATTTTCAGACTCTTCAACCATTTTTTTAACTAGGAAAGGAAACAGGTTGAAATTGATGCAATTCAGCAACTCTCAATTGTTCCTCATCAAAAGTCTCTTGATTAAAAAAAAAAAAAAGAACGGGCAGCGTACGGGATGCTACTGAATCTGGAGCAGACATTAAATTGATCCAAAACCCAAATATGCTCCTATTTGTGTTTTCATCCTCGTTGTGTGTTTATTAAAAATAATTTTGATATTTTGACACTTACCACTACGGCAGAAGCCTCCTGCCTACAAACAGAGATGTTAAAACTGTGCCAGCACATGCAAAGGTTAAAAACAACATTGCACAGATTTTGGCAACTACATCATATGCTGTCTGGCCGCAGCTGATCTGAACTGAGTCCCCCGTAATTACAGGAGAAGGTGGAACAGGTTTGCCGCTAATTGGAAAATTCTGCAAATGGCAGCACTGAAGTAAATTGACAGTCGTTAGAATATTAGCAAAATGAGAGTACTGATTAGTAAAAAGCTCAGAAGCAGACTTTTTTTTTTTACTGCCAGAATCTACTGGCAAAATTGATAATAAAAGCTGAACTTAATAATAACAGCTGTTATTTGACCTGGTAATATTTTTTTTAATCTGTTGCTGTTCCCAGACCAATAACACATAAAGAAGGTCTGTATCCACTGTTGCAAAATTATTTGAATACCAAAAGGTATATTCAAACTCAGTGAAGGCAAACTGTGCTTAAAGGGGCAGCCCATCAGTAGCACGTTCTGATGGAAGTGCATTCACTGGAAACGTTGTGAGTTGTTTTGTTTTCTCCCCCTTCCAACAGGTCTCGTAGGCATGCTGGAGCGTTCGCGTGTCCTTTTTAGAACTGGGCCTGGATTCTATTTCCAGTTTGCTTTAAATCTGTGACTGCTAAAAATGTCAAAGTTAACTTATTTTTCATTTTAAAGTGGACAGGAAGGAAAGTAGGACATTGCTGGACTCTGAACCATCTATCAGCGCTGAGCTGTTGATGGTATTTTTCAGTCACTGCATGCAGAGAAATACAGATGGGAAAGCATTAAGAATGGACATATTAATTAGACATGCTGCCACGAATCTACGGAAAAGGGACCGTAGCTTCACCACACAGACTTCCACCTTATGGGGACACACAGGAATATGCCCTAAAGACTTCCATTTTGGGAACTCTGATCCACAGCTGGTGGGAGTATAAATTAGTTCAATCTTTCTGGCTGTATGGCGATATAGATCAAAAGTCTTAAAAATGCATACAGCCTTTGACCCCGCAATTCTATTTTAAGGATTTGTCCAAAAAAAGAGTCATGGATATACCCAAAGCTTTATCTACAAAAGATGTTCCTTGCAGCATTGTTTATAATAAATACGATGGTGGAAAACAAATTTGTCCCCAAATGGATAATTGACTATGATATACAAAGAAATACTACATAATTATTTAAATTATGTTATAGAATAACATCTAATAATACCAAGAGATAGTCTAGTATAAAAAAATACGAAACAGTAAACATAAGATTATCACATTTTTGTTTAAATACAGAGAGAGATAAGAGACAAAACTGGAATAATTACCAATTATTTCTGAGCGGTAAGTTACTGGGCCATTTTCATTTTATTTGTCCATATTTTCTAAATTTTCTAAAATGACCATACATTGTTTGGGTCAGAAGAAAATACATAAATTAATTTTAAAGATAAAATCTCTCTAGAGGGTTTTGGTTGTTTTAAGTAAAAATTCAATCTGTGGCAATGGGAAGGAAAGTCTGCATTCCTGAATGGTGTGCTGGCTTCTTGACTTAAAGCTTCACTGCCTTACATGATGGAAGTGCACCTCCCTTTGAGGGAAAAAGAATGGTCAGCTAAGAGCAAATCTTAGGACTCCAGGTGAAGGACCAGGCTGCTGCTTATTGTTGACTTCATGTGCATACACACACACACACACACACACACACACACACACACACACACACACACACACCAATCTTGTTTTTGATATCTGTTCTCTGAAAACATAGGTCAGCAATACTTCAGGCCTTTAGAAAGACGGATTTCCCTTTATGACTTTTGACTTCATCCTCTGATAATTCTGCTATTTTATTTTGCCCTTATTGTGGTACCCACAACCTCATTTATTCTGAAACACTGCAGGAAGACATCATTGCCGTTTTCAAATTTTGTCTCTCCACCAGTCATTTGGAAGGGAAGAGAGTTGGAAGCACACGAATCCAAATTCAGCCCATGGACTCACAAAATAGACTCTGTCCATGTCGTATCACAAGTCGAGTTTACTGCTAATAGAGGCGGTCCTGCTGCATAGGGCCCTATTCACCGGTCTCTGCATGCTCAACCAAAGTGACACAATGTGCATGGCTGGAGCTCGCACGACACTCCCTGTACTTGAACATCGGCCAGGAAGTTGAGTGAGAGTGTGACACTTCAGAGGTGCCTTAGAGCACACGTACGTTTGCCGGGGCAATGACGTATGCATCCCGTATCCCATCAGGTCTGCTTTTTGAAAAAATCCTTATTAATATCCTACGGCGCCATTGCCAAAAACACAAAATCCCAAAGGCAAATCCCCTACGTTCTAGCACTGCCAGAACTAGTACCACCAGGCTTTGCTCAGGGACTGCGAACTGCCGCAGTTGCTTCTAGCAAGGAGCACCAAGCCCACCCCATTAGCTTCAGCCACAGGACCAAGCGACTTGCAAGCTGTTTCTCGCCAGGAGTGTGGGTGGGCAGCGGGCAGGATCCCAACGCGACAACTAGACTCAATTGACTGTAACCCAGAAATTTTTTTTAAGTGGCTTTTTTGGATGGTGGTACCCAAGGCCCCCCATCCTTCATTCTTCCTAACAGTTATGCATCAGGAAAACAAAGCGATGGAGGGGGAAGTGGGGGTGTTGCTGCAGCCAGTTGGTGCCAAATACAGTTAAGGATGGAGAGGGAGGTGGGATTGGAAAGGGGGGGAAAAGCAAGTCACTTTCAATCAAGTGTCACACCTTTAAATAGTGGTTAAATCTTTGCATTATGCAGCTCATCCCTTTACAACATGGGGTTCCCTTAGAGAATTCCCTGTTTACACTGGGAATTCCTCCAGGGCCGCATCAATAAAGCTGAACAGATGTCAGGGTGGAATGCCAGCGGCAGTGGCTGTTGTCAGGGGTACTGGGGAGGGAGGCACAGAACAATGAGAAACGGCATCTGCTACACAAAGCCCTTGCGCGTGGGTCAGGTTCTGCCAGTGTGTAGGGATTCCACCCTACCCTTTGTCTGGGCACATTGCCTTTCTTGTTTCTCAATGACAAGGGTTGACACATGTCACCCGGCCCTATCAGGAGTGTTATTTGTTTGCCACTTGCATATGCACCAGTGTTCCTGACCTTCCCCGCATCTCTGCTGAATGCACCCAGCAAAGCTGAAACTCTCCAGCCCTGCCCCAATCTATGATTTCATTATGCACTTTGAGTCGAAAGTGGGATGTAGATGTCCTTCTTTTTAATTAAAAACATGATTGATGAGATTTAACTGACAGTAGGAAATGCAATTTAAATATTCCTTAAAGAGGCACTAACCCTGTTTGTGTGGCAAGGCTTGCGTGGCTTTCCAAAGTTGCGACCGGTGGGAGAAAGGAAATTAAAATAAAAGCCCGTTCAAGTCCGCTCGGCTGTGGAAGGGTGGTAACGTTAGACAGAAATTGCAGCCGTGTAACCAGAAACTTCTGCGCATTAGGAGCCGATGTGAAGTGTTGCTCAGGAATGGCAGTGTTCAGTGTGGTTAGAGGCAGCAGAGGAGTAGAGAAGAGTATGCTATGAAATCATGTGGAAGCAAAACAGGCTAATTCACCACATTTTTAAAGCAACAATCTGATCCCAAAAGACATTATACTAAAACTCTCCCTGCTCTGCAAAAGTGGTTTTGCTCCTCACTGCTGTATTGCTGAATTTATCTTTGGCTCCTCTATTGAGCTTTCCTTAAACTGTCCTTTTAAAATTTCCATTATAAGAAAAGTCCTTAGCACCCCCGATGCTCCAGGACGTGGGCTGCAGTTCTAAGGCAAACAGGAAAGCAGGCACCACTTTTTATAAAGGCCTTCTCAGATTTGTTCCCTTAGTGACTGCTAAATTATTATGGGAAATTATGTGAGCCACAGGATATAGCAATATCCAAACCATGGGAACCCCAAATTGTAATAATCAGAGGCAGGAGTAAGTTTTTCTAATGACCAGGACTTTGCACTGGTATTTTCAATCTAGAAATATTGGATGAAGTTGAGTATTAGTCTGTACCATAACAGTATAACTTAAATGCCAACAACAATAGCAGTTTAAATTTTATTATAGAACTAGATCTCTGTTCTCTTTCTTAGTATCATTTACAAGAGGGTTTCGTTGTTGTTGTTGTTTTGTTTTGGGATGTTATGTCTTCCATGGAAGTAGTTATTTTCTGAGAAATGATAACTGTGAATTTAAAAAAGGTTAATACTTTCCTAAAAGTATATATAAGAATAGCCTTGTCTACACTCTGGAGGCTTACTAAAAGTATCATCTTCATCTGTGTTTCATGCCTAAAGATTTTATTCTAGAATTTCAAAATCCCTTAAAAAGCAACAGATACCACACACAGTATAGTTCTTCTCCACTTAATTCCTATTAAAGACCGATAAAAAGAAAAGCTTTTATTGAAATGCTTGGGTTAGAGGAAACGGGATTACAATTGGAGCTGATTTTTGGTAAGTATTTAACTAGCAAAGGTTAATTAGAATTGTAACAATGAGATGTAAGAGAACACATTCTGATCGATTGATTAATGAGATGTCAGAAGGTATAAGAATCCACCTTTGGGAGAAATATTAAAAATGAAATGTGTTTGCAAAGCCATGATGTCTTTTCTCTTCATTTATTAACACAAGAAGCAACCGTGGATGTTTTTCCATGGGTAACAATGTACAGAAAATTACGATCTCCAAGTTGGCCAAAAGCAGCACCAACATGTTACCCAAGTCTCTACCATCCAAAAATGTCCCCGACACCCATACAAGGGAACAAAGTTTCTAGAAGAGGCCAAACTCTCAGCAGCCCTCCCTGTAGTGACTTTCTATCTCCCCTCTATTCTCTCTGCATTATATATTCAGATTAATTTAATGAATGACTCATTTCAAAATCCTAGGCTTAAAATTATTACCATAGAACATTATAAAATGCCTATTCTGGATTTATTGTTTCATCAATCTGGTATCAATTTCACTATTGACATGGGCGATGGGGCGGGGGAGAGGGTACTGTACACGTTTTTCCTTCCTCATTTGACTACACTGGTAAGCAAACAGATCTTCCTATTTGTGGCATAGATGTTCTTTGTCACAATAAACCACAGTATATTATGTTTATATATGTCCTTCAAGCATGTCACAACAGTTTGGCATTCTGAGTGGCTCTACCACTGTGTACATTAAATAGTCATGTAGTTACATTAAACAGTGGGGAGTTCACACTTCACAAGCACTTGGTGTTTTAAAACAGATGTGGGCTGTCTGTTGTCAGACTCCAGTGAAAAAGCTTAGAAGAGACTTGGTGGGAACATAATCTTCAAATAGCTGAGGGCTCCCCAAATTTTCCACCCAAGTTCGCTTTACCTCCATACTACAGAGTGTGGGGGTGAAAAAGATGATGGGAAAAGAAAGAGAAAAAAAGGAAGAAAAAAAGCAGTAACTTTTATGTCTTATAGTACAGAGATCTGAAAAAAAGGATTCAGAATTCGGAATAGTTTGTGGCATGGAATATTTTGAGCAGGGTGGGCTCGCTGGGGTGTCGTGGGATTTACTGACAGGAGAATTTTTGACAGTTGATGGACAGATGAATTCCGTCATGGAAGCGTTAGTGGAAAGCAGCAAGGCCAGATGGAAACTCACAGCTTGTCTTTAATATTAATTTTCTTTTTTTTCAAGAGATCAGAATTCCCTAATTCCCTAAAATGTTTCAATGCATCTTGAGGTATTATTTTTCAGATGCCTTTCTCCACCTATTCTTAGTAAGAATGTTCCTTTGTGTTAATGTTATTTTTCCTCTCTTACTTTGAAAAAAAAAAAGCCTAGTTTTTTTTTTGTCTTTCAGTTTTTTTCTTGCTCTAGTTGGACAGCTGTTAAAATTCTTCCTTCATTTACAGCCAATATAGAAGACAAATACCTTAACCGTGTAAGATACTAAGTCTAAATATGAGAAATACATCTGAAACAATCGTGACTTTGAGCTATGATCATTGACAGAAATCATGATAAGATTTTCTTTGTGCCTTAATGAAAGGCATAATTCTTCATGCTTTCATAAGGATGGAAGGGACCACTGTTTTTAGGGTGTCCGTCTTCCGGGCAGTAAGAAGGAAGTCAAATACTCTGCTCAGGGATGCAGTAAAAAGAACCCTGGACTAAGACTCCAGGGCTGGATTCTAGTCTTGGCTCTGCTGAATGGTGGGTCACAAGTCCCTGTGATGTGGGGGGCCTCAATTTCATTACTTGGAAAATATGGCTGGTATTGGGAGAAGGACAGGGGTTCCTAAGTCACCTGCACACCTCTCTCTCTAGGATGCTACAAAATCTTCCAAAGCACAAAGCTCACCATTCACGTCAAGGAGTCAAGGACTGTTGCTCTTCTTCCTCTTACAGCTGAGCTTCCCAGAGACCTGGGAACCCCTCCATGGACAGTTAGGAAATGGGACAGTCTCTCCCTTTTCCCTGTTGTTCTACACAAACTTCACTACTGTGCATTTTTCTATGTGGTAACTTCATGCTCAAGACAAAAATCAAAAACTAAAAAATCAGCAACCAAGGATGATATTCCATATCCTATCCAAACAAAGCTCAAATTCTGCAAACTTTTCCATTCTGTGATCTTCTTTTCTTAGTTCCTTTCTTTTACATCACTAGATTTACTTGAGTTGAGAACATTGCTTTAAAACTTAGAGATATTTCTTCTATGTTTACATATAATCTATTTTCCTGACATTGTTTCAAGCTTAATGGAAAAAACTTAACATGTGACAGCTTTTCCTAGAGTTTCCTGACACATCACTCTGGTTACATATTGGGTCTCCGTGTGCGTGTGTATGTGTGTGTGTTTTGCATTTGTGTTTGCGTCCGTGTGTGTTTGTGTGTGCACTAGTGTGATTGTGAGTCAGTCTGGGTCAGCCCAAAAAACCTTTTACAATTAATGTAATGAAAACATTTGGCTAAACAGAAGACTCTAAAACAAAGCAATGAATTGTGCTTATTGGTAAAATGGAACAGGGGCTTCTCTGCATAAGTTCAGAGACTATTTCTGTGTGGCTCAGGAGGGTTAAGAAACAACCTCAAACCCCTACAGCTCCAAGTTCCCATCATACTCTAATGTGTCCCTCTATGTGACCAGGGACAAATCACTTAACTTTTGTTCTTTCTCCTTATCTGTGAATCAGGGAAAGAATAATTAACAAAGAGAGGAGTTTGAGATAAAGCTGATTACTGATTGCTTTGGAGTGTTCACAGTTCCAGAGAACAGAAATGAGGGCCAGTAGGTAGGATTTACCAGGGAGCAGATCTGATTCAATATGAGAAAAACCTGTGAAAGTATGATACTGCTCAAAATCAAAACAGACTGCCTTGTTAGGCATGATTTCCCCATCATGATAAAGAACCCATTGTCAAGGGTGCCATAAAGAGAATTTTTGCATGACTTAGTAGGCTGGAGCAAATGATATCTAAGCCCCTTCCAATATATTATACACCTGTTGATTATAAACACATAGCTAGCCAATAGGGTATTTCACAAAAACACTTGGCAATATCATGATGAAAGAATAGACTATTAGAACTGGAAGAGACCTTAAGGAAAAAGAGATACGGGCAGCCCCTACATTCTACTAAAGCTAGTGGCAGAACCAGGGTTGCTATGACTTATGTTTGAAGAGTATTTTACACAACAGTTTTTCATATACCTCTTCTGAGCCTCACAGTAGTCTTCTGAGGTAGGAATTACTAGCTGCGCATTTTACTGATGCAGAAACCAAGGACAGGGAGTTGACGTGACTTGCCTATATCCCCATAGATAGCAAGTGGAAGAGTCAAGGCTGGAACTCAGGGCAGACCCCATGCAGGAGACTTGTTCCTTTGACACTTTTCTTTCCAGGATCTCTGAATAGTTCTCACTTAGTCTTAGTTATTTCCTGCCACATCCCAGAGATATGTAACATTATTAGCCATAGAGGTTCATCAGTTACCAGAGATAGAAAGCAACCTCTGTGATCATTTCCTTCCATCTTCATTTTACCAAAAAATAAAAATGAAAAAATTAAAAAAAAAAATAAAAAAAAAACCACAAAACCAAGGCTTGGAGCAGTCATCTTCTTAGTGGGCCATCCAAAATGAAAACTTTGATTTCTGCTTGATTCCTCAAAGATCTTAAATAGGCAACCCACCCACTTGATCTGGCAAATAATGATTTAAACCAGGTGAATGCAAGAATGATTTCATTCATTGCATTTTCCATGTGCCTCTTGAGGGAAGGCATGTGGAATATGTATATACAGAGACAGACCCCCAGCCACCAGTGCCTCCCCCTTCCCCCAAAACACGGTAGACTAGTAAATGTTTGCTAGCTATTTGCAAGGCTGACAGCAGGGATTATTTTTCCCATGTGCCAAACAACTTCATCCTAGAGGAAATATTTCACTCTGGCAAGATTTAATAACAATTATAAGGATCCTTTTTATTGATAGGGCACTCTATGTCTAAAACATATTTTCATGCATTGGGAGTATGACATCAAATCTCATGAGTATGGAGAGTGGAAGGCAACTAATGGCAGCAGTAGTGGCTACTCCTCTGCAGTCCCTGGGGCCTCCCCACCCCCAAGCCCCAAAGTGATTGCTGCTCCCCCATCTTTTTTTTTTTTCGAGACAGGGTCTTGCTCTGCTGCCCAGGCTGGAGTGCAGTGGAGCAATCTTGGTTCACTGCAACCTCCGCCTCCCGGGTTCAAGTGATTCTCCTGCCTCAGCCTCCTGAGTAGCTGGGATTACAGGTGCCTGCCACCATGCCTGGCTAATTTTTGTATTTTTAGTAGAGACAGGGTTTTGCCACGTTCGTCAGGCTGGTCTCGAACTCCTGGCCTCAAGTGATCTGCCCACCTCGGCCTCCCAAAGCGCTGCGATTACAGGCGTGAGCCACTATGCCCAGCTGTGCTCTCCCTCCTTTCTGCTCATCTTTCCCGTCTGACTCTTTTTGGGGAATGGGATGATAGTACCACAGATTAGCAAAGGAGTCCAGAAAAGAAGGTGCAATGGGAACCATGACTCCTCCTCCATCTGAGCCCCTAGTCTGTGCCCTAAGCTACGGAGGAGTGTGAAAGACACGCAGACTGACCAGAAGGGTTCCTCAGCAGTCCTGGACCACTGGCTGCTGTCAGAGAGCCCGACCCACACCCATACCTGCCCCTACAGGTGCTGCTCCTCCTCCTCCCCTGCTATATAAAACCTCCTGCTCTCGCTAATTCATTATTTATGACACCCTGATAAACACGTGGAAATGCAATGTGGATGTTCAAAGGGAACCATTCCCATTCCTAAGATGGCCCAGGGTTCTCGTCCATTTTAGTCCATGCTGTGGCTTAATAATGGATCACTTCTTCAGTCAACAAACAATTACTTGAGTATCTATTACCTGAAGCACTGTGCTAGAGGCTGGAAATAGAAAACCATGTTCCCGTCCTCAGGGAACTCCCTGTCCAGTGAGCATGAACACTGGGGGAAAATTGTAAGAGGATGATGTACTGAGTCCCTAGACAGAGGTGAGCACAGAGAGCACCGGAAACACGCAGGGGGAAGCACAAGCCCCATCTGGGAACATGCAATGGTTCTCACATGCCTTCCCATTGGAAAACTAGACATTTAAAATCTACCTCCAGCAACCTGTATTCTTTAAGGTTTTTTATTGGTACAAATGTATGGAGTACATGTGCAATTCTATCAGATGTACATAATGCATAGTGATCAAGTCAGTGTATTTAGGGCACTTAGAGTGTCCACACTGCTCCTCCCAGCAAAGAGAAAGTCTTCAGGCTGCAGAGTCCTGGAACTACATTGTTTTCCTTCTCCCTTTGCTGTGAGCAGCATTCCACCAGTACTTGGGATTTTCACAGCCTTTTACAGTCATTAGTAAATGGACACAATGTCCCCTTGGGGCCTATCCCCCTTATGGAGAGGCTCCATGGAGATTAACTGCTGTCTTAGGTCACTGGGGCAGAGTCTAACCCCAGCCCCCTCCTCAGGCGGCTTTAGAGTGACATATATGGCAAAGTCATTCTGGCAACAAAAACTGAAAGGCTTGTCTAACTCGACTTCAGCCTAAATTGGAGATTCTGCACATATCTCGTTTCCTTGACAGTAAAGTGAGGAGTTTGGAGTGGCCAAGGTGCAGAGCAGCTGTGAAAACCGGAACAGCCTTCGTTCCTGCGGGCTCGCCTACCTCCCCAGCTAGGGCCTCCTCCTTCCTTGGCACCATAGAGCTTAATGAGAATTTTCCACGCTCTTCTGCTGTTCACAGGCCTCTTTGCAGATTTTTGCATGGAATGAACTACAGGACATGTCACTGATGAGTGCGTGGTGCATGGTCTACCTCAGTGCAGTGGTAACCTCCTGGAGCTCAGGATTTCCCTCCGTGAAACCTATGTGAAAACTAGAGCTTATTCTAATGCGAAAGTTCCCAGGGCTCTTCTCCCTTCAAGCCTGAGCACATTGTCTCAACTCTGCAGGGTCTGAATTGAGTGAATAGTTAAATACTTGTTTCTCCTATGGAACAAAATTGTTAAACTAGAAGAAACTTCAGAGGCCACCTAGTTGAAACATCTCATTTAAAACAAGGCCAGGCGGGATGGCTCATGCCTGTAATCTCAGGGTTTTGGGAGGCCAAGGTGGAAGGATTGCTTGAGGCCAAGAGTTGGAGACCAGCCTGGGCAACATAGCAAGACATAACCCCTGTCTCTACACAAAAAAAAAAAAAAAAAAAAAAGAAAGAAAGAAAGAGAAAGAAAAAAATTTAGTCGGGCATGCTGATGCATACCTGTAGTTCCAGCTACTTGGGAGGCTGAGACAGGAGAATCTCTTGAACCCAGGAGTTTGAGGCTACAGTAAGTTATGATCATGCCACTGCACTCCAGTCTGGACAACAGAGCTAGACCCTGTCTCTCAAAAAAAAATTTTTTTAAATAAATGTTTAAAACCTGAGGGTTCCTGACTCCTAGTTCTATGTCCTTTTCTCTATACCACCCTGCTAGCACAGAATCTTGTACCTGGTTCACCCTCAGAAAACATGGTGACTGCTTTAGTTCCAGGGACCTTCCCCATGGGTTAGGTAAAACTCCTCGTCCCTTAAAACGGCAACTGTGGAGGTTAGCTGGGGAGCCTTGACAACCCCAGAAAAATACAGTTCTCCCCAGTATAATTCTCAGCTGAAACATCAAAACACTATCAAAGGGGCTTACTTTGATTTGGAACGTCATTTTCCTCCCTCCCATTTTTTTTGTTGGAAATACATAGAGCCGAATAAGATACCAGATAATCCCCAAGACTGCCCTGATAGCTTGAGGCCTCACAAATGTCTGTCAGCTTTCAGCCAGAGGGAGAAAACCTAGGTGAGAACAGGGTCCCAGTTGTGTCCCAGACTCGTGGTCTCCAACCATCCCCGGAAATGGGCTCTTATCTGAACAGATGAGCTTTATGAAAGAGGAAATCTCCATTTCAAAAAGTCAACTCCTTATAGTTTTCTATTTAAGTTATGCTAAGCACTTGTGTATGGCTGATATTTGGTACTCTACGGAGATAAGAGAAAAAGCATAGGGCAGGGTTCCAGCTCTGGAAGGAGCTACGAGCTAATGGAAGGAAAAGACATAGATGATAGCAAGCTAGAAATGAACTCATATCCTAAAGTTTATAAACATCTCTTTATAACCTAGCATTCCACCAAAGTGATCTCCCTCATCTCTAGACTTGTAAGAGCATCTCTTACTTACATCTCCCTTCAGACGGCCATTGTCTTGCCTGGTGAGCCAGCTCATCCCTTGGGGGCCTCAGTCTTCACTCCCCTGATAAGACTAGAAGTTTTTGCAGGCAGAGGTCAATGTATACGGTTTGAAATCCCTTTGGCATCTAGCACAGGACTTTCTACATGGTAGGCATTCAAATAAATATATATTTGAAAATTGTATAGTCTATAATATTATAGAATATATACACAATTATTTATATATTGAATATATTACAATATTAATACAGTCTATAAATTATATTGCATATAATCTACAATATACATTATATAATTATATATGATATTAACATATAATTACATATTGTATATTATATAATATATAAATTATATTATGTATAATTATATATACATATGATTATATGTACACAATAACAATTATATTGTATATATAATTATATATTATATTGTGTATATAATTATACATGTATATGTATTTATATACACACTTATATAGACATACACATATATACACATATGGTGATTTAATTATTACATGCAGTTGTATACACAGTTATGGAGTCAGTGGTATCTGATAAGTGGCCTCTGATAAGACAGGATACCAGTGTTCAGGACTGCTCTTGACAAAGTTGTTTAACCCTCTGGGCTTTAGATTTTTCAAAAGTAAAACAAAGCAATGGACTAGATTTTAAGGCCAAAGGGTTTGATGCCTGCTCTTATTCCATGGGACAATTATTCAAGCGTGAAAAGATTGTTCTGTTGCCCCCCCCGCCCCACCCCAGACTCCTATGTTCCAAGCTTCTTCAGGCCTTGTGACCTGAGCTACAGTTCCTGTCACCTGACTTCATAGCCTGCATGATTCCAACTGCTCCCCCAATTTTTCAGTATTCTTCTGCTATATCCCCCAAGTTGAACTCAATACCTGTATTTTATTTCACATGAGTTTCTATTAAGCTATATCTCCCCCATTCTATATTTATATAGTACTATAGTTCAGACCAGAAAATTTCTAGCATTTCTTCCCCTCTGCAACTCCGTGGGTAGCTGGGCTAAGGGAACCCAGGCAAAGATGCCTCCCTTGTCTGCATTTTTTCTATATTTTTTTCTCTGGCTCTTGGCCTGAATGAAGCATCTTGCATCACCTGGTTAGAGAAGTAAAAAGAGCCTCCCTAGGTTTGCTCAATACTGAGGGTGTCTCTTGTCCCAAGTACCGATACATGGGAGGAATGGCATCATTCACACAGAACCAACTATTTCTTTCTTCCTCTTTCTGTAGACCTCTTCTGCTTGGTCTGTTTGGTTTCGGGGGTACAATGAGAGCCTGTGGAATTTGTTTCTGATAATGCAATCCTTTGAATGTCCCTGAATAATAGGTCTGTCACTGAAATTATGAAAAGAAAATGCAGAGTTGGAGGGAAGGTGGTTCTGATTCCAGCTCTGTTAAATTTTTACTGCTGCTGGAGGGTGGCTAAATTGATCAGCAGAGACAGAATTTATATTTTTGGAGCTTTAGAAGCACTCAGGACTCCTAAACCTATTGAAACGGTCTTTCATTCTAAAGGTGGGAGAACTTTTTACTATTAATAAAGAATGCTGAAGTCTGGTTTCAGAATGAGCAAGGAGTTGGAACTGGAAGGACTCTCCAGGGTGGCAGAACAGCTACCACCTAGGCAGTCTGCCTGTCGGAGCAACAGGAAGTTATCCCAGACTACAGCCACTTCTCTCACTGCCTGGCGTGATGGGGAAATGCCACTGTCAGAAGTAATCATTTCTGATAATGAGTTCTTCAACTTCTAGAATCTCCCGTTAAAGCTCTAAACTCACTTAGAACAGCCAAATCTCCTATGCCTTTCTCATCAATCACTGTATGTGGAATGAGGCAATAACTAAGAAGAAAATCACTTTGGGAGTGGGGCATGGGACTGTGCACACAGATAAGCAGGCCAAGGAGTGTGCATGGGAAAGAGACCAGCATGCAAACACCATGGGAGCAAGACCTATACCTTCTTCATAACGGTATCTCTAATGCCTAGCATGGTATCTTACCCCAGACCTAAATATGCTTGCTGAGAGTGAAGTGACTGAGAAGAAAATGGAAAAGTACCAAAGACCTCCAAGTTTTCCCAGCAGTCATCTGGGGTGGCAGGTGAGGGGCAATTGTCACTAATGGAAAATATGTATTCTTCTGGACTCTGCAGAGATGTCATCATGTTTATCCTTCTCTTCCCTCCTTGCACCTTATCTCCATTACCCAAACCAGCTCCTACTCCTAAACTATCCTCATTGAATGACAACACCCTCTTTGACCACCTGTGCATCACGGGAGAAACCTAGACGGCAGCCCAGACAACTCCCTCTGCCTCCCTTTCATATCCAGTCAAATCCTGCTGATTCAACTTCAAAATCTCTTTCAAAATCCTCCCCTAGTCTCAACCCCTGCTGCTACTGTCTTTGTTCAGGCCTCCATCATTTCTTTTTGTTTTTCAATAAATGTATTCCATCTATCTGAGGCTTACAACATGATATTATAGGACACACTAAGATGGTAAAATGGTTACTGTAGTGGAGAGGGTTAGTCTATCATCTCACAGAGTTACGTTTTTTTGTGACTAGCACAGCTAAATTCTACTTATTTAACAAATATCCCTAATACAATAATACAATTTGATTCACTTTAGTCCTCACACAGCTCTTCTTGCCTGAATTACTGATAATGGTCCCCTAGTTTTTTTGTCCTGCCTCCAGGCTGTCTCCCCGATGCTCAACCCATGACCCACTGATATGGTTTAGCTGTGTCTCCACCCAAATCTCATCTTGAATTGTAGCTTCCATAATCCTCATGTGTCATGGAAGGGACCAGGTGGGAGGTAATTCAATTATGGGGGTGGGTTTTTCCCATGATGTTCGCATGATAGTGAGTAAATCTCATGATGGTTTTGTAAAGGAGAGTTCCCCTGCACATGCTTTCTTCCCTGCTGACATGTAAGATGTGACTTTGCTCCTCCTTTGTCTTCTGCCATGATTGTGAGGCCTCCCTAGCCGTGTGTAACGGTGAGTCAATTAAACCTCTTTCCTTTACAAATTACGCAGTCTCAGGCATGTCTTTATTAGCAGTGTGAGAACAGACTAATACACGCATGCTGTAGCCCTAGTCAAAGGGAAGTTCAATCAGGTCACACTTCCATGTACAGACTTTCAGTTCTTGACCACTCACATCCAACACAACTGCATTTAGACCAGCATCCATACACCTTTGCTTGGCCTAGGAGTCCCTTGATGGTCTGGCCCCTGCCAGCCTCTGCAGCCTCAGTGTTCTGCATACCCTTAAGTGCACCCTATTGGAAGTGTTGCAACACGACACACTCCCCTTCTTTCTTGCACATGCACAAGGAGAATATGTTCCTTCCCCCTGGGCTGCTGTTCCTTTCTTCCCTGCCCAGGTAACCCTTCTTCATCTTCACCCAGTCTGGGCATCAACCACTCTGGAAAATTACCCAGGATTCTACTTTTTGCCCAGGCAGAAATAGAAGCCCTTCTTATAAATTCGGGGCAGACCTTGATAAACAATGACCTTCTGTTTTGTCATTTTTGGTTCCTTGTCTGTTTCCCTAGCTGCAGAGCAGAAGACAATGACACACAACTTTATCCCTGGAGCAGGGTTTGATACATGGAAGATGCATAATAAACGTGTCCTAAGGCCACGCACGATGCCAGAAGTTTCCTCCAAAAGGCTTAGGTGGCCAAGCATTCATTCATTCATTCATTCATTCATAGAGTCATTCTATAGGCCTCCTGTACATTGGACATAGGATCTCATCAGGGGCTAATCCCTAAGGAACAAGTTTCTAAAATGACTTGGTTGTTCCTTGGCCTGTCTTGAAGAAACCAAAAATGACAAGGTGCACCGTCTTTCCTGCCGCATACCTCCACCCCAGCGCAAGGGCTCTGTGGATGAATGAAAACTCTAACTTGTTATTTCTCTGGAGAGCAGGCCTCATTTCTCTGGGGAAGCAAACCAGTTCTATGGCTTTGAGCTTAGGTGATGCCTCTCCTTTTCCAGATGCCCCTCAGATCCAAAGGAAGCAGAATAGCTCCTTGCTTCCTCTTCCCCAGTTACAGTGCCTGGTGAGGGATGGGCCCAGAGTCCCACTCTAATTATACCCTATTTGACTAGGAAATGGAATTCCTGATCGGATTCCTAAATCTCCAAGTGATGCGACATTTATAACTACATTAAAAAGGAAATGCGCTTTGCTGTGTGCCTTCACTCAAGATAATTGCACAGTGGTGACACTGTTGAGGGGCCTGAGGCCCTTCCCGAAATGACAGAACAGAACCATGACTCATAAAGTAAAGGAAACAGTGGTTCCCTCCTTGAGCCCCTGAACACAAGGGAAATAAATGGAGCCTTAACTGAAAGATGAATATATCTCACAGAACTCCCGGGTTTGGGAACTCTGGGAGCTCCACAGTCTAATCCTACGTTGACTCTGGCTGCCTCAGCTTTTCCTTATCTCTGCAAAATGAGGCCAGCAAGGGTGTGGCTTTAATCCAAACTCTAACTATGGTTGCAGACCCCTGGGCGGCTGTGCGTTACTGCGTGTGAGTCATCCAGGAATCCAAATACACGCCAAAAATCATGGGCTGAAAAAATAATAGGTCTTGCACAGATATACTCTTCTACTATTCAAATGTTTGCAGTCATCATCATCACCACCATCATCATCAATACCATTTATTGAATGCCTACCATATGCCAAGCACTTCTCAAATACTATCTACACATTAACTTGTTTAATCCTTGTAACTACCCCATGAGGTTCATAATCATTATTGTTTCTATTTTATGGATGAGAAAATTGGGGTGCAGAGAGGTCAGGTAAACTTGCCCAAGGTTACACAGCTAGAAAGAAGTGGAGCTACAATTCGAGCCAGGCAATCTGCCTTCAGCACGTTCTGTAACTGCTACGTCATGCTGTCTTCCCCTTTTCAGCGAATGGTTACTAAAAGTACCCCCATAATCACATTGGAAGTTTGATCATTTTTTAAAAATTTTGTTATATTTAACATAGGTCCTCTTTTGGTTTGGAAAAAACCAAACCACTCAAGGATTAACCATTCATTAACTACTAATTGGGCTAGATAAAAAGTTTACAAGAGGTGCGCCCTGATAAAACATCCTTTCTACCAATGCTCAAAAGTCGCCCACCAAAAATCCCTTCCATGAGTTTGAAGTTGGTCCTCTCCATGAGGTCCTTTTAAAATGCAAGTGTCCCTAAGAAGGGCAATAAAAGAAGACATTAGTACCTTAGTATGAATGAGGTTTCCAAATCATTCCTTCATTATCAGGAAAAAAACAAAGTAAGGACATGAGAAAAAAATAGTATTGAAAGTTGAGGGAGGGTGGTCATGGGAGTGAAGGAAAAGAAGGAGAGACAGGTGCCCTGAAAAGAATGGAAGGTGACCACTTGGGGAGGCAGTCAGGAAAGTCAAAAATAAACTTGGCCTACTTCACAGTTTTGCCTCGAGCTGGCCTGCAGGCATTCATCAGTACCACACAGGATGACAGTTTTGGTGAAATGTTTTAAATCAGGTAAGGGCTAAATTGTTATTTCTAGCAATATTAACCTCATCACCTTTAGAAATGAAAACTGTACCAACAAGCACGAGGCCAAGGAGATCTGGGATTCTACTTGAGGAAGACAACACTGGCAGCGCTTGTCAGTCTCAGTCTAGAACCGTATTAATGAACATCATCCGAAGACCAGCTTCTATAAACCATGGCCACCTTAATCAGAGCATCTGAAACGAGGTGCCCCACTGAGCTGTTTCCTCCTTTAATCACTCACTGATGAATAACAGAATGTTCGCTAGATTACATTACTTTTGCAAAGACCTCTCTTCTTTTAAGCTCTTTCAGCAGGCTCTCAAATTCCATATTTTCCTAAAACAAGATGGCTACCATTACTGATGCCTACCTCATATTAGATTTACACACTTTTATTAAAAGTAATGGAAATGTACAATGAAATTGGACTTGTCTCTCAATTCCGGTAAAAGGCTAGAAAGCACAAGTGAAGTATTTGCTTAAAGAACGCATCTGCAATGCAGGGGCCCTCAGAATCTAAATGCTTCCATGCTCCTGAAAGTTCCTGGCTGCTGAGGCAGATACCCAGGCCGCCACTGGCCACTGCCTTGAGAATCTCATCCAGTCGCATCAAAGAGGGGACAAAGGGAACCATTGCTGCACCTAAGTGTGGTTGCACAGGACTAAGATTTACTGGAGCCTGACTAAAAACAAAAAGATTGGGTCTCCTTCAAGGAGGAATGGGTTAAAGTCTGTTAAACTACTGACCCAGGGTCAAAGGTTTCCCCTAGTTGTTCTGTCTCAGGCATGGAACCATGATCTTTGGGTTTGGGCAAACTTTAGACCATCTTTTCATCCCTTGGTGCTTCAAATTGTACCATAAATGCATAATTCACAGGCCAGTAAAGCTGTTAACTAATGAGTTAAATCCTCTACAGTTTTAACACAAATTGATATTAAAAAAAAAGGAAGCAGAGTTTTAAAAATAAGTACAATTCAAAATGAAATGAAGATAAAAGGGCTTCTCCTCCTCCTTTTTCATGAGCTGATACCCCAGCCAAGGACAAAGTAATGTTTATAGATTTTAAAGGATAAAAAATAAAATCTCTGTATAGCTTTCTCCCCAAATGAAACTCAAAAATAGATGCTGCTTCCCTAATCCTTCTGATTTGAAAATTATTTGGCATTTTTAGAAATTAATTTTTCCAGGCAATTAAATTAGCCAGTAATTTGATATCACCATCTTATTTCATTATAGAGAACACATGCTGAAATGACACACAACCTCATTTTCATGTATTATTTTTGCAAATTTAGTACTCATAAATAGGTGTTGGATCGACAGTGCCAGCAACTAGAATCTTCCCTGCTGGCTAGACGGGAGCCTGAGGAGTGGTTATGTGAGCTGGAGCCCAGGCCTGTCCCAGCTGAGATTACCAGCTGGGAGAGCAAAACCAAGTCCCACAACGTACAGTCCTTTTTTCTCTGCTCCAGAATGCTAGTTGGCCCACCCAATTGAACATGATAAATGGTGGCACCACTGGATGGAATCCACCCCCTCACTTCCCAATGGCCACCTGGTATTTTCATGATGGCTCTGTCCAAATAATTTTTAAATACTTTCCAAGTCATCCAACTCAGTGCTCCAACCCTTTTAGACAAAGAGGACTCTCTGAGAACCTGGAAATTCACTTGGGAAGGGAGAGAATACACACACTTAGCTAGGGCAAAGATGAGAGAGTTTTTAGTTCTCTGTAGCTAAGGGTATATTGTTAAATTCTACCAAGGAAAGAATGAGGTTGAAGATGTCTTTTGGCTCCATATGTTCCCAGGAAGAAGGGAAGGCACCAAGCATTCCCCCTATTTTATAGACAGGTATGGAAAAGCACAGAAAGGAAAAGCAGTGACTTCAAGACTGTATGCTAAGAGAAACAAGCAAGGTCAAGATGAACATTCAGAATTCGTCGGAAATCATTTTTCATTAATCATTTATTAAAGATTAATATTTTATTAATCATTTTCAATCATATTAATCATTTTTAAATTTGAACATGTTGAAAAGTGTTCAAAGGGGACTCTGTTAAAAATTACACAAAAGACCAGGTACACTGGCTCACACCTGTAATTCCAACCCTGTGGAAGGCCAAGGCAGGAGGATTGCTTGAGGCCAGGAGTTCCAGGCCAGCCTGGGCAACAGAGTGAGACCGTGTATCTACAAAAAAAAATTATTTAATTAGCCATGCATGGTGGCTTGTGACTGCAGTCCCAACTACTCAGGAGACTGAGGCAAGAGGATCGCTTAAGCTCACGAGTTGGAGGCTAGAGTGATCCATGATTGGCCACTGTGCTCCACTCTGGGTAACAGAGCAAGACTCTAGTATGTTCACATGCCTGTTGGCCTACTGTAATTATTTACACATTTTTATTTTTTGTTGGCCTATTGTAATTATTTTATTATTTTATCTATTTATAAATTATTTATTCATTTATATAGTATGCATTTTAAATAAAAATAATGTATAAATAAAATAATTACAGTAGGCCAACAGAAATGTGATCCAGAACTGTCCAGGGTGAACAGGAACATGTACTCACCCTGTCTACATGGGGATTTTGCGAAGTGGCCAGGCAGTCATTAGGTAAGGAGCTATTACAAATCACTTCACCTTCTGGCTCATGCCCAACCTGCCCTGCTCACTCCTTTTCACAGACTTTGCTAATCTCCCCCCTACACTTCATGTCTAGATATCCTCCCCAATCAGCCCTTCATCTATGCAAGTTTTATGCTCTATTTCAAACCCAAGTGAATGTGCATCTCTCCCACAGGGCTCTTTCTGCCAACTCCAAATCATTCTACTTTTCCCACTTTCTGAATTTTCTTAGTATCTATTGTACATATCAAATAACATAGCTTTGAACTATAGAATGAGGCTTTGGGGTTTTTTTTTCCTCTACTTATTCTATAAGTATTGGGGGTTCTTTTCCCAATTAGGCTTGAAACTTATGAAAGTCTGAGATATTTCTTGTACTTCTTTCCCATCCTCTTCTTTCCCATCACACCTTATTCAGGATGTTAGAACAGAAAAACAAACAAACTTCACAGAGACCATTTGGTCCAGTTACAGATCAAGAAGCTCATCTCCAAAAGAAAGGGGCCTTCCCTAAGACCAATAGCTCTAACACAGCCTGGAGTAGGGGCCCCTGTTCTGTGCCTCCATGAGACCATGTGTGCTTCACAGCTCTGCATACACCACTGTGGCATTTCTTGACCATGGCGAGTGGACTGTAATGCCTCGTTTACTTAGCTGTTCATTCACCATATTGGAAAGCCCTGGAGGACAGGAGCTCTGCTGGATTGATCACCATGTCTTCAATGGCTGGCACACAACAGACACTCAGTAAATGTTGGTTGAATGAACGATTAAAGGAATGAATGGAAACATGATTTTCCTTAAGGTGGTCATATAGGCTTTTATTGCATTTAATTGCATTTCCAAGCATTTAAATTAAAGAAGAGAGAGAATAAGCTCCTCCTCAGAGAAGTCATAGGAAATGGATGGAGTGGTTGATTCCTGGCTTCTGCTTTGCCTCCCAGAATGGGTGGTGGAACCCATTTCCATTGATCTTCCAGTCCCATACCGCAGAGGAAAAAAGACACTGAATGCAGTCAGGGCAGCTGATTCGGGATCTGACCCTTCACTGAGTCTCTGTGTCACCATCAGAGACAGTGTCACCTAAGACACTGTGCTTAGGGCTTCAGATTCCCCATCAGCAATAAGAGAAGGCTGGCCCCAAAGGCTGTGGAGACTCCTTCTGGCTCCAGTGCCTATTGGCTCCAAAGCCCACTCACTGAGCACCCCTCCAGGTGAATGACAGTCCCTAGTTAGGGCAACATCACACAGAGCTGGACACTCAAATCCTCCATCGTCAGAGATCAGCGGCTTAGTAGACAGAGCCTCTGGTTCTCCCTTCGGCTGCTAGGAAACTGAGCCTCCCAGCAGCACATTAGGTTGCATATTAAACAGATGGGATGCAGATTTGAGACCTGTTAAAGGTTGGGCTTTCCTTTTTTTTATAGGCTGCTGTCAAGGTGTGTTAGTATCTCTTTATTTAAACAAGCTCCTTAGTCTTGGTTACACAGTGCAGAGACTCGGGAAAAAAAGTGAGTAGAATAAATAATCTATCATGCTAGCAACATAATTATAAGAACATATGTTAGCTCGAACTAGCTATATTCTAGTCATATTAAGGGTATGTGTGGGAGAGAGAAGGATGGCAGGAGTGTCTCAAAATAGTTCAGGCGGAGTAAGAGTGATATCGGGCCACCTGGAAACCCAAACTGCTTTCCTGGAGCCTCCATTCTGGCATCCACAGCATCCCAGAGGGCTGCCCGTTGGTGGCTTCCTGCTGCTAAATGCACCACCTGAGTCTGGAGAGCCACAGGGCACCTTGCCGCTCTGCTCAGCGGCCCCACCTTCGCGCGCAGGGAGATGAGCCCATTCCTACTTCGTTGGGTGCATCTCTGCCAGGTGCAGAGAGCACAGGTCCAAAGAGAAAGACCCCCAGAGGTCAAGGGCAATGGGTCTTGGCTTTCACAAATGCCTCAAGCTCTGAGGCACTAAGAAAAACAAAATTCACATATTTTGAGGGCCTTCAGTGAAGGGAATCAATGCGGAGGAAACGTCGTGTTGCACCACCGTTTCCCACATGCTTATTTGGATTGTACTCACCGTTCAAGGCTCTTCTCAGGGAAAGTGCCCCCACTCACTTCCAGCACCGCCCCCGCCCCTTCCCCCAGGGAGCCTTCAGAACTCTCATCGACATCCCTCCCTTGGCACAGAAAGCCCTCGCGGCTCCCCAAGCCTGTTTGGGTCCCCTGGTTATTTGCTGCTATGGCACCCCGCAGTGCTGGAGGACATGGATACTCAGTGCACTTTTAATTATACCATGGCTGGCTTCCCCGAATGGATTGCTGCCTCTGCGAAGGTAGGAGCTGTGCCTAATTTGTTCACCACAGTGACTGCGGCTGGCTAGGGACCTGGGGTCTGTGCTGCGAGGACTCAGACGCAGCGCGCCAGGTTGTGCAGCCGCTGTAAACAAGGCGCCCAGGGGCTGCACGCTCTGGGAGGATCAGAGGGTTCGAGGAGGGCACGGAGCGCATCCCCAGAACAGTGTGGGCTGCGGCAGACACAAGAAACCAGGGCTGATCACAGCGACAAGAGCATACCACTCTAGCGCCACACTCCCCGGAGCCTGGCTGGGCCCACAGACAAGGACCCTTGGGGACGGGGCTTCCCTCCAAAGGTGCTGGGAGTTGCTGCCAGGCATTAAACAGAGGGTCAAGTTTGTGCTCTAGGAAGTTAATTCTGGGGGTATAAGAAGGGCCTAGAGGCAAGAAACCAGCTTGGAAGCCATTCTATTCACCAAGGTGAGAGGAAGGCCCTAAATTCAGGTGGGGGCCTTGAGAATTAGAGGAGAGGGAGAAGCTCCAGAGGTATTTTGTGGGTAGCATTATGTATTTTGTGAGACTCTAAGCATTTTAGAGGGGCCTAAAAATTAATAACCTAATAGAGATTTTACCACTATAAAAAATGTATATACTCCTGTGTCCAGGCACATAAAAAAAATGAAAACGGATTTTTCTAAAGATAGTCTTAAAAGACTGTTATTTTAACACATTTTCTATACTTTTATATAGCTTATTGATGTCTTTAAAAGGAGAAGAAATAAAGGATTTGAAGGAAGGAAAAAGGAGAGAGCTTGGGGAGTCATATGTTTATGCTCCCAATAGCTTGAGCCACAAGCCATGTTTAGGGGCACTTGTCCCTAACTGCAGTTGTGTCTAGGTTTGCCCCTTGAAAGTCTCATTCTGGCTTACATTTAAGTGCTACCTTCTGTGTTTGGTGAATATAAGTTAATATTTTGGATGAGACTACCTTCTGTGTTTGGGAATATAGCTTGTCCCCAAGGAAACACTGCTCTCCCAAGAACTGAGGTGTTAGTCAGGTACAGGGGCTCACACCTGTAAGCCCAGCTTAAGGATAAGAGTTCAAAACCAGCCTGGGCAATGGAGCAAGACCCCATCTTTATTTTTTAAAAAAAGGAATTGGAGTATGAATGTACCTTTTGTCCCCCCAAATATGTGTGGTACCAAATGGGCAGGTGTGTAGGTCTGCACAGGGATGGGGAGGGAGAGCATTATTCCTTTTTTAAAAAAATTGCTGGCCGGGTTCAGTGGCTTATGCCTGTAATCCCAGCACTTTGGGAGGCTGAGGCGGGCAGATCACCTGAGGTCGGGAGTTCGAGACCAGCCTGACCAACATGGAGAAACCCCGTCTCTACTAAAAATACAAAATTAGCTGGGTGTGGTGGCACATGCCTGTAATCCCAGCTACTCTGGAGAATCCCTTGAACCTGGGAGGTGGAGGTTGCAGTGAGCCGAGATCGCATCATTGTACTCCAGCCTGGGCAACAAGAGCGAAACTCCTTCTCAAAAAAAAAAAAAATTATTATTATTATAATGAAGTATAAATTTAAGGTGCACAAGTACTCTTGTTACATGGATATATTGCAGAGTGGGAAGTCTGGGCTTTTAGTGTAGCCATCATCTCAATAGTGTACCTTGTATCATTGTATGCATTAAGTAATTTCTCATCCCTCGCCCTCTCCCACCCTCCCAAATCTCCAATGACTATTATTACATACTCTATGTCCATGTGTACAAGTTATTTAACTCCCATTTATAAGTGAGAACATGTTGTATTTCTGACCCAGAATCAGCAGAGAAAGTAGATGGACAGGGACAGGGCCCTACAGGGCAGGTGGGGCCGTTGTGATGGCGACATTTTAATATTCACCCACCATCCACTCCTCACCTAATTTTCATTATTCAGCGCTAACATTTAAACAGTATTCTCTCCCAAGATGACACACAATCAGAACTGAAGGTAATCCAGACTATTATATCAACAGCATTGATATAGAAAACATGACATTTGTGCTTGTCCCCAAGGAAACACCGCTCATCTAGGGAAGGAAGCCAGATTGACGCATTACCCACCATTGTGCATCTACCAATATCCATACTGACAGATCGAGAATATCTGGCAAGGGCCACATTTATTGCTGTGCCTTACATTGCTTTTAAAACCCCAGAATGTCAGAAGTGTACATCCAAAAGCACCCACTTTTACTGTTTGAAAGAAGGATGGCTGTGGAAATTTTATGTCCAGACTGCCTTCCAGCCTCGAGACACCTCAGCTCTTTGCTAAAACTGCCATTTCCCCCCCAAGAGCAAATCTTTCTTTCCCACAGATAATGAAGATCATGATGCTTTGCATATGATAATACAGGGTATTCTGCAAAGTACTTTCATACACATGTCTTCACAAGAGTTTCAGCAAACAAACAAAGGCTCTAAAATACACTGGGTAGGTGTTAGTCTTATTGGGAAAATGACAAATTGACATCTAAGGATGGTAAAGTGACTTGGGCCAGCATCCCATCTGCTAGTTCAGGGTTACAGACCTTTTCCCCTCCCCCGCAGGCCACCTCTTCACCACTTCCCACTGCCTCCCATCCCCACTGCCTGTGGAGCAACAGTGTTTGGAATGGGTCCCTTGAGTTATTTAACTACATCCAAGGCTGGACAAGAAATAGAGGGGACCAGCCAGGTGCAGTGGCTCATGCCTGTAATCCCAGCAAGCTGGGAGCCCAAGGTGAGAGGATTGCTTGAACCCAGGAGTTCAAGACCAGCCTAGGCAACATAGCAAGACCCTATCTCTACAAAAATAAAAATAAAAATTAGCCGGGTGTGGTGGCACGCACCTGTAGTCCCAGCTACTTGGGAGGTTGAGATGAAAGGATCACTTGAGCCCAGGAGTTCAAGATCGTGGTGAACCATGATTGCATGACCAAGGTACAACTGGAGAGGCCAATTTCAGCCTGTTAGTTACCAAATAAGATGGTGTTTAAACATAGGATTGCCCTGTGATGCACAGACCATCTTTAGCCAGTGAGCAGTGTAACTGAGCCCTGCCAGATGGGAGTGAGGAAGGCAGGCAGAACGCAAAAGGCAAGCTTCCTTGCACAGCCAAGGGAGAGGGCTCATGTGTGCAAGGGGTCAGATCTCTTTGCTGCATGTCTTCTCATGAGCCTCCCAGACAGATAACAAACCCGCACAAAGATTTAAACTCTCCAGAGGCATCCCGGTTATTTCTATCTAAAGAGGAACTGATGGCTGCAGTTCCTGAGCAGATTCCAAACAGAGACTCATACCTGGATTCTGCCTGCCCAGAGCCTCCCAACACAAACAGCCCAGTCTGCTCAGAGCAGGAAAAGGTAAAAGTAAATAAACGTGGTCTTAATCTCTCCAATAGATTGGAACAATCTGAACCAACCTGTAATTTCATCCAGACATGCAGGGAGAATAATTTTTAAAGTTTTGCTAAACATAAATGCACCTCCACTCATTATGATTTCCCCGGCATTTTTTTTTTTCTTCCTGCCCCTTTCTCCATCTGCACTTTATTCAATGAACACATCTGCATTCCTTCTCTCTCTTTTTTTGGCCAGAAACTTTATACAACCTTATCACTGACACCTCTCTGCAGTTTCAAATTCCAGCTTTGTGCCAAATCCCCATTTCCTGCTGCTTAATTTCCATTCATTTACTCTTGTTTTTGCTTCTTCTGCCATTCCCAGCATGGACCAACTCCAGCCCAGCTTCTTCTAATTTTTTAAGGAAGGTTCCCTGTTGAGTGCTATTGGAATCTGAGCCTCCACTCCATGCCAGTGACGGGCCATTGTTTATACTACCTAACGACAGTTGCCAGTAGAACGGCGGCTTTCCCTTTCTTTATTTCCCTCCCTGAGTGTTTACACTAAGGCCCAGGAGAACTTTTCCCCACATATGGTGACCCAGTAGGTCTAGTTTTATTATGACTTTGGTAGAATCTGAAGTAGCCTCTTTCCATTTCTTTTTGACAGGAAAAATAAAATCAAGTCTGGAAGCTTTGTTTACCCAGCTCTAAGTGCCACCATCAGCCTCAGACAAAGCTGAACGGCTGCTGTCAGGACGAGGGCTTTGGGAACCTCATAAGGTTAGGCTGAGCCAAAGGACAATGATGCAGACCCCGAGGGGAGGATGAGCTGAGGCTGGACTTTTCGTAAAGTGGAGGAATGGCCATTCCATTTTTCTGGTGCTCAGGAATTTCTTCAATATGTTGGGTTGTTCTACAAAGCCAGGAGCAAACATAAGGTTGTTTTTCTGGCTTCTAAGGAGAGACAATGCTTGCTTAAAGTTTTTTTGAGATAGACTGTCTCTCTGTCACCCAGGCTGGAGTGCAGTGGCGTGATCTCAGCTCACTGCAACTTCTGCCTCCCAGTTTCAAGTGATTCTCCTGCCTCAGCCTCCTGAGTAGCTGGGATTACAGGCGCCCACCACCATGCCTGGCTAATTTTTGTATTTTTTGTAGAGATAGGATTTCACCAAGTTCGTCAGGCTGGTCTTGAACTCCTGACCTCAGGTGATCCACCTGCCTCAGCCTCCCAAAGTGCTGGGATTACAGGCATGAGCCACAAGGCCTGGCCTAAGATATCTTTTTATAAGCAAATGAATTGTGGTGTAAAAATGTAACGGCCATTTTTCTTCCCATAGTGGGACTGATTCTCATTTGTTGTTTGGGGGAGGTTTTGATTTGGGTTTTCTTTTTCCTAAATCCATAGCTCAGCAGCCAGCTGTGTCAGCACTGTAGCCATTTTGCCGCAAACATCTTTGCCCCAGGTCCTGATGTGTCTACCCCCAAGTTCTGTTCCTTACCCTTTCCCTCTGGGTTTCATTGCCTAGAATTACAACTCCAGAGTCTCATGCAAAACATGGCATCCAAAATGGAAGGGCTTACAGTCAGGAATGTGGAGGTCTGAGAAGCAAATGGCACCCAACAGCAAGAAAAGAAAATCATCCCAAATACTTAAAGGACTAGGTAGTATGGTCCCATTCTATGGATGAGACACCAACAGCTCAGGGGCATATCCAAGGGTAAACCTAGACCAGAATAAACACAAATAACCCAATTCCCAGCCTATTCACCTTTCCTGGGTTCTGGTCGGGTGAACTTTGAGTGTGTCTATTTCCCTAAAGCAGTGATCTTCATGTATCTAAGGAAGGGAGGAGCAGGGAGAACTTCACTGGCCACCCAGAGAAAATGAACACCCACTCTTTGTTACTCCAGTTTTAGGGATCTCTGAGTCAGGATAGGCAGACTCCACCCTTGCTCAAAGATGAAAGAGTCCTCAACATCATGGCCTTACTTGAGTTCCTGAGTGAAGGAAAGTCTATTGTCAGATGGGCAGTCTATTTCTAAAGAAATGGGATTCCTATCGAAGAACCAATTATGCCCTCAGGGCCAGCGGTGGCTCTCTTCACAGAGCTCAGCACAGAGCCCCTAAAAGCAAGCTTGTAAAACACGTAGTACTGCCCATCATCCCAACCATGGGAGGCAGAGCAAAACCACTGCCTTGGAAAACAACCTTTATGTACACATGAACAAATAGCCAGAATAAATATCTATCAGATCTCCTCGGGATATTGAATGAGGGATTAAAATTGTAGAGGCGCCATTGGTTACATCAACAATCAATATGGGCCCCAGTGAAAATGTTCCAGTTACTATACATTTCCTGCTTTGCTGGGGGCACATGTAGATGCGTCTCACACTAGATGAATTAATGAAAGATGAAATGGCCCACCAAAACTGTTGTGCATATTCAAGAGCCTTTGGTCTTTGATGCTGTTTCGTCTCTAGAGCATCATCAAAAAGCCTCAAGAGATGGAGCTGTTGGGGTGGTCAGAATTATTTCTCACAGCGACAAATCACTGCTAAATTCTTTAGAAAACCAGATTATAATATGTAATTAATGAAGTCCACTTAAAGGTATCTTCCTTATCTCTTTCAATTCCCCTGTGTTAGACTGTTAAACCTGTGGGTGAGAATAATGCTACTGATATAAATGCACACACGTAAATATAAAAATGTGTTTATCCATATGTGCATAAAAGTGTTAAGTATGTGTGTATTCATAAGTACCTATATTGATCAATATAAAAACACACCCCAAGGCTCTGCTTTCATTATATGTATGGCACATGGTGGGGAAGAGCTGTGTATTGTACCCTATATTGCATTGCACATATGCGTGAAAAAGAAAAATCGCAGAAAGTAACAAGTAAAAACCAAAAAGACAGTGTGTGAAACAAGCTAGAATGATATAGTACATATCATTTATATTATTCTTTCTACTTTTATGTGTCTTAAAATTTTCTATAACAGAAGGCTTAAAATTTAAATGTAAAAGATAGGAATTCCATTTCCCTGGTATAATTAAAATAAATTTTACAATTTGCTATTTATGGGATATTTCAACCAATCTCACTCACTTCAAATATGAGGTTTTTTGTTTTTTGTTTTGAGACGGAGTCTCACTCTGTCGCCCAGACTGGAGTGCAGTGGCGCGATCTTGGCTCACTGCAACCTCTGCCTCCCAAGTTCAAGCAATTACCTGCCTCACTCTCCTGAGTAGGTGGGACTACAGGCACCCGCCACCACGCCCTGCTAATTTTTGTATTTTTAGTAGGGATAGCGTTTCACCATCTTGGCCAGGCTGGTCTTGAACTCTTGACCTTATGATCCACCCACCTCGGCCTCCCAAAGTGCTGGGATTACAGGTATGAACTACCGCGCCCAGCCCTAATGTGAGGTGTTAAGAAAAAAATCAAATAATCACCAACTTGGAGATGACTCCTCATAATGCTGGTTTTCCTAAACTGTGAATTTTTCTTTAACAGAAATGAAATATGTTTTGGAAGGGGCTCAAGCGCCAGGGGCACCTACAGTAGAAAATGAACCAAATAGAGGTATCTATTCCCCTTCAGGTGGAAAATTCATTTGCCCATTATTCTTATCAAGTTAAAAGCTCATTGTTAATAAAATTATCTTTCTGGAGATTACAGCTTCTCCAAACTGTCCTTAAAAAATGTGTAAGCCAAACCATATTTTCCACAGTTGTAGCATGTCCTTCTACCCTTTGCCCAACTGACCTGGGCATAAGGAATACATATTTATTAGAGTAGCCTAATTTAAACACAAATAACAAGGAGGGGGCCAGGGAGGAACGTGCATTCTGAATGCCACGTACACGTCTTACTTGTTTTCTTCTCCATTCAAACATGTATTTTGAGTTCATGTGTTCCTGTGCATGAAGAGTAAAACAAAAAAGCAAAAAGGGGGTCTAAATCTTGATTCCATATCCTGTCCAAGACCCATTTCCTTGAGGATTGTAAGCAATATGAGTGCAGGGTGTTGGTAGTTGTGGTTCTCTGACACACCTGGTTTTGTGTGGACCCCAGTTGCAAAGAGGGCTGTCTTGGAAAACAAGTTCATCCCAGAATAACAAGCCCCTCCAGAAGCAAGAAGTATCAGCCCTGATGTAAATATGCGGGGTCCCAAGAGATGGCTTCCAACTTCCAACTATTATCCAGACATATCTGAATCTAGCCTCTGAACCTAAAGCCATCCCCCTATTACGGGTAACACCACACACTTTCTTGGATCCACACAGCCTGACCAAAATTAAAAAAAAAAAAAATCCTGCAAGTGTGTGACATCAACATGTTTTCCTCAGCTAACAGGCTTCTCTATTCACCAGCAGCCAAAAATTTTAAGTGGCTCTTAAACAAAGACAGTCCAAGCGAAGAATAATGATGTCAAACCCAAGCCATAGTTGTGGTGTGAACACAAAATCTACAGGACCCAAGTTAAAAATGATTTACAGACAGTTTGATCAGAGTCAGATGTGACATGGTGTCTTACTGGAGACAAGCCAGTGGCTATCAATCCAAATCCCCTACAACAAGTTATGTCATTAGTCAGAATCAATACATTATGGAGACAATTTTCTCTTTTGTCTCTTGGCCCAGGGAATTTTCCAAGTTGAGTTTCATCACCAGATTGCAAGGTCCTCGCATTACAAAGTGGCTGACAGGAATCACAACCACTAACTCCCTCATGTGCTCTTCTGGAGGGGCAGGGGAAAAGTTTAAGGAATAAATCCAATTAGACATGGGAGTCTCCAAATAACAAGTCCAAGGCCTTTGTTGTCAGGTTTATGTTGAACTTGTGTATCCCGTTCCTGTTGTTGATATCCCTTTCAAGGGCATCAGTTTGGACTCTCAGATATGGAAGCAACACAGTGAAGAGGTCCTTAGTGCCAGGTCCACCCCAGGAATTACCTGGTCACCTTGGCTTAGCCAAGGCACAGGGAAAATGACTCATTGATAATGGCCAACTTCTAGCCTTTGGCCTCTGCATCTCATTTTTCTCCTCCCTGATACCAGACAGCCCCATTTAGCTGCAAGATCTTCATGTACCTGCCCTCTTCTTTAATCCCTAAAGAATGGCCATGGCATTTTTAACATAAAGGCAGTTCTGTAAAATTCTTCCCGAGTGCCAGCAGGTGCACAATACTTCTTTCCATCATTAATGCTCTCAAGGATATTTTTGCAACAAAGCCCCGGTGCTGTCCTTGTAGGACCTTCCAAAGCCCTCTTACGGGGTGTGATAGAGAACAGGAATGAAAACATTCAAAAATTAAACAAAATGAGGGTCTCATTTTCCTACTGCCATCAAGCCCTTCCAAAAGAAAAATTCTCTATTCACTCCCATGTGCGACTACAATGCAGGATATTTTTCCAGCTCACTGGTACTTCATAAACACCATTTGTTGTCATGTGGTTAAATTAAAACTGAGGATATCAAACATCAAACAGTATGTTAATGTCAAGTATGCTTGAATAAATAGTAAGAGTTCAATTGAATGGAATATGTGGATTGCTAGCTAATTAAGCAAGAAGCAGGTGTGAAAAAAATCTAATTTAGGCAATTTTTTATAATTAATAATGTTTACTTGTAGTACCCTTCTAATGGGGCTCTAGTTTAGCCTCTTGTGAATTGCTAGGAGTTTACTCCAGTATTTTAAAATTATAATTGAATGGAGAATTTTATGGGATATCAGGTTTCCTTGCTGCTGATGAAGCACTGTCTATATAGAAGGCTCCTAACAGTACTTTGTATCAATAGGATCAATTAGCAAATGATCCTAGCAATTAAAACTTAAAACACACACAGGCATACCCCGCACCTAAAGGTTCTCTTGCACACCCCAGTACAAGGGGAGGGAGAAGTGAATTTGGATGAACCAATTTGAATAAGAATATCATACTCAAACAATCATTGGATAGGAATGACGAGAGCTTCGGTGAGTGTCTGCAAAGAGCAGCAACAGAGAACATTCTGTTGGGATTAGAAACAAAAAATTAAGATCATATCTAAACTGTCCTGGCAAATTGCACACAACCAATCAATTAATCCAAGTATACGTTTAGGATTGGTTTTCTTTCCAAAAAGCCAAATGGAAGGAGAGGAGGAGAAAATGACCACAGATGTGAAAACAGACCTGGAATATTTCATGGACGTGACATATCCACCACATTTAATTAAAAAAAGAATGTATGAGAACAATGTATCCTTCTCAATCTGGGTCGAGGGAACAAAACAGGACTGGATTAGATAGGACAACTGTAATCTCTAGAGACAGTTCCATGTTTAATGGGAGCGCCACATGTTTGATATGTAGGGAAGTAAGTGGGTGTCCTGGACACGGTCCACTATTCATCATAATACCACAGCCCTGTTCATTCCCAGAGAGGAGAGTTAAAACCATGAAACCATATGTAGAATATTAAAAATCATTTAACATTAAAATGCACATTATGAAGGCATGCACTTTGGACAAGGCTACAGTCCAAGAGCTCTGAGAAATCTCCAGTTCAGTAGATAATTGTTGTAAAGGTAAACTGAGTTATCTATATGTACCTACACATGCGGATGTTTGCACACAGGCGCATGCATGCACACACAGAGGGACTGTCATAGAAGCTTAGTCCTCATCTCTTCAATGCTGCCTTTCATCACTCTGTTTTCCTTACTGATTTCTGTAGTGAGGTCAATATCAATAATTGATGGAGCTATGATATCTAGAGCATCAGCACATTAATTTATAATTAAAGATGAGAAATATCAGTTCTTCTCCCACCACCCATTATTTGGTATTAAAACATATATATACACATATATATTTAATACATAGCAGATATTAAATTGTTTCTCAAGCAGAGTCAGTAACCTTACTATATTTTCATGGACTTTTCATTGCCACTGAATTAATCACAGCCCTGCCCCTAACCACATAGAACTTTATTTCCCAAAAGAGCAATGTTTACTTTGCTTTACTTTGTTGGAACTCAAAGTACCTATTCAGTCTATAACGATTTTGTGTAACATATTTTGTTAAGCAACATTAAAAGCGCTCACTCACAGATCTTGGTTAGACTGCTTTGCTTATATGCAGATTTGGGGTGCTTTTGATCTCATCTAGCTCACCAACAAGGGCAAGGCTGAGTCTAAATCCACTGTGCATGGAAATGCTAACGACTTTGGAGATTGAGAGTCCTCTATATTTTCTCAGTTGCCAAAAATAATATATGAAGTGAAAAGTGAATGTAGCAAACGTAAGCATGCACTCAGGGAGAAATCCTATCTGTCAACTTTCAGCAGGAGATGACAGACAGCAGAGATGGTACCAACTCAGACTGACTGTGGGTAGTCTGATCCCTGCCATTCCAACTAAAGACAAAAGGGTGGACAACTGCTATGAAGGCCACCAGAAGACATTAGGGTCCCTTGCTGAAGGAGACATGCCTCACCCATGAACTCACTGTAGGGCCCTAGAGTCACCTCTTGAGGCAGTCACCACAGCTCTCCCACAGTGAAAGATGGGGAGGGCATTTACTAGAACAGTAAACAGCAGATTAAGTAGAGCAGAGTGAACCCCAACAATGTGTACCTGGCCGAGGGCAGCAAAGCTGCAATTTCCTCTGCCAGGGCATCAGCAAAGTGCGTCCTGCCCTCGGTTATCCTGACTGCAGTTGGCCCCTGCACTCTATGAACAAGGAATCTCTCACCCAACTGATCATTTGGGGCATAGGTTGCAACAGTGCAAGGTGGGAGAAGTTGAAGAAAAAAAAGGACAGGTAACGTTCAGCCATCCAGCCAGAGGTATGCATTTGACCCAACTGCAGGCCAGGCTGGCTCCTTCTCAAAGGGCAAGAGGGCTTTTGCTCAAGGCCTGAGGCTTTAGAGACAAAGCATCTAAAGGCTTAGAGATGATCCATGGTTTTCCAAGTCAGGGATGAGGCTGCCTAGGCTTTTGGAGATTTTGATTCATTCACCTGGCAATTTAAGAACAGGTGTATTTGGCATAAGTCGCTCAACCCTGCTCCTGAAGGAAGGAGGGGTGCAGTTGCAATGTATTGCAGGGCACTGCTTTTCTTCCCTTCTTTTCCCACACCATCCCAAGCCTGTTCCTAGAAGCTCCTGGGACTCAGAGGAAATCACTTTCCGGACTCTACCCTCATCCACACCCTTGCAAACAGCAATAGCATATCTACTTAGGCAGAAAGAAACGGAACTGTAGATGCAAGAAGGTAAATGCAATCTGAGAGATTTGCTGTTAACTCCAAAGGGGCTTTATTCTATTACATAAAGTATAGGACAGAGGTTTCTGAACTGTCTTTATGAACAAGCCCGAGTTCTTTCTCAAAATCCTAATGAGACAATGCCTTGGCCCATCTCCTCTTTGAGTTCCTCAGAAAAGACTGAGCCTGATCTTCCTGCCTTCTGTTGCAAACCTTCTTGCCATCTGGGTGATAAGAGAGCCAGTAAAGCCAGGCAGCCTGCATACCTTTCTCTCCAAATCCAGATAGCCAGCATGCTGGGGTGTATGAGAAGGCAAGGAGAAATTCTCCAGACTAAGGTAACAAAGCTACAGCCACAACAAGCTGTGGTGCCCTTCCTGCCACATGGTTGGCCAGAGATTCTTTTCTATAGACTGTCACTAGAGGGCCTGCCCAGACACCATCCCTGAACATATATAAATCCTAGAGCCAATGTCAACAATGCATAGAAGTAACCCTGGAAAAGCTGCCATGGATGCTGCTACAATAAACGGAGAGAAGGAAGCTAATGAATAAATTCATCATCAGAGATGATGGAATGAAATGCAGATGGGTCTATGTATTTGGGAAATCAAAACTCCAACTAATGGTGCACACAGCATGTTGCTACAGGGGAACTAACATCGGGAGAGGCAGGAAAGGAAAAGATGAAATGTGTTTATTAAACCATTGCTAAGAACAGAGGCTAAGGCAAGAGCTTGAAAATCTGTAGCTAAGTTTTAGAAGATACAAAGAAAAACGGAGCTCTTTTTTGGGTAGAGAATTGGATCCATGTACAGATGCTCCTCAACATACAATGGGGTTATATCCCAATAAATTCAATATAAATTGAAAATATCACAAATCAAAAATGCATTTAATACATCCAACCTAGTGAGCATCATAGCTTATTACTCTAAACTACCTTGAATGTGTACAGAACACTTACATTAGCCTATAGTTGGGCTAAATCATCTAACACAAAGCCTATGTTATAATAAAGTGTTGAAAAGCTCATGTCATTTATTGAATACTGTACTGAAAGTGAAAAACAGCAAAGTTGTATGGGAACTTGTATAGTTTCTATTGAATGCATATCACTTTCACACCATTGTCAAATCAAAAGATCATAAATCTATGTGTGTTGGGGGCAAGGGTGAGGATGCATTGAAGGACTAGTTTCCTTACTCTGTCTCCATGAATGCAGCAAAGAGTAGCAATTCAGACTGCAGCTCTGGAGTTGTGATGCCTAGGTTTGAGTTTATGTTCCTCCACTTAAAACTGGGGCAAATTTCTTAATCTCTCAGCCTCAGGACACTCACACGTAAAACAAGGGTAAGAATAGAACCTGCCAAATAGGAGTGTCATTGAGAAGATTAAATGAGGTTTCCAGTAGCCAGGTAAAGCACTTACTATAGTATGTATACTTACAGAATATATACACACAATATGTACTCAAGAGTTTGTAGATGCATACAATATGCACTTACAGTATGCAGCTTACCTGAAAGAATCAGCAGAAAAACTTTTTAAATGTCCCCAAAGTATAGGCTGTAGTCAGTATTTTTTTCTGCACATAGGTGGGCTATTTAATGAAGGACAGGACACTTCACAGCTACTTAATCTCGGTGAATCATGATCGAGCAATTCCATTTGTGGATATCTATCTCCCCAGAAGAACTGGAAGCAGGGTTTGAAGAGTAATTTGTACAATGTTCAAAGCAGTGCGATTCACCATTGCCAAATGGTAGAAGCAACCTGAAGTGTCCATCAACAGATGAAAGGATAGAAAAATATGGTATAACCATATACTGGAATAGTATTCAGCCTTAAAAATGAAGGAAATTCTGACATACGCTACAACATGGATAAGCCTTGAGGACATTATGCTGAGTGAAATAAACCAGTTATGAACGAATATTGTATAATCCCACTCACATGAGGTTCATAGAGCAGTCAAATTCATAGACACAGAAAGCAGAATGGTGGTTGCCAGTAGCTGGGGGGAGGGGAAAATGGGAGTTGTTGTTTAATGGGTACAGATTGTTTGTTTGCTTCAGATGGATTCTCACTTTGTTGCCCAGGATGGAGTGCTGTGGCATGATCTCAGCTCACTGCAACCTCCACCCCCCTGGGTTCAAGTGATTTTCTTGCCTCAGCCTCCCAGCAGCTGGGATTACAGGCATACACCACCACACCTAATTTTTGTATTTTTAGTAGAGACGGGGTTTCACTGTGTTGGCCAGGCTGGTCTTGAAGTCCTGACCTCAAGTGATATGCCCGCCTAGGCCTCCCCAAGTGTTGGGATGACAGGCACGAGCCACCGTGCCCCGCAGAGTGTCAGTTTTCTAAGATGAAAGTTCTGAGGCTGGATGATGGTGATGGCTGCACAATAATGTACTTAGCACTACTGAACTGCACACTTAAAGATGGTTAAGGTGGTAAGTGTATTTTACCACAAATAATTTTTTTAAAAAACTTAAAATGGTAAAAAAAAATTTTGATTGAAAAAAAAAAGAATCTCAGTGAATCACACAATCAGAAAGTCCCCTTCAAATGGAGATTAATGGTAATTGATCTCTGGATTCTCTCCCCCATATTGGAGACACCTTTTCTTAAGACATCTCAAAGTGAAACCCCGAAGGAGGAATTGTCTAAGAAGATTTAGGTTCAGTTCTGTGTAATGACAAACTCCATCAATGAGAGTTAACAAATTCCTCTCTGTCCCATTCATGAATTCCTTCCTTGGTGTCTAAAACTGGCTCCATTTCTTGCGCAAAGCCTAGGAATCAGGAATAAAGAATTCATCAAGCCCTGAGAGCTAGAAAGGGAAGCTGAGATCAATCACCTGTTTCAGAAAATAGAAGATAATCGAGACTCTTGTCTCCAGGTTTCTCCTGTGCTTTTGAGAACAGGAGTAAAGGCCTGCTGACGCTTCTGAGTTCCTCCAGGTCTGGACTCCCTCCTGGGAGACAGGAAGTGCAGTACCCACATCCATGGAGCACCTATCCCGGGAGGACACTTTCTAAACTGAGATGGTAACAGGGCAAAGAGTGTGTTCAATGAGAGCGTGTTTACTTCACTAGAGCCCATCTTAGGGCATAGTAAATTTATCGTTGTATTATTTGGAATTTCCTTCTCACTCATGAGTCTCCTTTGAGGCAGGGTTGTTCAAGGCTCAGGTTTGGGGACAGATGGATCCAGGCACCAGTTTCCTTATCACCCAGGCTGGAGGGCAGTGGCGCGATCACAGCTCACTGCAGCTTTGAACTCCTGGGCTCAAGCAACCCTCCCACTTCAGCCTCCTGAGTAACTGAGACTACAGGCACATGCCACCGTGCCTGACAGCAATATCTGTTTCTTGGGGTTGTGGTGAAAAGTCAAAGGGGCGATGTGTAAGGCAGGCTTAGCACAGTGCCTGATGCATGGCAAATGTTAGCCAATATTATTTACTATCCTCACCACAGAGTTTTGGAACAGATTTTATGACCTTCATATTATCAAGAGGAAAGGGCCACCCAGAGAAGCAAGTGACTTGGTTAGGGTAATGCAGTCTCTCTATGTCGTTCCCTCTGCTGGATCTATTCTTTCTAGTCTGCTTAGAAAGAGAAGCATCCTTCTGACCCAGAGAGGCAGTTGCAGAGGGCTGCAGCCAGGCAGGGCTGACCACAGGCTCTGGTTTCCAGATGAACCAGGATGCTGCTCCAGATTGCTTGCTGACATCCCCATCCTAGGCTGGTACCAAAGCGTAAGTGAAAGTCTGTCCCCTGCTCTTCCATTCGCTTCGACAGGAGCCTTCATCTGCTCCACCTTCTGGGAGCATGTGTCGGTCTCGGAGCCTGGCGCTGAAGCAGGTGCGGGCATATTTTAAGCTCCAGCAAATAACTTTAATTGAGCTCTCCTTAGACATATGAACCCACAGAGCAATTTTTTTTCCTCTTCTAATAAAAAAAGACCCACAACAAACCAGATGGGTCTCAGTCCCTCCCCAACACCCCCTCCCCACTCTTCAGGCTCCCCTAATAAATCTCTTAACTCTAAAGAAATTACCTTCCTTGAAGTGGGTATGTTATTCGGTTGCATGACTGTACCCAAGCTGCCTCTGCGGGCCAGAATGTGGGTCAGAAGGATGCAGCCTGCAGAAATGAGGCCTGCTGGTTCTGGCCAGGTTGGTGCTTGCATTATTGCTTGTCCATAACTTTCTATCACCCCTTACTTCCCTGTGCCTGCTCCCCTCATGCTGGGTCACTCACTGCTGCTGTTCTTCTCCCTTTATGTTCTGGTATCTGCAACCTCCACTTTATTTATTTATTTCATTTATTTATTTAGAGACAGGATTTTGCTCTGTCACCCAGGCTGGAGTGCAGTGGCGCGATCACAGCTCACTGCAGCTTTAAACTCCTGGGCTCAAGCAACCCTCCCACTTCAGCCTCCTGAGTAACTGAGACTACAGGCACATGCCACCATGCCTGGCTAATATTTTTTATGTTTTCTGTAGAGAAGGGTCTAACTATGTTGCCCAGGCTAGCCTTGAACTCCTGGGCTCAAGAGATCCTCCTGCCTCAGCCTCCCAAAGTGCTGGGATTACAGGCATGAGCCACTGCACCCAGCAACCACCACTCTTAGCAGTTTCACCTCAACAAAAATTCCCTTCTTGGAGTGGACCTTCCAACACACCTGGCTAATGTGGAAAAATCTAGATGGAATTCCTCCCACCAAAAGCCAGCTTAACTCCTTGGCAGCGTGTCCAGAAAGAGTGATGAAAAAATAAGCCAATACCTCCTGTCACCAAAATAAAGTTCAGAGACATCGTGGGCAACAGAGTTCAGTCTCATTTTGCAGATCCGTGTTCTCTTTAATGCCCCGTATGAAGGTGGCAGCGGGAACAAGAGGGAAACACTACAGTGTGACTGGATTCCAGACCCCGCCCCCGAAAAAAAGACCTCAAGAATTGCCCAGGGCAAGAGCCAAGCACCGCGCTCTGGGTTCTGATTTATGAGCGCTAAATTATTGGTAGGAGGGCCCAGAAGGAGTCGTTTACAACAGAAATTATTGCAGGCAAATGTTGGTTGGTATTTTAAATCACTCACTAATATTGATAGGTTAATGCTTGTCACACTTGCTTAAGGGTCACAGGGAAGAAAAAAAAACACAAAACTTTATCTTTGGCTTGTTACTGGCTAAGTATAATGATAGATACACCTTTTTGTGTTTTTTTTTCCTCGAGCTAAGCCTGCTGTATTATTTATGGTTTTCTGAGTCACTGGCTATAGCCTGCATCTGGATTTTAAAAGGTTGATTTGCAAAAAAACAAAAATAGGGCACCCGTCTAGGGAGGCTGGTGGGAGTCTGCTCTACAGCTCGAGCGGCCCCTCCAAGAACCCTGGGCTGCAAGGCTGGGCGCCTCAGGCGGCCAGGGCCAGATGGCCAGGGCGCATTGTTCCCCTTTCGGTGGTAGTCCTGCTGCGGCAAATAAAGTTAAATCAAAAGGTTAGTGCTCTGCAAGGGGGTGGCAGAGCTGGCTCCAGCTGACAAGAGACAAGCATCCTGGACAGAGAGTGGGGACTACGTGGCTGTTCCCCGGAATGCAAAGGGAAGAGAGCTAGGGTGCAGAAATCAACAGAGAGGAGCATGCTGACCTGGAGCGGGGCTTTCCAGGCCTCACGTCAGACAGGCTCTCCCTGACAACAGCAATCACGGATCACAAGGTCCCCTCCTTCGTAGACCCCGAGGGAGCCAACAATTACAATCTTGGTCCACCCATGACTAGGGATTGAGGGAGGCACCATCCCTCACCTTGGGTCTGAGATGGGAAGAGCTGCCTCAGACTTCCTTCAGCAAACAGCACCTTCCTTTGGGGGTGGCTTTGGGGTGGTATATTTTGGAGGGGGATGGGGTGTGGCTTGGGAGGATCAAATGACCCTCCCCTGTCATCAGTGGAAGCAAAGTTTAGAATCTGGATGGGCAGCGTAGGATT
This sequence comes from Homo sapiens, assembly GCF_000001405.40. Classification (NCBI taxonomy): domain Eukaryota; kingdom Metazoa; phylum Chordata; class Mammalia; order Primates; family Hominidae; genus Homo; species Homo sapiens. The sequence continues at coordinate 25,972,500 of NC_000008.11, forward strand.
ACTTCTAATGGGCACATAACAGCTTTTAAGCCTGACACAAAATCCTTGGATTATTTCATAGACTGTCAGAGCAAAAAAAGGATTTAAGAGACTATGGAAACCCCTGCCTCATTTTACAGACCAACAAAAGGGAGTCCAGAGAGGAAAAGTGATTTGCTGAGGGTCACACAGGAAGATGAGGAAGCCGGGACCCACGCCCAATGTTCCCGGGCACTGTGCCCCAAGCTCAAAGTATACATGAGGGCGATGGTGGCCGAGTGGGCCACGATGTGTAAAATCACAGGCAATATAAGCCGTATTTCAAAGACTAGGGGAGACGATATTTCATATGAAAACTAGCAGGTACAATATGCAATACAATGCAGTTTGGCTTTTTTTTTTTTTTTTTGAAAATCACCTTTTTCATAAAGCACATTTGAACTTGCCTTACATTTCAAAATAAGTCCCTCTCTCCCCAACTCCCACCCACCCTTGTCCCACTCCAAGAGCGGGAGCTTTGGTTTCCTCTGCAGGTTCTACCCTGGGCTCTAGCTGGACTGCACATTTTTGTATTCCTTTTTCATTGAGTTTCCAAAGCACAGTATTTACCCAGGAGGCCTGCAGTTTCCAGGGTATGGAACACAATTAGGTGACCTGCAAAGTGTTTTTTATTTACCTGAGAGAACCAGGCTGTCCTTAGGTGCCAACTGGTCTCTCAGGTAAATATGAACTTGGGCAGACTTAAAAAAATAAAAATAAAAAGCTAACATTAAGATATGTATTGAGGGATTTTTAAACTCTGATTCCATCCTTTTAGCTAGATACCTTTCTTTCCCCTGCCCAGCCTCATTCCCCTAAACAGAATATTACTGAAGCCATTTCAGTGCCTTTGATCCTGTTCTAATCTGGATCATATTTACAGGGCAGATCTTCTGTTTCCTACCACACTGGACTGGCTTGAATGCACAGTTAAGCAATATTTTTGACTTCCCTTTGAAAATTTAGGAGGAGGTGATATTTCCAAAGGTGTGCAAAACCAGCGATGAAGCAAACTTAACTTTTTAAAAATGCAAACTACATTTTAATAAAAGTTAACTTAAAAGAAAACAAACAACTCTCAAATCACATTTCCATCCTCAAATCTGTCTGCTTTGTTAGATTGTTTTTCCCCCTTGAAGCTAGTCTGTTTTTCTTTTGTTTTTCTTTTTAGTTTTTTGAGACAGGGTCACACTCTGTTGCCCAAGTGGAATGCAGTGACAGGATCATGGCCCACTGCAGCCTCCACCTCCTGGGCTCAAACGATCTTCCCACCTCAGCCTCCCTAGTAGCTGGGACAACAGGTATGCACCACCACAAAGGGCTAATTTTTGTATTATTTATAAAGACAGGGTCTCACTATGTTGCCCAGGCTGATCTCACAAACTCCTGGGAGCAAGCAATTCACCCACCTCAGCCTCCCGAAGTGCTGGGATTACAGGTGTGAGCCACCACACCCAGCCTAAGCTTTTCATTTCTATTAGAAAACCTATAGGGCTTTCTGCTCATTTCCAGAAAATGTGAGGTCTGAGCACCACATCTCTATGAGAATTCCAAATGGAAACAATGCAAAAGATTTTACAGTTCTTACCAAACACGCAAATTTTAGAGTAGGAAGAGGCAGGTGAGATCATGTTGTCTGACTCTGATTTTACGGATGAGCTCACTAAGCACCAAGGGGAAGTGGCACAGGTCACAGATGGAGTGGGCAAAACCAGACCAGGCTCCAGGACCCAAGACTCCTCACCTGGTGCTCTTGCCAGCATCTCCCACTGACTTCCTGTCATCCCACTGCTGATTTGAGCAACGAGTGAGTTCATCCTGCTGGCCTGACCATCTCCAGAAAGTAAGAGTAAATGAAAGATTTGATCCAAGTACACTGTATCTCCTTGTGCTGACTATAGCTGAAACAATTGCTGGAGAAGTATCCCAGTTATCAAAGTGAAAACTTCTATCCTTTTACCTGATTGGGAAAAGCTGATTTAGCTATCAATTAGTGCCTAGAGCCAGAAAACTTGATAAAATCTTAGTTTGAACTTTTAATGTGGTGTGGACTAAACAAAAAACTGAGTTAGAATTTTGCTCTTCAATTAAGTGATTTAAAATATATTTTAGTTAGTATTTTAAAAACTATTTCTGACAATATACAAATATAGTAACAATAAAGACACTGGAACTTGGACGGCAAAATAATTATGAGTCCCTGCTTTCCTTCCTGCCAAACTCCCCCTGCCCCCCCATCCTACTGTAGCCAAAAAAATACAGTTTTCCAAGAACTGCATTTTTCTGACATCCTGTGCATTTTGAGATCCGGGGAGACTTCCCATTTTCCACACTCAGCACTTTGAGGGCCATCAGGGTCGAAGCACCAGTATTCCCAGCAGATCCCTGATAGCTCATCCAGAACAATCAAGCTACCGGCTGCCCCGCCCCTCTTGTTACTAAGCTGACATCAATTTCTCAAATAAGCATTACCTTCAGTGGTGGTGGTGTTTCTACCAGAGAAACAAAGCAAAGAGATTAATCAGAGACCACAAAGTTAAAGCAGTTGCAACCTCGGCTCGAAATCCCACTCCTAAAACACCATACACCCAAGTCAGAAAAAATAAAATGAAACTTCACATCCTGGCCTCAGAAGCGCCTGTTAACCCAGGAACTACTGCGCTGAAAATCACATCCTCTGCTCAGCCCGGGTGAGCAGGGACTACAGGGGAAAATGAAAGAAACGATACATGTTTCAAATTTTACAGCAGTTTAACATCATGCAAAACTGAAAAGGCCTTGGAGGTTTCATTCTCGATGAAGTTTAGTTGGTACAGAATCAACTGTCTCAGTAAAACACACCACAGGCACATAATGTAATGTAGACAGACACTGAAAGCAATATCAGATTCCTTTCTTATCACTTCTTCAGGATAAAATTCAGATGTACATTTTTCCCGGTTAAATAGTGCGACAGGATTAAGTAGACAGCTAAGCCTTTATAAGTTGAATAATATGCTTTGCAGGTTATTAATATGCTGATCATATACGCTGGCTTTATTAAATGAAATATTTGAAATGTACAGAGCCTGATTTCATTTTCAGTTTTAAAAACTGTGCTATAGGAAATATTTTTGTATAAACAAGATTCTAAGAGTCTTTCATCTTTTGCTTGCCTAACCCAAACCTGCAGGATTATGTTAAATGAGTATTTATGTTCCCAAGCAACATTTTAAAAAGTTTTATTTTCATTTCTACAGTAACTCTACAGTATCCTGAGAGGTAAAAATTGACACAGTGCACACGATTACTGGGGAGGGTTAATAGGCAGAAAATTATCCCAGAATCTGAAAATTCTGTTTCAGCAAAGCTGATAACTGGTGATTTCAGATTTGAATTTGAGCAGCTGCCAAAGAAAAGTTAAAAATTACATCTAAAGGATGAACAGCTGTGGTCCAAACTATGCTGCAATCTTAATCTTTATGAACTTCTTCGATAGGATTCAAACCAAAGCCAGAAACGTCCACAGAGATCCCTTCTGTAGAGTCAGATTTACTCATGTTCTTAGTTTGGGGTCTTCTTTAAAATAAAATAATAATAAATTCAATTACTATGAAAACCCTCCTCCAATGAAAATTAAAAATTCAACTCTCTTGCATCATGCTTTTTATGAAGATGAATTAAAATGTCTTCATCGCTTTTCATAGATGTGGTTGAAATTATTAAATTATTATTGAATCAAGGTCTTGAAACCACTTGCAGTCTTTTTCCATGTTCTTTCACATGCTGTAATGGAGATCCGTAAAATTTTGCCAATTTGGAAACAGGTCCAATAGATGGTTATTAAGCACTGCTCGACTATTAAGCTTTCTAACTTCCATAATATTTTGTAGTCCCCTATAGAACCCAAACTACCATTCACCGTCTTTAGAGTCACTCATAACATTCTGGGCAAATCCTTAGGAAAATGACACAGAGTTGGGCTGAGCTGCCAAGACACAGTATATTTCGACTGAGGACTAATAATATTTGGAAATGATTTCCTGTATTTCTTCTTTACTTATTTGTTAATCTGATATAGTTTCCAGAGTTTGCAATGCTCATGCCTTTTGTATTCTAAAGAGATGAGGGGCTTTCTTAAAAACAAAACAAAACAAAAATCTTCTTTCTCTAGCCTGATTCTCACTTAATGCTGAAGGTCTTTTAAACCTTCTAAGTAAACATAAATGTGTATACATTAGGGTTGCTTGTGTTGGAAGAAGACAAAAATAAAGATTGGCCTTTTCCCGGTAAACATGGACTCTTAAGCCTCTAAATGATTTGCCAAACAGAATCGGATAATAAAGGGTTTAAACTTTGCCACTTTGGGGTTAATGTGAAAGGCTTGTCAACATCAGACTGTTTAGACATTAAAAGGAACGCTCTGTGCACCTCCTTTTAAACTCCATGTTCTCTTGAGTTGCAGCTCCCAGTGAATTTACCCAGCTGTAAGTGATTCCAGATGTGCAGCAGTGACAAGCTTCAGTCTCAGGGTACTTATTCATTTCACATTAAAATCTCATGTTCCCAGGTCTGAGCTGTTATCTGACTGAGATCTGATTAGGGAATACAGCAGAGGCATTTCCAAACCCAGAGCCTGCCCTCATTCCCTGGCACGGATCTCTGACTATCAGGCAGCTCTGTGCAAGGGAGAAGTGGCTCGGGGTACAGTGAAGGGCAGGGCGGGGTTTCAGAGCTGTCCCCTTAATACGTGCACATCGCATGCTCCCAGCGGGTCAGGTACTTCCCCACAGTTTATCTCATTTAATCCTGGACAGAGCAGTAGACACTTGAGCCCAGCTGAACCCAATTCCTCTATCAAACACGAGCTTCCTTCCCCCAGTTAAAGGGGGTAGGGCCTGTGATTTTGCACATTTTCTACACAGCACCCCACATGCAGAGGGGTGCTTGATAAAGGCATGAGGAGTGATAATTGATTTTCCAAGCCACAAAACCCTCAATCTTCTCTCTCGCCCCCAGCTATGTTCTGACCACGATAGAAGAAGGTAAGTAGAAGAGCAAGAAGAGGAAGAAGAAGAGAAAGAAAGGAAGTCAGGAGCATGAAGAAAGCACCTTCTTCAAACAAGCTAGTTATGCCTTTGTTCCCGGACAAGGAAGTGGTGGTCCTCTCTGATCTCACCCCTAGCATGAACAGGGTTCATTCCAAGTCAGCTTTGACTTCCTTGCCCGAAGTGCACATGTACAAATGCTATTGGCTGACAGTTTCTTCTATGACACGTGTCAAAGACACATTTTCCTGGCTACAGAAATATAAGGTGAGTTGGGGACTGCAGACAGAGACTAAGATAACATGAGTACCTGAGGGAAGAAAGCAACGTCTGTGATGCCCACAGAAGGGGGATAAGTTAGGGATCATTATTATTTCATTATTTTCCCCTCTAGCCTGACTTTTGGTTTGACTTGAGCTTTACTGCAATTTTTTTTTCTTGACCCTATCCCGTTGTCACTTTGAAGAGGGAGATAGCACCACAAACCCCCAGCTGATCAACTGTGGTCACAGGCTGCTGGACAGCCCCAGAGGCCATCAGTAGCTCCTGTCACCGAACCCTCGTCACACTGGAAGCCCCAGAAACTATGCATTGAATACTGCAGCCCCCTCCCCATGTGCTCCGTCTACCCCAAAAGGAAGAAGAAAGAATCACGCAAACCCCAGATTCAAAATGGAGAGGATTAAAAAGCCAGGGAAGCCCCAGGCCCACCTTGAGGGGCCTCGGGTTGGGGGTAACGTGGCCGCGCCACATGGAAGGAGAGCAGCGGCATTTGGTTTGGTGGTGGGCAGATTTTCTTTTACGACTGCTAAATGCCTGCCTTTCTCCCCAAGCAATTATAGTGCTGTTTCCCATCAAGATGGCTGTTAGCTGCGGATCTCCAAGTTGCTGCAAATAAATCAGGAATGCTATTGGCAGCTGGCTGGGAGAGCGACCGAGATGGTCATCCTGGTTATCCCATGATGGCGATGAGGGGCATCGCAGCAATGGTCCAAACCAAGCTGTTTCTGGGAGCTAAAGAAAACAAGGTGCAGCCCTCCTGAGCCCCACATGAATGAAAGCGGAAAGGTGCGCTTCGCCCTCTGGCTGCAGGTTCAGAACCTGAGCACACCTAGGAAATGGGACCCCCACAACACTCAACCCCGCCATGGCATGTGCTTTGCCCAAGGAAACATAACCAAGGCGCCTTCCTCCGGCACATGGAGTAGTATCAAATGCTGTCATTGCAGTTAATCAGAAGCAACACAAAGGGGCCCTTCGGTGCACAGTGGACACAATCCATGCGGTAATGAAAGCTTGTAAAAGACGATGCCAAAGACGTGCATTATGACATGGAAGGTAAATAAAGGGTCTGACGCTGGGCGGGGGGCGGAGTGGTGCGGGTTGGTTCACTCTGCAGCTTGCAGTGGCTTCAGGCTGGAAAACGGGCTGCTCAAACCACGCAGCACCCTTAATCTTGTGACACGGAGGGTTCTCCGAATACCGTAGCTCATCTGAACACACACCCTTGTGAAGGATCCACATAGAAAATGATGGTGAGATTCCTGTGTGGCTGCACGAATCTCTCTGCTGGCTCTGTCACTGTCACACCCAAAGCCCACAAAACCATCCCAAGTTGCTGTGTGTCCCGCAGATGCAAAAAGCATTTCTTCCACGACAGTGTTTGAGGGTGAAAGGAGAGAAAATGATTTGGGCAGGCTGCCAGGGGTATGTGGAGGCCAGGTGGGCCGTGTCCTCCAAGGGAACTGCACGCTGGGCTAAGAAACGGTCCCTGCACGGGACGAGCACCATGTGGCAGCTGCAAACCCTCGCCCTGCCCCCGGCCCTCGAGTCACATTGTGTCATGCCACACGGCATTCGGATCAGGAGATGGCTGTGGCGTGCTGCGTAATATTTTTAAAAGCCCATTTCCCTGTTTAAGGGGGAAGCAGGTGGAACACAGGACCCCTGAAGGGCAGATACTCTGAAAGGCCCCACAGGCAATTCTCCAATAAAAGAGAGAGCAGGGCTGGCATATCTCCCAAACTTACAAATTGACCTTCTCTCTTGATCTGGGACTTAATGCCTCCAAACCAAACTAATTCCAAAAGTCACCTTCTCAACTTCTCTGTACAATTTTTTTTTTAAACAAATGAAAGCTCAGGTACAGCCTCCCCTTGCAGCCCTTCTGACGTCCTTAGCCACTCAAATTAAATCTGAATGGTTCGTCTCTTTTTATTATACGATGGGCCATATGTCACCAAAATAAAAACCCAGCTGAAATCCCAGTACAGATAAAGGGCATGAAAGGCTGTTCCGGCCACAAAATAGAGACCCTGTTTAAATCTTATTAAACAATAACACCCACCCAACCATCCCCTCCCCCTTTTAGCAAAAAAAATTCAGGAAGGAAATTGTGGTTAAATCATCTCATAGTTTGGCAAAAACTTCTACCTCTGAAAAATGAAAAGGAAAAAAAAAGCTTCATTCTGTGCTGGACTCACACAGGCTAATAAAAAGCAGGACTGTATTGCTTTGCACTGTAGCTGTCAAATTCTCAGCAATGAAATACAGATCCTGACTCTCTCATTCCCTTGGGTGCTACCCCCTCAGACCACCAAAAAACGGAAAAGCGGGGGTGGGAGGGGCATCCTTTACCCTCTCCCATTCCAGAGTGAACCTTATTTGTTGCTCTGTTTTATTTTGAATTTTTGTTTCTTGACCTGAATATCTCTCTTCCTGAAGAGATACAACACGTTTCCACTGTTGTAAACACAGTTAAACGTGTAAGGAGCTGTTGAGGCTGCTGCTTTAAAGAACTATGATTCTTCCTTCTTTTAAAGAGAGTACACACTGACATTCAGAGAAGTCCAGACATTGCAACAATGGTAAGCGTGCTGTAAAGGAAGGAAGGAAAGAAAAGAAAAAAGAAAGATCAAAAAGAAAAAACATTTCCATTTCACAAGGTCCCCCAGTGGCCTCCAATGCTCCTCCTCCACCATCAAAAATTCATAAGGGGGATCAGCATTCTTTACCGAATGGATCCCAGTGGCACCATAGACCTTGCTGGGGAGAGAGGCAATAAATATCGAATTATACACCTCATGGGAAGAAAGCACTGAAGACTCAGCTTCAAGCCCTTCACATGGTCCCAGGGGGAGCTGCTCCAGACTCCAGGTCCAGTGCAGAAAGGAAATGGGTCAAGTGTGTCAATTTCTAGACCGATGACCTTTGACTTGCCTAATGACACTGGGAGGCCACCACAAAAAAAAAAAAAAAAAAAAAAAAAAGATGCCAAATGCCTTGGAGGAAAGCAGTGGGGGAGGGGTGTCATTGGGAACCCATGAGAAAACTGCAACCCCAGCACTGTGGTGGGGGGTGACCCCCTTCACCCCTGGAGTAACTGTGACCTGTCCTGGGGAAGGTGTAACCAGCTCAGTGGTAGAAAGTCCATGAACAGAGAACTTCAACTACCACACAGTTTTGGTTCCCAGCTCCAGGAATGGCTTTGCTTCTGCCTGAAACTTGAAGAACATCTCGTTTGTTCCTCTCTAAGCCTTGCTCCTCCCTGCTCTGCCCCCGAAGCCTCCTTCTTCACCCTCCCTGATGACCCCTGATTTGGCTGCCACCACCTGTGCCAACCACGCAGTGAGGTCTCAATGCTCTGCTGCCTTGCATCACTCCCTTTACACATGCATTTTTTTCATCTCCTTGCTTCTAACTTCTAAGCAACAGGAGTGGCCTAGACCTTGGCCAGATTCCTGCCCCCATCCCATCTTCCCTCACCTAGCACTGTATCAAGAGTACGAAGTCGATGCTCTGTGATTCCTGTCAATTGTTGCAAGGCAAACTTCCATTGCCCTATCCATTTCATTTTGGAACTGGAGTATCTGGGTTCCAAAATGAAATGGATAGGGCAATGGAAGTGGGAAGGAAAAGCATGAACCAATGCAGTCAGACAACATGCACCTGCATTTCCCAGTGTAAAAACCTGTGGAAGGCCCGATGTGGTGGCTCACGCCTATCAGTACTTTGGGAAACCGAGGTGGATCACCTGAGGTCAGGAGTTTGAGACCAGCCTGGCCAACGTGGCAAAATCCCGTCTCTACTAAAAATTCAAAAATTAGCCAGGAGTGGTAGCAGGCACCTGTAATCCCAGCTACTAGGGAGGCTGAGGCAGGAGAATCACTTGAACCTGGGAGGCAGAGGTTGCAGTGAGCTAAGATGGCACCACTGCACTCCAGCCTGGGTGAGATTGAGACTCCATCTTAAAAAAAAAAAAAAAAATCTGTGTAGTTATTCATCCAGCAAAACAGTATATGGAATAGATGCCCAGTTCTCCTTTCCTTAAATGGAAAGATCTAGATGTAAATTTTCAAAATAATCTGACAGTTAAATGCAAATTAAGGGTTTCACAATTGGATAATAGAATAAAATTTTTTGCAAACCAAAGGCTATCTGGTAGAGTCTAACATAGCTCGTGGACTAAGTTTTACAAAAGGTACCTAGCTGCATTTGTCACGGAGGGAGGTTTCCTGTGATTTCAGCCCCTCGTATTATATATAAAGTTGACCCAATTAGAGTTTGGATTGGGATGGGCATTTTTAGTTCTCTGCTCTCAGACACCTGGGCTTCAGTTCCCATTTATGCTTCAAAAACAGTTGAAGTTCTTCTTTTCCCATACACCAATGTTCTGAACTCCACTGCCAATTCTGTGAGCTATTCCTTCAGACATTTGCTAAATGGGAAGTGGTGAGAAAACTGCCTAGAACACCCACACTGAACTGCTGATTCTCCCAGTTCCCAGAATGCTGGCTGGGTGGGACTGAGCCTGAACACTATGTCAGCTGGAGTCCACAGCACAGGCCCCAGCCAGGGAGCTGTGGCCCCGCTCCCTCATCCCTTCACCCTCCTCCTCACTCCTTGCCCCTTGAACCTCCACCAAAAAGTAAGTGGTCATGGGGAGTGAAAGGTGAAACTCAGATCATTCCCAGGGGAAGAGTTTTAATGTAAGACTCCATGGGCAGGACACTGAAAGAAACTTCTATCTAAAAGGAGGTTGGAGAACTGTATGCAGATTTCATTGATCTGCATTTATACCACCTTCCAAGGCCATTGAAGCTACTCTGTGGCCCCTAACCTTTTAAGAATAGTAACACACCAGTGCTGCCTGATTTTCCCAGCACCTTGTCTCCCCTCCACCTCTGAGAGGTGCTGGGGGAAAGTTCAGGGTGATTTAAATTATTTTGGTTTTCACACTATAGAACCCACCATGTAATTAAACAGAAACACAAAAGAGTGACCTATGCAAAAATCTGTGCTCTATTATTTTGTAACATATGTAAACATAGTATATACAAATGTGTAATTACATATCAATATATCTTTATATATTATGTTAAATTTATAAATTTCTATGTATAAGGCTTATATTTGTCAGTAAAATAGGTACAATAATCTCAATTCTCTGGTAAAAAATAAGATTCAAAGCGGTCCAATGACTTTCTACAAATCACTTAGCTAACCTCCAGTGGAACCAGGAATCACAAACGCATCCCCTCCGCATGCACGAGCACGTTCAAATCACAGCATTTTTACAAGTTAAAGACGGAACTCCCATATATCAAAAATAGTGTAGAAATGGTCGCATACATTATGTCATATCTACCCACCCAATGGAATAGTATTTCCCATTTAAGAAAGATGAAGAATCTATGAAAGCATGGAAAATGTGCATCATTGAGTGTGAAAGTTAAAATAACACCACAAAATCATGTGGACTCAAACGTGTAAAAATGCGCCTGTGAAAAAGACGGAAGGGGACACACAAAAGCGAAAGTAATGATGCAAAAGGGCTGAAAGTTACAGCGACTTTTTTCTTCTTCTATGTTCCAGACTTTTTTGTTTTGTTATTTCGTTTTATAATTTAAAAGAAAACCTTAAACAGAAGTTCTCTGACTCCAGGCTCAGCGCTGCCTCCAATGAGAAAGTGTCATTCACTCTCCTGCCCTCATCCCCAGCTGTCTACTGGGAACTAATTTGGGACTGGGTTGTGGGTTCCTAACACTACCCAGGAAGCTGGAATGACAGGAAAAGCCAGGACTCCCTAGTTCCAATCCCCAGCATTCACCCCAGCCGGCCCCAGCTTCCTCAGCACAACCCCGGGCTCTAGCTGTGTATAGCCTCTGCTCATCAGGGGCCTCGCTGCTTATGAATTATGAAAACTCGCTGGGTGTGCCCACCGGTGCATATGGATCAGCTGACACCCGAGTGCTGAAGACATAACAAAGGACTTCACCGCTTGGTATCAATGTCGATTTAAAAATCAAAAGCTTTGCTTTGCGAACTTTATCCTTCCACGTCAGTGGGGCGCTATTTAAAAGATACCCCAAAATAACTGTTCAATGACTGCTTCCCAAAAAATTACAACTAAGCATTTCTTTAGCAGTGGATAGCAGCATTCCCTCAACATTGGCCACCCTGCCATGTGCGGGGCTTTCTCCTTTAACAGCACATAGCTGCGGGTACCAACGTCAAAGACAGGAAAGAGTAAACCAAAAGGTGTGTACCTTTGTGTGATTCCATGTGTACTTGTGTGTAAACTAGAATCCAAATAAATTATTTCCGGAATGCGAAACCGAGAAGGAGCTGGGTCTCCCAAATTTGGGAAGATTGTAACAACTCAGGCATTTCACAGAGCACTGTGAACCACTGTTTTACTGAAACAATATTGGCTGACTTAATGTGAGTGTCAGATTAGCACACAGTTGCATCAACTATATAATTAAGAGCATATGTAAATATACCCCCAAAACCCAGGTTTTCCAACATTTACAAGGCACAGAGCCTGAAAAAAAATCCATAAGACCCATTCGCGGCTGGGCGCGGTGGCTCACGCCTGTAATCCCCAGCACTTTGGGAAGCCGAGGTGGGTGGATGACCTGAGGTCAGGAGTTCGAGAACAGCTGGTCAATGTGGAGAAACCCCGTCTCTACCAAAAATTTAAAAATTAGCCAGGCCTGGTGGCGCACGCCTGCAGTTCCAGCGACTCGGGAGGCTGAGACAGGAGAATTGCTTGAAACCGGGAGGCGGAGGTTGCAATGAGCCGACAGGGTGCCACTGCACTCCAGCCTGGGCGACAGAGCAAGACTCCATCTCAAAAAAAAAAAAGACCCATTTGCCTGATTGCACCTCAGAAACCCCTGCTTCTAGGTAATGAAATTTGCCCAGTATTCTTTGATATCTACATTTTGGGAACAGCCCAAGGTTTTTGCTTCCAGTGGAGGCCTTGAGATTTTTACAGAGTGAGATCTGCACAGCTCAGATCCACAGCCACCCTTCCTGGGTGTTCTCAAAGATTTTTATCCACCCACCTCCTGAAACTGAGAAACTTCTTTAAAAACTCAGCTTCTGAAAAAAAAAAAAAAAATTATGGCTCTACAATAAGCAAAGGAAAAGGTATCTTTCTTCTGTCTCCAGAAGATCTTAGGGACCGTAAACTCTGCTCTTAAGGGAGACAGGGGGATTGTTTTATATTTGAAAAGTGATAAAACAGAACTGAGCAAGGCATGGGCTGCAACCAGGAAGAACCCTACCAAACTGGAAATTAACCAGGATAACTCAAGCCTCCAACGTCTCAAAGCCCTCCAGGGCTCCATGCAGCTAGACCTCCCCTCACTTCTCTGCCAACACCAAGTGTAAGAGTGCCCTTTAGAATTGGCTGGGAATTTAGCTGCTGCCTTCTCTGAAATACCCAGTGGCTACATATAAAATATACAGTGCCACAGCAGATTTCCTTGTACATGATATCCACATAAAATTTCCCCATCAGTAAACCCAGGTGGGAGGCCTCCAGACAGCAAGGCAGAACCAACGGTCTGGGGAAGTAGAGAGGTTTCCAGAGTCAGCCTCGCTCTAATGACGATGCCAGGCACATACTTGAGAACATACTTTCTGAACAGAAAAAAACCCTATAGTGCTGCCACTAAATGGCTGTGTGGCCTTCGGTAAGTCACTTAACCTCTCTGGGTTTCAGTTTCCTCCTCTGTAAAACAAAGTGTTGGACCAGATATATAACAAAGGTCATTCTCAAATCCCTGACATTCACTGAAAGATTATTCATGGTCCAGCCAGGAGAGGAGAAATTGAGGTGGACAGGAATTACGGGAATCTTGCTATTTAAGCAAGGAAGTGAGGCCAGACACGGTCGCTTATGCCTGTAATCCCAACACTTTGGGAGGCTGAGGCAGGCCGACCGCTTGAGCCCAGGAGTTTAAGACCAGCCTTGACAACACAGAGAGACCCCCCATCTCTACAAAAAATACAAAAATTAGCTGGGCATGGTAGCATGCGTCTGTAGTCCCAGCTACTGGGGAGGCTGATGTGGGAGGATCACCTGATCCTAGAAAGTTGAGGCCGCAGTAAGTTGTGATCACACCACTGCACACCAGCCCGGGTGACAGAGTGAAACTCTGTCTCAAAAAAAAAAAAAAAAAAAAAAAAGTACATGAGGGGTTGGGAAGGTTTCATGAGCTTAATGATTACATGTGACATAGACTTAAGATATGCATTTATTTGTACAACACATATTTGTTGAGCAACTATTATATGCTGGGTATACACCATGGTTCTTGCCTTCTTGAAGCTTATGGTTCAGATAACAGTTGTCTCTGACTGCTGGGTCCACTTTCCTTGCCTTTGTTCACGCAATAGCCCCCACCTAGAATGCCCTCCACCTGCTTAAATTCTACCATATTCAACTCCCAGCTCCTTCATGAAGCTTTCCTGTACTATTAATGCAGTCTACTCTAACTTCTCTCTCACTGGGCTGTAGTATTTACAGAAGCATTGTTGAATGTGGAATCACATGACTTTCGAATTGCTGTTAAGTGCCCCCAAACTGTCACCCTCCCTAGATTATAAACTCCCAAAGACAGGGGCAGTTCTGTCATGTCCACCACGGCACCAAACTCACCAGTTTCTCAATATATACACCTTGTTCGATGCTTGACTGTGTGAAAATCTTGGTTAAACTCAGTGGGCTTGTTTACTGGTCATTTGAGAGTTCATTTTTATGTCAACCTTTATTTTGTAAATCTTTTTCAATTGGATTATTCTACTTTCCTCATATGATACACCAATAACAACAACTTTAAAAAAAAACTGACTTTTTAGGGGGATGGCACAATACTCTGTGATTCATCAATGTCACTAACAATACTCTGTCAGTTGTAACAGACATAGGTGGAGACGGTTCCTAAGATAAAAGCTGAATGGATAAGAATAGAGTTGATTGTAAGCCAGCATGTTCCAAGATTTGTAAGCAACTGAACTCTCTTGTTAAATAAAATCATATAAAGAAGCCCAGTGTGGACAAAGGCTCTGCCAAAGGCAACATGGGGAGCCCAGGCCTCCACCTGGCCATGACACCCTCACCCCCATCAGCTCTGTGACACTTTTCTGTAACCCATGAGGCTCTGCTGAGCACAACCCCAAAGCCACTGGTCTAGATTTTACCCTGGAATTAAAAAAAAAAACTGATAATTTGCATCTTTCTCATAAAAGCAGAAGAGGAAGATAAGGCTAAAGAAGCAGAGGTGAGGGTAAGGACAGAAAGAGCAAGAATATTGGAATCTGACTTAGCAAAGAGTCATATTTATTGGATATTAGTTTTATATGACTTGGATAATATGATACATATATGAACATCACAGATATAGGAATGTTTTTATATTAAATAAAATAAAACATGTATTGAGACCTTAACTGTGTGCTCAAACACTGGTTGGTACTATTATTTCCCGCCATTTTGCAGATAAGGAAACTGAGGCACAGAGAGGCTCAGTAGCTTGCTCAAGTTCACACAGTTGGTAAGCAGTATGGGAGCTGACCCCAGGCAGTCTCCAGAGTCCTTCTCTTCATCACTCTATGGCTGGCTCTCCAAGTCATTTACACCTTCAAAACACAACCATCGTATCACCTTTTATGTGCTCGACACTTTACAGATTTCTAAGAACTTCTATGAGTGGCATCATATCCATGCCCTTCAACAATCATGAGTGAGGATTACTGCCTTGGCTTTTCAGCTGAGGAAACTGAAGCACACAAAGATTAAGTTTTATCAAGAATAATACAATCAAACCAGAACCCAGGTCTCCTAACTTCCAGGTTGAATGCTTCTGTATCGTGCTACTCTTCTTGAACACAAACTGCATAAGAACCCACCCCCATTCCAATGCCCTCCAAAAGGTGTTCATTGTGCTCCCTAGAAGCCCCTGCCCTCAGGGGCTTCAAGCATTCATGTGGGCTCCAGGTAGTAGCTGTGTGTCTGCAGACACACAACCACACAGGTATATACTACAGTAATATACAAAACTCATAATCATCTTCATTGTCATGTCTTGAGGAGATCTACCAATTTGCTAGGTTTTTTATAGAGACTCTCATAATTCACTGAATTTTTTCATAACATAGGTGCATTCCAAGGACAGCTTAGTGGTGTCCAGGGGTTTTTCAAAAGACCTAATTCCTCAGGATTGCTGGTTCCTCCCAGCCTAGCACTTCTTGTCCATGGATCCATTTGGCCACTCACTGGATAGCAGGTTGGGGAGTGTAGATAGAAGAGAAATAAAGAGGGTAGAGCACATACTCCCACCCTGGGGCTCTTCACACAGTTCTGAGAGCCCTGGGCTCATCAAAGAGCTGCCCACAGAGCCACACTGAGCCAGAGACAAGCAGACAAGCTTTGATCTTCCCAAGGCTCCATTAGTCCCTATGTCCCAGCCATTAGTGAGCCCCTACTAATGGAGAATTCCCCATGCACATGCAGAAATATTCTAGGTGATCACACATGCACACATTTAAATGAGTTTTATAAGTCCATATACGCAAATATGAATGTTGATACATGCATTAAGGAGCATATTTTAATCTGCCAAAACTTATCTCTGGGGTGTTACCACATTATGCACTGGGGATGAGAAACAAGGGAACTAGGAGGCTCATATGATCTCAGCTTCAGTCAATGAATAAATCATCTGCTCATATTTATTGAATAACTTCCATGTAGCTGGCATTATGCTAAGTTATAGAAATAGAAAAGTAATGTGATCTAATCCAGCCAGGAATCTACAATCTAGTTGAAGAGAGAATTATAAGGGTAACATTTTACATTTTGCATAATATTTTCTATTTTACGAAATGCTTTATCAGATACCATCCTCCAGCATTCACAAGACATTTGCTACTAGGACCATTTTGCAGATAAGGAAAACCAAGGCTCAGAATTGATTTGCCCCAAGTCGCATAACTAAATAGTGGAAAAGCAAGAACTTCTACTCAGTTCTTTAGACTCCAAATCCACAGCTCTTTCCAAAAAACTATGTTCGTTCTGCAAAACAAGACTAATACACAAAAACTAAACTAGCAACATTGTATCATCCTATCATATTTAATTAATTATGTGATATCCAAACACAAGGGACAGTTGCGGTGTAGAGGAAAGAACACTGGTCTTAGAGTCAGGCAACCTAGGCTCTGTCACTTACTGACAAAATATTTGGCTTTGCACAAATGCCTTAGCCTCTTTGGGCCTCAGTGTTCCATAAAATGAGTCTGATAGCTTCCCTAGAAGGTTATTACAGGCATAAATGCATGTGAGAATGCTTTAGAAACAGAAAAGGATGAATTAAATGTGACTCTTCAGGAATGAGTGGTGAAATAGTAGGAAGAGGCCCTTCTCTGCTGGGTGTTGACAGATAACAAACTCATAGGATGGGCCAATGCCACATCACAGCAGCTTTCACCATCTCCCATGTGACATTAAGGCAAGGTTTTGGCTTGCAATACATTCAAATCTGGATTATAAAGATCTGTGTCGTAGTAAACTTGTAAAAGGGCAAGACCTCATCTAATCCCCTCTAAAGATGAAAAAAGACATGATTTATAAAGTATGTTATTTGGCATAGGAAGCTCTGATTCTTTAAATAAATATCCATGTAAACAAGGGGTTTCAGAGACTATAGACATTTTACATTTGTCCTCATATGCCGGAGGCGCTTGGGAATCAACATGATTCAGATACATGACAACGCAAATGGCTTGCAGACAACTCTCCCACATTTACAAGTAGTTTAAATTTCTGACCCTGTCTCTTTCCAGTATGCCTGCAATTGAAAGACATTGTGTATTCCATGTAAATAACAGGAAGATGGGCACATGAGTCTCCCGTTCCGTAAGCTAAGTGGATTTGGCTTTCTGGATAAGAGAGCCATGGGTGGCCTTGCTCCTATACTCACCAGTGAGTAAACATCAGAAGCAACAGCAGCAGCAAGGCAGCCTCACCAGGAAGCCTTACACTGAGAGCTAATGGCTTTCCTCTCTACCAGTTCACTTGGCCTAGGGGTCAACTTCTAGAGCCTAAAGCTGCATTAGGATTGGCTTGGGGATTCAGTCCCTAGTGGCTCTCTCCTGTCATCTCCTCTTCCCAGCCTTGAAGGTTGCAGTAGAAAAGGAAACCTGAGATCAGGAAGCAAGATCTAATTTGCCTGCACGCAGTAGGTATACAAAGACATCTTACTGAAACTCCAGTTTTACACAGCCAGTCATGTTACATAAAAAAATGTCCTTATACATCTGCATGTATATAATACAGAGCTATGGGTTATACACACACACACACACACACACACACACACACATAAAATCAATAGACACATTTCTACACCAGCACATCCTTCCTCTGAGTTTAAAATACCCTATTTATATGTGGATTGTTATATTACATAATAATAAGAAAGGTCTGTTAAGTCAAAACTTTACAAGATCATATGTAACGTTGTTTTAAACAGAAAGCTTAAAATGAGCAATGTTCAGTATAATCCAAGAACCCTCCTCAATGTCAATCTGGGATGAAAAATTAAAAGCCAGATTTAGCCAGCTTGGGGCCAAGCACTCATGTTCAGATTCTACAACTGTGCTGTAAGAAAACAGCCTGTCTCTCTTATCCCAACAAAATCTACTAGCTCCAGCACAGAATCCAAGTCCTCTGTCCTTTCAAGCCAAGAAAAGGGGCAGTCCTTACCACCACAATGGACCAGCCTGGAAATATTAAATTGACTCAGCCCATGTCTTCTTAGATACAACTTAACAACTCTGAGTTTACAAAACTCAGCCAAATGGCATCAGGCTTCAGCATAAACTTTTGCTAACTAGCCCACATAGTTCCCATATGCTACGCGATGTTGTTTGAGCCAACTCAGTACCTTATAATTATAAACACACGTCTTTCAGCTCTTCTGTGTATTCTTCCCAGGCAGAACGGAAATATGTCACTTAAATTAGCACTTGGAGTACAGAGTGGATGCCAAATTTGGGTTAGCACAAACAGGGTAAATAAAGCAGCACCAAATTAAAATGGTAAAATAAACTTCTTTATGCTCCAGTGGAAACTGCTAAGTCCTAGCTGAATGGCAGCTAATGGGTCTGGGAAAAGGATATCCCTCAAACTGTAGCTCTTGGCTTTTGAATACAGTTTTCTCATCCAAGGATCTCGAAGCAATTTCTTGCAAAACTCGAGTAGTGTGAAAAAAATAAAAAAAAAGGAGATGCTGTTTCTTTTGCAAACTCTTCTGCCATCATTTTTCCTCAGCATTCTCTTCCAATAATACTGGGAAAGTTTGTATTTTTATCCTTATTTAATTCATGGGGAGAGGGAGAGATTTTAGGGGAATAAATGAAGGCACGTAGGTGGGGGTTCATTTGGCAAAAGCCAAGGAGCAAGAATATATCACAGAAATCCAATCACAATAAGCCTCACAGAGAGAAGCCTTTGTGCCTATTCTGTCTAATCAGAACCACCACCTATTGAGGCCCATTGTATGCCAGGAACTGAACTGGAAGACTTTTATAGATGGTCTCACTTTCTTCCCACCACAATCCTGTGAGTTGGAAATTATCACCTCCATTTTACTCATGCATTCTGAAGGTGTTCTGGGAACAAAGACTGGAGGGGTCTGGAAATGGGGGCAGAAAATAGAGGACTGCCGGGTGCAGTGGCTCATGCCTGTAACCTCAGCACTTTGGGAGGTCGAGGCGGGCAGATCACTTGAGGTCAGGAGTTTGAGACCAGCCTGGCCAACATGGTGAAACTCCATCTCTACTAAAAATAGAAAAATTAGCCACGCATGGTGGCGGGCACCTGTAATCTCAGCTACTTGGGAGGCTGAGGAAGGAGAATCGCTTGTACCCAGGAGGCAGAGGTTGTAGTGAGCCGAGATCGCACAACTGCACTCCAGCCTGAGCAACAAGAGTGAGACTCTGTCTCAAAAAAATAAGTAAGGGACAGCAAAAACAAAAGGGAGAGTTCACAACCACTTCATTCATGATGACAAACACTGAGCAGCAATAGACTAGCTAAGCAAATTGTGGCAGAGTCATTCAACAGAATACCACTTGGCAATGAAAAAGGAACAACTGTGGATACAGGTATCAATATGATGAATCTTTTTTTGTTTGTTTTTTGTTTTTAGACAGAGTCTCACTCTGTCACTCAGGCTAGAGTGCAGTGGTGCAATTTAGGCTCACTGCAACCTCCACCTCCCGAGTTCAAGTGATTCTCCTACCTTGGCCTGACAGGTGAAACCCTGTCTCTGCTAAAAATACAGAAAATTAGCTGGGCATGGTGGCAGGCGCCTGTAATGCCAGCTGAAGCTGAGGCAGAAGAATTGCTTGAATCTGGGAGGCAGAGGTTACAATGAGCCACGATCGCGCCATTGCACTCCAGCCTGGGCAACAGCGTGAGACTCTGTCTCAAAAAAAAAAAAAAAAAAAAAAAAGCAAAAGGCAGTGTATAGGCCAAGACCAGATGCAAGCCAGGAGTGGAGAAAGTCTTTTCCAAACACCAGCTCAGTGGAGCTGAACTAGGAACTGCACAACGTGTCTCATGGTTGTCATGCCACCTCCATTTGGTGGTGCGCTTGGTCAGAACCTAGATTAAGAGAGTGGAGAGGATTCAAGTGTCGTTTGTATTAAAGCCACAGACCCATCAGGCCCAAAGGCAACAGAACTTCTTTAAATCAAAAATTTCATATTTAAGGCCAGGCATGGTGGGTGGCTCACTCCTGTAATCCCAGCACTTTCGGAGGCCAAGGCAGGCAAATTGCTTGAGCTCAGGAGTTCGAGACCAGCCTGGGCAACATGGTGAGACTTCATCGCTACAAAAAAATACAAAAATTAGCAGGGCTTGGTGGCACATGCCTGTGGTCCCAGCTACTTAGGAGGCTGAGGTGGGAGGATAGCTTGAGCCCACGGAGCAGAGGTTGCAGTGAGCTATCACCCCACTGCACTCCAGCCTAGGCGACAAGAATGAGGCCTTGTCTCAAAAAAAAAAAAAATCATATTTGGAAATTAAAAGAATATCACAGGCAAAAGGGGAGCTGTGCTGGTCAATGTGTGGAAAGGGACCCAGCTTTGTGTGCTGAGTTGATCCACCACCTTTCCCTGCCCCCACCTCCTTCAGTGACATAATAATTCCAAAGTCCCTACGGACACCAAAGGCTCTCAATACACTGGGAAAGTGGAAAATCCACTCCCCTGAAAAACAGAAGATGAGGTCATTATTCTTCCACTAAGTGGTGGCCTCAAGCAAGTCAATGAAGTGCCCAGAACCTTAGTTTTCTTAGCTCTGTCTGCACTGTCAACCACCTTTGGATAAGAGGTGCAAATGAGACATCACTGAATAAATTTTTAAGCACTTTGCAAATGCCCAGCTATTAGGACTCCTCTTCCCTATAAATTGGCCACATCTGTTAGCAGACTTCCAGTTCAAAATGACCTTCTGCTAACAGCCCCTATGCAGTTTCCCCTGCCTCTTACTACAAGACCTAGAGAGGCAACATAAAGGAAAGATGTTCATAGCAACACTGAAAATTACTTCTGAAATGCATCTCAATTTCATTCACTGCTTTCCATCTATACTGCCACCCTCCTGGTCTGAGCCATGCCCATTTCCTTTTTATGTCTTTGTAAGAGCCACCTTGACTGCTCTCCCAGTTGCATTTCTGCTACACTCTGTCTCAAGCTACTTTCCAGTTCATTCTTCACGCAGCAACCGGGGGAAACTGCAACCACTGTGTGGAATGCAAGCTTGAGATGCTCCCTAGAACACAGAGGGGTGAGACAAAGGAATGTAATAGAAGAAGCATTAAAAAATGTAATACAGTAATATTTTTCTGAGCTGAAGAAATGTATGCAAATTTTAAATGTCCATTATGTCTTTTGGGGGGGTGGGGGAAGCTTATTATGTTCCAGGAATAATCGATGAAAATCTAGGTGTACCCAAACTTTCCTATCTCAACATTAAATGCTAGAATATACTGGGCAATGTCTAAATAGTTAGAAAAGGATATGGCCTAAGAGTTTTACAGCCACTATTTTGAAAAGGAAGACCTCAGAGAAAGACTCTAAGGTATTCAAAGTGTCAGAAAACATAGGACCTATATACCCTGCTTGACAAGATTATTAAAGATGCAATCCAACATTAGAAAAATAAAGAAAAATTAAAAGCTTAAAATGCAGATATCATAATATGAAGGGGACTAGTGAGGAACACTAAAACCAATCAAAATAGAGGTAAGCCTAATAATCAACATAAATATGACTATAAAACTTACATATTAAAAATAATGATCAAAATAGAAGATACACGAAAACTTGATACAATTATATTAGTCTGGATATAGTAGCCAAATTTATTATTTAAAAAGACCAAGAAATGGCAACAGAAGAAAAGAATAGGAATGATGTAAGGCAAAATTTTATAAAACTATTGTGCCAAACAGAAATAGGACTTCCACTTATGACTGACACTAATAGAAATATAGGCTAAAAAAACTTCTTGAAAACAATTTAATAGTAATATTAAAGAAGATATACATTCTATTCTACTGTAAAGACACTTGGACATGTATGTTCACCGCAACACTATTCACAATAGCAAAGACATCAGATCAACTTAGATGCCCCAAAATGGTGAACTGGATAAGGAAAAGGTGGTACATATACACTATGGAATACTATGCAGCCATGAAAAAAGAACAAAATCATGTCTTTTGCAACAATGTGGATACAGCTGGAGGCCATTATTCTAAGTGAATTAACACAGGAGCAGAAAACCAAATGCTGCATGTTCTCACTTATAAGTGGGAGCTAAACACTGAGTACACATGGACACAAATAAGGGAACAACAGACATTGGGACTACTTGAGGGTGGAGGGTAGGCAAAAAAAACTACCTATGTGTGCTATGTTCACTACCTGGATGACAGAATAATTTATACACCAAACCCCAGCAATATGCAATTTACCCATGTAACAAATGTGCACATGCACCCTCTGAACTTAAAATAAAAGTTAGAAGGAAAAAAATTAAATAAATAAATACCTGGAATAAAATTTCAATTCCTTGTAATGAAAAAAAAATTTTTTTTAAAGAAGATATATACAGTAGGCGTGGTGGCTCACACCTGTAATCCCAGCACTTTGGGAGGTTGAGGTGGGCAGATCACGTGAGGTCAGGAGTTCGAGACCAGCCTGACCAACATGGAGAAACCCCATCTCTACTAAAAATACAAACATTAGCCAGGCGTGGTGGTGCATGCCTGTAATCCCAGCTACTTGGGAGGCTGAGGCAGGAGAATCGCTTGAATTTGGAAGACGGAGGTTGCAGTGAGCTGAGATCGCACCACAGCACTTGAGCCTGGGCAACAAGAGTGAAACTCTGCCTCAAAAAATAGAAATAAAAATAAAAATGATATATACATTCCAACATATGTTAAAAGATTTAAAGCAAACATATTTATACAAAAATACAACAGATGAAAGAAATAAAAACAATAAAAAATGGAAGACAGATCCATGAGCAAAAATATCTGCTATAATAATAAACGTAAATAAGTTAAGCTCTCGCATTAAAAAGGAATTGAATAAAATATTCATGTTAGATCGAAAATATGTATGCTATTTAAAAGAACACTCAGATGTTCCATAACTCCATGAATTTATGAAAAATCACTGAAGTGCACACTGAAAATGAATGAATTTTATGGTATGTAAACTACACCTCAATAAACTGTTTTTAAAAAACACCCAAATAAAAAATTATATGTAAAAAGATGTATAAGGGATTATGAGAAAAACATAAACCAAAATTAAGCAGAGGTCACAAAACTAATAGTAGGCGATATAAAGTTAAAAGTAAAAAAATGCATTAACTGTGTAAAAAAGCTAATTTTATAATAATAAAAAGAGCTAACATTTATATTAATAATACATAGTAATCATAAATATAAATAAATTACATCAAAATATATAAATTTTAAAGTATTAGAATTCCAAAGAAAAATTGGCAGAAAAATAATTATAGCTAGAGATTTTAACGTATCCTCCTTGCTGTTTGGCAAATAAAATAGACTAAAAAATAAACAAGGTAGGGCCAGGTACAATGGATCATGCCTGTGATCCCAACACTTTGGGAAGCCAAAGCCTGAGACTGGCAGATCACTTGAGCTGAGGAGTTCGAGACCAGTTTGGGCAACATGGCAAAACCCCATCTCTACCAAAAAGTAAAACAATTGGCCAGGCATGGTCCCACGCCTGTCATCTACTGGGAAGGCTGCAGTGGGAGGATGGCTTGAGCCCAGGAGGTGAAGGTTGCAGTGAGCCAAGATCATGCCACTGTACTCTAAGCCTGGGCAACAGAGTGAGACCCTGTCTCAAAAAAAAAAAAAAAAATGAAGAAGGTTGAAGAAGATGTGAAAAACATTAATGAAATTTTTTCCAGCATCCCAAAAGGCAAAAATTGTTCAAATCACTTTTTCTAAC
Organism: Homo sapiens; assembly: GCF_000001405.40. NCBI lineage: Eukaryota > Metazoa > Chordata > Mammalia > Primates > Hominidae > Homo > Homo sapiens. Next base: position 25,996,403 of record NC_000008.11, read on the forward strand.
CAAACTGAATAATTTAAGGTAATCTCTTAAATTTTAACAAATTAACAAATCAGTCACTTAAAAATCAGAACTGCAAATTGAGTACTTACAAAAAATGATTATCAGAAAAAAAATTACTGAAACTCATGAAAAATCATGGCCAAAACTGCACACAGAGGAAAATGCATAGCCCAAAGTGCTTTGTTTTAAAAAAATAAGAAAAGAAAAACTAAAAAATAAACTAAGAATTAAATCAAAGAAACTTAAAAGTGAAATAAACCCACAGAAAGCAGAATAATGGAATTAACAAAGATTAAAGTAGACCATAATTAAGCAGAATTGACAATAAAATTAAATAATTTAAATATAAACTGGAAAAACTTCTGCCAAGGATAAGAGGAAAGATGGTAAGAGAATGAGAGAAAAAGAGAACACAAAGGCAAGTACCTCATTAGTAATGAAAAACATTCAGAATTTACAGTTAAAGTGGAGATTTTTTTAAATTGTGAAGAATACTACGTATAATCATGTGCTAATAAGTATAAAAATGTTGACTAAATCCACTATTTTTAGGGAAATACTAAATTTCAGAATAAAACTTTTTCAAGATCTTGCAACAATTTTCATAAAACTAAAAGAGTTTTATTAAGCAGCCTATGAGCAAAAAAACAAAAAGCACAGGAGGTCATGGAGATGGGTCACCATGCAATCCTGGAGACAGCACAGCTGGAGCAGAACTTGCAGGTGGTGTGGTGTGGTGTGACCCACTCCCTACCGCCCACTCTGTGCTAAAATCCACTCTATTTCATGCTATGGTTTCATTCCACTGAGGTTGGTAAGCCCCAAAGACACATTCTCTCAGATTATCACCATTGTTCATGCAATAGTTAAGAAAAAGAAAAAATTAGGCCAGGCATTGTGGCTCACACTTGTAATCCTAGCACTTTGGGAGGCCAAGGCAGGCAGACGGTTTGAGCTCGGGAATTTGAGACAAGCCTGGGCAACATAGCGAGACCCCATCTCTATAAACAATACAAAAATTAACCAAGCATGATGGTGTGCACCTGTAGTCCCAGATATTCAGGAGGCTGAGGTGGGAGGATCACTTGAGCCCAGGAGGTTGAGACTGCAGTGAGCCAAGATTGTACCACTGCACTCTGGCTCTGGGCAACAGAACCAGATCCTATCTCAAAAAAAAAAAAAAAAAGTAATCAAACAGACCCATTCTAACCATCTCCATCTGACATGGAGTATAACAGAAAGAACATTCAAATTGGGAGCTGGAAGCTAGAGTTCTAGACCTGTTCTATCATTAACTATAGTTTCAGTGCTATCTTGAGAAGGCAGTTTCTCTCTCTGGCCCTTAGTGGATATACAAGGCTCAGTTAGACTATGGGGCAATCCCATAGAACCAGTTTTCAAACAAATCTGAGAAAAAGAACAGCAATGTTGGTTCAAATAGCAGTTTCCTCTGCATGAAACTGGGTAAAAAAGCTAATTTTATAATAATAAAAAGAGCTAACATTAATAATAATACACAGTAATCATAAATAAAAATATACATCAAAATATATACATCTTAAAAGTATTAGAATTCCAAGGATAAATTGGCAGAAAAAAAATTATAACTAGAGACTTTTAACTTATCCCTCTTGCTCTTTGGCAAACAAAATAGACTAAAAAATAAAGTTGGAGAAGATGTGAATAACATTAATGAAATTGTTTTTTAGGTCTTCTTAGGCCTTCTTCCCCATCCCTCCTAGCTGCCATCACCATCCCTGGGTCGTGGCACACTTACTCTACAAAATAAGGGCAAGACATAATTCTACAAGCAAGCTCACAGTGTCATGAAGGAGAGATGACTTACAATGTCAGGCAGTGGGAGGGAAAACAAGAGAAGTCACCAGATGGGTGGTTCAAGCAATAGGTGTGAAGGAAACAGACAAGGATATCAGTGTCAGGAGAAGAGAGAAACTGGTGGCACAAAAGAAGCAAACTCAATCTTTCTCGCACTATTTCAAGCCATAGAAGAAGAAGGAATGTCCAACTCTGAAAGGGACACCAGCCGTAGGAAGAAAGATGAAGCAAGTGCATTTTCGGTGGTTTTGTTAGGGCAAAACTGCTGTAATTTGAATAATCTCCACATGGTGATTCAGATGGATCCTTCCATGTAAACTCCAGTGGTGACGTTCTGCTTTCTTCCCATTTATTTGTAGTACTTTCTGGGTTGTGTTTCAGAGTGTCATTTAATGTCATTTTATGACTCCCTGGTTGTAAGTGTCTGAGTATTACCAGGGCTTAGAGATTTACAGCCTATTTTAAACTCAGATAATGATGTTTAATTTGTTATTGGCTGTGTAAAGGTTAACAAAGAAATAACTCAAATTATCATCTCAGGGATAACACATTACAAGAGGGCAATTAAGCACACTACCTGGCATTACACAAAAGATTGATATCTCGTTACAAGAGCACAGATGAGTTCAGATTTCACAATACAGGAAATACACTCGTCACCACCGTCTCTCTTTGAATAAACAAATTTCGGGTCCCACTTGCCAGCGCCACTGAGTAACTAGTATAGGGAAAGAAAAAACTTTTCAAGAAAAGGAAAAGATTGACATGTGGCCAATTTCTTGTAGAAGAGCTGGAGAAGAAAGAGAGAAACTCAGGATCCTAGAGAAAATCAGGTTGATGTTACTGAAGTGAAAGATTAGGTTCCCTCTTAGTTATAAACAAGCTTAGAGAAAAACAGACATGTACCCAATAGGCCCTTGAGAAGAGAAAGCAAAATAAATAAAACCATCAGAGCCAAACTGTTATTAAATTGTCTCTGAAATGGAAAATGAAAAACAATCTATTGCCACCATCATTTTTGTCTATTTTCTTCTCCTCAAGACACACATTCATGATGATTTGGTTCGCATTCTGTGGATTTGGGGGCCAATGAAGATATAAATAAATATTATTTTTAAAAACTCATCAGATGAAGATGTATTTGAATTTTCCAGCCCTCTCTTTCTGGAGTTATTTGCTAATGTAGCATGTCTCATGAAAACTCTCATCTGACGAATGCCCTGTTTACCTCCCTCAAAGAGAACTTGCAATTTTTTTTCCTATACTCATTTTCCATTCCTTTTCTTTTCTTCCCTCCGCAATCTTGGTCTCTCTACATCTGGGTTTTTAATTTCCTTCTGCATTTCCCTACATGTCTTCTGCTTTCTTTCATGTTTTTACTCTGGATCTTGTCTTTCCTCTTTTTTTTTTTTTGTCTTTGCCTCCCATCTTCCCAAACCGTCCCCCATATCCACACACGCCCTCTCCTGTGAAAGTTCCTCCCTTCCATTTTCTCTTTCTATCGTCGTGTTCAGTCTGTCCACTCAGCTCTTCTCTGTTTAGTCTTTCTACCATCACATTTCTGCAGTTCTCTATTTCCTCATCGTTTTCTTTGCTGCCTGCCTCCCACTAAATTTCTCTAGTACCAGCCGTGTGGCTCAAAACCCATCTCCACTTGGACCAAGACATCAAAAGTCTCTGAAATGTATCTAGCCCCAGTCCATGGGACCTCAGAACTCAAGGCAGTAGCACTAGCAACTCAAAAACAAGGGACCTGACTACCCTGGCAGAAAACTCCTGAGCAGCCAGAAACTCATAACAGCGGGCCATGAAAATTGTAGACATCACAATTTTATTGTCCCAGGATATTTCTGGAGTCCTAGAACTTCCTAAGTTACAGTCGAATGAGAATCTGGCATTTGAGTCCTTACTCCCAAATCCTCCTCACACAGGGGAATTGGGAGAGACCCAGCCTTCTGTTTGGCTTTATGTTGTCCAGGTACAAAGGGTGATGTATATATTTGTCACTGGGCACCACAGTTTGGCTTGCTCCATTACAAAGCAGTGCAAATGCTAGCTACACCATCATCATCAATATCGCTAAGTGGCCTTTATGAAGCTCAAACATATTTTGGGTCCAGTGGTAAGTCTTGGGGAAGATGGAGAAGACATGGTCCCTGTTGTCTCTGCACTTACAGCCTGGAAACTAGCAGCAACCATGATCACCAGTACTGAGGCCATATTGTATGAGAAAAATAAGACAAATTCAATAACTGGCCCCTGTTGACACATAAATAAACTCACTATTCATTTGTTCCTTTAATCAACTGGCTATATCTTGGTTCTGTAACCCCTAATAAATGGAATTGTTAGTATTTCATAAGGATGTGTGCATCCTCGCAAGTCCTGAATGTCACACGAGGGAGCCAAGCCCAGATGACACTGTCATATGGAAACACCTGGGATCAAGGGATAACGCATTAGTTAAGCAAACTAATCTTGAGCCTTTGGAACTGAAATATCAACAAAAGGATAAAATAAATTTGCAAATTGTTCTTCCCTGTGGACATTAGCCAGGCGTTTGTTCTTTAGCCAACAACAATCAACAGGCACAACATAACCGTAAAAATGCCAGCCGAAGAGCTAACCCAATAAATAAAGGAAAATCGTTGTATTATGGATAGACTGCCAATGGTCATGCTGCAGGAAGTGAGCAAGGAATTGAAATTAGAGAGTGGAGGTTGGCGCAAAAATCAAACCTACCTCAACGAGGGGCCATAAATGTTAACATAAGCTTGAGATACAATGCAGTCTTTAGCAAATGACTCCTAGCATGGGAAGCAATCTTATGGTCTTTGGGGTACCTAAAAAGATGTGCTAAAATGTAACCCAATGAGCACCAAGTGCATGCTAAGTGGCAGGCACTGTGCTTGGCAATGGCTCACTGGGCCCTCAAAGAGCACCATTCTGACAAGACATTCATCCAGCACTGGAAGGGGAAGGGAAGGGACATACAGTCTGTGTCTTATAAGACCAGCTCCTGCCTTCAAAAAAAAGTTAAGAGAGGAGGAAGTGAAAAAGTGAAGAAAGGAGGAAGGATGAGACAGAGGAAGAAAGAGAGGTTGATGGAAAGAGATTTAACTAAATGGATACTTGGAAGAGATCTATGAAGACATCTATCAACATCTAGCTGAACAGATATCTACATATTTGCCAAATATTATTTGCAGTTAGTCTTAGCAGATGTGCTTTCTTTTCTCTTACAGTATCTATAATTCTAAATAATCTCTCCATTAAACATGGCATACATATAAAGGAAAATAAGTTTATTTGCTTTTTTTTTTGTTTTTGAGATGGAGTTCTGCTCTTGTCCCCAGGCTGGAGTGCAATTGTGCGATCTTGGCTCACTGCAACCTCCACCTCCGAGTTCAAGCGATTCTCCTGCCTCAGCCTCCTGAGTAGCTGGGATTACAGGGACGCGCCACCATGCCCAGCTAATTTTGGTATTTTTAGTAGAGACAGGGTTTCACCATTTTGGCCAGGCTGGTCTCGAACTCCTGACCTCAAGTGATCTGCCCGCCTCGGCCTCCCAAAGTGCTAGGATTACAGGTGTGAGCCACCACACCCAGCCCTGCATTTTTAAAAGAACTGCTCTACCTAAGTTTCCTCCCCCATGCCCACTCCTACACAGCCTCTGGATCCTAATGATGCTGCTCACATAGGAACTCCAGAATGGGGATGACAGATAAAAAGGAACTGAAATGCATTAAACTCACTAGGATTGTGATGAAAACTAAGAGAGCTTCCTTTTCTGAGGCACAATAGCCAGAAAGGCCTCAGTATCACCCGACTTTAGCACAGACAAAGGGAACCGGGAGTTCAGGCAAAGGAACATAAGGATCCCAGGCCACTTGCTTGCCTGAAAGTGGAATCAAAGGTGCCAGCCCAGGGCCAGGATCCCACTTCTGGGGCTGAGCTTGTGGTCATCTTGCCTAAGGCAACATGAAGTCTGCTGGTGGGGTGAGGGATGACTGTGAGGACCATGCAGAGGGGAGGGCTAGATGGGAGACGAATTTTATTTTGTTGCTCCGTTCTTGGATAAGGGTGTAAGGGAAAAAATTATTGATGAACTACTTTGTCATCGTTAAGAGTATTGCTGACACATTCCCAGCAGGCTCACTGCGAGGCAGCCAGCGCCGAGCCTACCCAACGCCTTTTGTAGCCCAGACATGTGCTGTGCATTAGACAAGGTGTGTAAATTATGACAGCGCCAGTTCTTCGGCAAGGGCCCGGGGCTGAGCACTTCTCTGCCTCCTTTTCCCTTTGTGTTCTATCTCCCTACGGCCCTTCCTCAAAGCAAGTAGAGTTCCTCAGAGAGAACATTAACAGGCAGAGGCTCGGGCTTGGAGTAAATACTGCAGGATGGAAATGCGGAGGGAATTAGACTTCTTTTCCTTGCAGGCTTTGGAGTGCTGGGTGAGAAATAAATAATGAGGGTAGTAATGGCCCGATTCTTCCCGGCTGCGTCTCTCCCCCTGGGTGTGAAGCCTCTTCTAAAGTCAGAATGTGGCTGCTTGTGGTTGCAGATTTGATGTTAAAGCCAACGGGACAGGCAGGCAGGCAGGCAGGCAGGCAGGCGGGCAGGCGGGCAGGCGGGCAGGCGGGCAGGCGGGCAGGCAGGCGGGCAGGCGGGCAGGCGGGCAGGCGGGCAGGCAGGCAGGCAGGCGGGCGGGCAGGCAGGCAGGCAGGCAGGTGGCCCTGGACAGCTCCCAGACAGCTCTCATCTGGGGAAGGTCTCATCCCTGTTCTCAGCCTCATTTTGCAGACAAGGATCCCAAGGAACACAGGAAGTTCCTGACTGGTCATGTGGAAACCAGAATGGGTCACTTGTCCTCCAAGAGGCTATCCAGAGTTGCTCCTCCGCTTCCACTCTGGGAGTCTCTGGGAGCTTTGGGTAACATTGGACTGGGAGGGTTCCATGGATAACTAATTATGTATTGGGAACTGAGCCTCTGGAAAAACTTGCAAAAAGTGCCCAAAACTTCTAGGCCCTTTTAGAAAGGAGCTGAATGCCCCCTGAGAGCTGCTGCTTCTTCCCCATCCCTATTCCATCATTGCTACTAGATTATTTTCTGTGAGCCAGAGTTTTCGAAATGTTTCTTACAGCTTCAACTTTTCTTGTTACTCCCAACCCTCTCCCCAAAAGAAGGAGATGAAAGTTGTTTACGATGACTTTTATGTAGGTAAGGCAGCAGGTAAGTAGTCTCCTGTATTGGAACTTCTGGAATCAGATCCGGCTTCAGGACAATGGAGCTTGTACCATGGTTCCTATGGGAGCACTGGTGGGGTGGGGGCTCCTCTCCCTGACTTGAGACAAGCTCAGATTGAAATCTGATGCCCTAAGAGGCAACCTCCACCTGGAAGGTGTTCAGGTAAACTGACTGAGGAGCTGCAAGGTCATTATGCTTAGAACATTGGGCCATCAATCCTCCACCCTGGCCATGATCCCTGGGGAAGAGGTGACAGCCAGGATTATTGAGAACTGAGAAGGGGCAATCGTTACTGACCCACCCCACCAAATTCACACATCCTCTGAGCCGGACCATTATATCCTTCTCCTGAAAAATCACCTCTCTGGCGAAGCACCAGGAGGACAATTAGGGATTAACCAAAGTGCTCGCTCCTGCCAGCAAGAGTTTGCGCTCCTGGGGGACCAGGGGTAGTTTGTAGCAAAGCTCTTTGTCTCTGGAACTCTCTCATCTTTGTTTTCTGTCTCATTAGGAGAGGCGTTGTCCTTCCACTCTGTGGAGGACTTTCACTTCTAGGTGTCGTTTAATTATTGAATTGGTATTTTCCCCATGTCCAAAGACCTTAGGACAAGACTGACATGTTAAAAAAAGAAAAAAAAAAAGGATTAAAACTACTCAAAATAAAATCTACATGTGGAGTTTGTTGTCACCATTGGTTCCAATATTATAAATCTTTTAAACAATGGCTTTTCTTGGACCATAATTTCAAGCCCAGTGAATGATCTGTCTCTAAACTGGCTAAATTTTGGTAAAATAGTTGCAAGAAAGATGAGCAGAGTAGAATGTATCATGATTTACATTGATGCCCAACTTCCAAATTGTACTCAAAGTGTAATTTACTTTGACTATTAAGATAGGACTAAATAAGTCTGGCACAGTGGCTCACACCTGTAATTCCAACATTTTGGGAGGCCAAGGCAGGTGGATTACATGAGGTCAGGAGTTCGAGACCAGCCTGGCCAATATGGTGAAACCCCGTCTCTACTAAAAATACAAAAACTAGCTGGGCGTGGTGGCATACGCCTGTAGTCCCAGTTTCTTGAGAGGCTGAGGCACACGAATTGTTGGAACCAGGGAGGCAGAGGTTGCAGTGAGCCAAGATCACCCCACTGCACTCCAGCCTGGGTGACATAGCAAGACTGTCTCCAAAAAAAAAAAAAAAAAAAAAAAAAAGTAGGTTTAAAACAAAGTGGTCCCTTTCATAATGCTGTCTATAAAAACAATTCCGTGACCAAAATTAATCATATCATTTAAAAAAAATAACAGTCCACTAAAAGGCACCTAAACCCTTCAACTTCCAAATGGTGACTTCGTAACCAGGGCTGAGAGATGGGTGCCATAGCTCAAACTGAGCCCCACCTCATTCCATAAAATAGAGTCTATTCCTAAAGAATAGAACAGAATTATCTTTAATTTCTTCATTTATCTAGAACAGTGGGATCCATATACAACAGTCGCATAGTGGCTAGTCTTCTTTTGAGGTAGACAAGAAATAGAAAGAAGATCATTGAGGTACAAAGGGAAGAACCACTTGCCCAGAAACACAAGTACAATGGCAAAAAAATCAAATTAAAGTGCAGAATTTTCTCTTGTCTATTGTGCTTCCTACCGGTCATGGGAAAACCTATGGAACACTGCTAAGAAGTTAGTTAGATATAAAAGAAGAGCTGGGAGATGGAGATATATATATATAGAATATATCTATATGTGATATATATACATTTTATTATATATAATATATAATATATATAATTATATAATTATATAATTATATATAATTATATATTATATATTATATATAATTATATATTATATATAATATATATTATATATTATATATAATTATATATTATATATTATAAATATATTTTATAAAATATAATATATATTATAATATATATTATATATATTATATTATAAAATATATTATATATTATAAAATATAATATTATTTATAAAATATATATTATAAAATATAATATATATTATAAAATATATTATATATTATATATATTTTATATATATATATATATATAGAGAGAGAGAGAGAGAGGTATTTTGGGAACTAAGGCAGGAGGCTCGGTTGAGCCCCCTGAAGTTCAAGACCAGCCTGGGCAACATAGTGAGACTCTGTCTCTACAAAAAAAATTAAAAATAAGCTGGGCATGGTGGTGTGTGCATGCAGTCCCAGCTGTTTGGGAGGCTGAGGTAGGAAGATCACTTGAGCCTGGGAGGTGGCGGCTGCAGTGAGCCAAGATCGCACCACTGCACTCCAGCATGAGCAACAGAGCAAGACCAAGTCTCAAAAAAAAAAAAAAAAGATTTTAAAATGATAGAAAGACTCATGCTTTGAAGCACTGACTTCAAAGCACAAATCCTTCCCAAAGTAGCCGCAGTTTAATTTGTGGTTTTAAAATGGTCAGGGCCTCCATGCAGCATGTCTCCATTGGAACTCTGCTCCCTCCCCAGCGCAAGAAAAAAATGCCCTTTCTGCAGAACAAACATCCATTTTCACAAGGAGCCAAACATCCTTGGACAGAGACAAATGCAGAGTGGGAATAAAAAGTTAAAACATACTCTAAGGCAGGTCCTCAGAAAGCTGATCCAGGTGATCTTCCTTTGAAACACTGCCTATAATTACATTAGGGATAGAAAATAAAAACAGAAAGTAACAAACAGATCCAGGGACATCATCACACCACCCTCACCATTGACTCTTTCATTTTCTCTGCTTCCTGCATGCACATATGTAGGCACATTTTACAGAGTAGTATCTACAACAGAGATCAACATGTGTTCTATTTTTTCACCAAACATTTATTTTTCCACATTGCTAGACAACCTCTATAATTCTTTTCAATGACTGTGCAATAGTGCATCAAATCTCTGTGCCATCATTTGCTTAGTCATTCTTCTCTTACGAAATAGATTGCTCAGGTCTTTGCTATTCTAGATAATAAGCAATGGAATGAACATCTTCATGGATGTAGGGTTGTAATTTTCTGTGGCATTATTCCTTATGACTCTATATTTAAATAAACAACCTTCTATATTCTTCCTGATGAGAAAACTATGTCGTCCAATTAATTACATTTCCATGACACTGTCTCCTTGCCAGTGCCCAGCAGGGATTTTTTCAAAGCAAAAATCAGAAGCCCACTAGCTAGGCTGATGTTGGCTATAGTGAGACAGGGCACACGGCCAAGTCCCCATCCCTCCTTTTTAAGAGACTGGAAATAGGATTTTAACTTCTGTGTTATTCCTCTTCAGAACCACTGCAATTTCTTTTCCCTTTAAAGGCCGTGGGACTGAGTAATTTGAACACAGCAGGACCCACTTGATTCATACTTTTTGGTCAATAATCCAATATAGCTACTATCAAAAACACTCCTCTGACCATATTTACATTTTCACCTTTTTGTCAGATGACAGCATAGTCTACCTCAACAGAAGGGATAAATAAGTTATTCGGTTACTGAAGGAGCAGGCCCTTCTAGACAGCCACAGAAGCAAAGGAATTGATGGAGGTAATGCACATAATCCTTAAGAAATATTCTCACTGAGAGATGAAGTATGACTTAAAGAGAACTGTTGCTTCTCCTGGCTCTTTGGAGCCATGTTGCTTCAGTGAAGTTTTCTTCTGCGATCTGATCATTTCCATCCCTGATGTTTTAAATTATTGGATCAACAGGGAGAGAGCCTGGCCTCTTGGTGAGTGGACAGGACGCCAGGCTGTGTGTCCTGCCTTGGGCACTGACTCACTCCACAGCCTTGAGGGGGCCCCTGAACACCCCCTGTGGCCTCTGACATTCTCCATTCATGAAACGTGAATCACTTTGGTATCGGGTCCCACTGGGAAACTAGAGATGCAATTTGTTTCATCATGTTCTCCTGCCAATATTGTCATTTACTGCTTGTTCTCCTCTATTTCATTTGAGTTTTTTTTTAATCATCTAATCCAGGGTCCATATGTAAAACAAACAAACAGCTAGATAAAGAAATGGATGGAAACTAAAACAGTCTCATTTAGAAAACAAAAGCACGAGTCAAGGTTGCTGGGGAAGGGTTTCACTGAGAATATGGAGAAGTCTAAAAGACAATAACACTCATCACCCCTGCATGAAGCTCCTAGGCTCACGCCAAGCCTTCAAACCACAGAGCTGGAGCCAGGCTGCAATAGTGGGATCACCCTGGATTCCCGGATCAGACACAGATTTTCACCCCTAAAGAACCATCACTTTCCCGTACACTTGCAACTTTTGCACATGTGCACACACACACACACATACACACACACACACTACAGAGAAAGCAGCTCCCAATTACAGATATAAACTAGCCTGATATAACTTGAAAAGTATAGCAGGTTTCCCTAAAAAAAAAAAAATAATAATTTTATCTCAGCATTTTTCCCGGAAAAAAGAAGACATCACTGCATAGTTTCCAAGTGAAATAGTTTTAAATGTCCTACATTTGGGCCGTTCACAGAGGCTAATATTTGAATCCACTTGGGAGACTCTGTCCCCAGTTCCAATGCAATCATCATGACCAGCAGGGCCTGGGAGATCTTCCAGGTCAATAATAGTTTTCACCAACTGCATACAAGATGGACTTCAGTGATACACGGGTATGGGTCTATGTTTCCCAAGCAGTATTTACAGCACACAACCTCTCCTCGGCTATAAGTACAAGGCTAGTCCTCAGGAAGTCTATGGAAAAATCATAATATGCATTATGTCTGCATTCCCATATTTTCTCCTTTTCCTGCAGTTCCCTTCACATTTATTCTATTCTGCATTTGACCAATAATACTGCAAAACACGTCCTGCCTTGATCACTGTGAGAAGCCTCAGCTGGGAAGGACCTGGTAAGGTCATGTTCCGTGCCCATTAAATAAATGTTTAAGTGGCTGTTTAAGAGCAAAAAGTCAGCCTAGTGTAGTGGTGCCACAGAGACACACAGTGGTTGGAACCCAAGGACTCCAAGATGTATTCAGCCCATCAACCTACTACGTTAACCACTAAAGTACTCACTGAGATCACTGTAATTAATAGGGAAAAATTCTCGATTGCAAAGTGCTAAGTGCAGTTAGAAGAATTAAGGCTTCCCATTTGATTTTTTCCTTTTGCCTGAAATTTTACTGCCAATATTAAATTAGCAGCGTTTTATCATCTTTGCTTTTTATATCCCAGGCCTTTGTTTCCTTAGAAACCAAACAGAAAAGAGGAAAAAAGTTACTCTGCATAGAAATACATAGTTAACTGTCCATGCCTAGAATAACCAAACTACTCTTACCCCTATTTATCAACCTCTCAAAAAAAAAAAAAAAAAAACACGAAAGTAAAGCAGAAATAAAAACAACAACACATGCTATGTGTGTGTAAAATTGTAGGAAAAGTCGTTAAGCCAAAAAGTTTGTGATATTTTATACAGCATGCTCACAAACTGAAAACAAAATTTTGATTGCTTATATATTCTGAAGTGTTTCCTGCCTACATATCCTCAGAAGTCCCAGGAGCTTTTGTGGACACATGGAAAATTTCAAGTTGAGCCATTTTTAAGTTATCCATGAGTAAAAGCGAAAAAAAAAAAAAAAAAAAAAAACCACCATGGGAGTGGGTGTTTGAGTTTGTCATAAAAGAGGAAAAAAGTTATTTTGCTCTTTCTTTCCTTTTCCTTGAATTACTTCACAATGGCTGAACATACTTTGCCTGAGTTTTCTCTTTTTTTCCCCCAGAAAGAAGAGAATCACCTTTGTGCTAAAGCCAAGTATAAACGTATTCAGCATGTTCTATACAAGTGAGCACCAGGGAATTCTTAAAGCAGATCTATGTGTAACCGTAAAACTAGCATTACCAGACACAAGTCAGATCACACATCATAATGACAAATAACTGCAAGAATCAGAAAGCAAGCATGTGCTTAGTACTCATCAGCCAAAAAGAATTTGATGTATAAAATTATTTTGAATAATTATGCAAAAGGTAGATAGCCTTTACTGAAATGCAAACGCTGCAAAACGTGGGCAACTTGGGTATTGACTCTATTTTGCTTCTTCCAGCCACGATTCTCTAAGAAATACCGCCCGCAAATTAAAAGTATCCGAGATTCTTGGCAAACGGCATCCGTGTGGTATCTACTACATTATAGCGATCGCATGCCAATAACAGCTGGGCAGAGAAGTTCTGGAATGTTTAAAGCAGAAGAGCTGAACAAGTTAAATAGAGGGTAGAAGAAAAAACTGTTTTGCAGGGAAACACCCCAGTTAGAAATTCAGTGACTGGCTTCATTTCATGAATCTCACATAAATATCTGAGGAGACTGCTGACATCCTAAGCCAAGAAGAAAAACATGCATTTAAAGAACAAGGAGAGAAGCCAGGACATGGAATAATCATTTCACTGGACGCCCTCCACTTCAGATACCATTGGCTCGAACTCCTATTAAGAAGGAACAGAGAAAATGGATGAGAGATACTGCCTACCCAGGAAGGGAAGAAACTTTGCTTTTATAAATAAACCTGTCATGGAGATAGGCCACACATCAGAACGGAAAGTCGGGGGGAACAGAAAGAAAAGGAGCCTGAGGTCATGGAGTCCTCCTGTCTCCTATCTGGGCTGGTACAAAAGGGAAGGGGAAACCCAATATTAGCATTGTCTGGCCGTGGCATTTTTTCCCCCTTCTCATAATATAACTTTGTGAATATGTTTAAGAGAGTGTCTGCTGTTATTGGTCTAATGAACTAACTCTGAAATCTGAGCTAAAGACAGCTCCCTAGTGGCTGCTCACTGCTCCACAGACCGAAAGGAAACTCCTTTCAGGGGCCCATCAGGGCGAACCACTGCTGACAGCTTGGAACGGCACAACACACAGATTTATTTCACAGACAGCCACAGACAGGAATTTAGCACCCTGTGCTGGCCTCCTGCTTAGTGGAGAAGGTGTTAAAATGCAACCATGCAGAGCTCTCCGTTGAACAAAACCCAGTAGCGGCTAATCAAGCGGTCACCCGTTCCCGGCAGAAAATACCCAGCGACGCGCAGCTGAGCACCGAGAGGAGCACAATCGTGACAGCTGCTTCTGGGCCGCCGTGCTGCAGCTTGAGAGCTGCCTCGGAAAGCTCTAAATATTTTGCATGACCTTTCAACTTACAAATTAATTGATTTATAAACAACGGCAAATGTTATTTATTTATTTATGACATCTTGGAATGCCTTCTTCCCTCGATACGAGGGCACCGCGCTGAGGGGAACATTCCCTGATGCCTGCAGATACATCAGACCCAAAGAGCGGCTCTTTCTGTCCTTCATCACCGAGCGTTCCATGAATGGATACTTGAAAGATATTGACAAATATGGGCACCGATGTGTAGCTATTTACCTGCCTGCACTAGAAAAAGTCCATAAACATTATTATTTAAAGTGCATAAACTTTTGTTTTATATGCTTGCATATGTGTGCATACACACACACACACACACACACACACATCTCTAAGGTAGTCTTACCTACATCTTTGCAGCAAAAGTTAATAACTCCACTGCTTCGGACTCTAAGCAATAGCTCAGCAGTTGATCAGCTTAGCACTTTATGGATAAAGGCAAACCACATTTATCAAAGCAATTGAAATTGCATCCCAGTAACTTGGGGTTGTTCCCAAGGAAATTGCATAGAGTTGGAAATATTGTTTATATTGATTACGTTGCTAATCTTGCTCTCACTCATACATGATACGATTTCTTATTTTTAGGTTGCGTTTGTGAAACAACTAACCTGTTCTAGTAAAAGAAAGCGATAGCAGCGACCAATCATTTTCCTTTCATATTTTCTGTGTGGGGAATATGCCTCTAGTTGCCTGGCTTTAAATTTCATTTTAAATAGCTTTAAATGCTGTCCTCACCTATTGGATTCCCAATAAACATTTCTCTTCAGGTGGCTTTTTTTTTTTTCTCCCTGCCTCAACTTTCAAGTTTGCCAATAATAAATACTAATGACCAGGTATTCCTTCGGTCTGATGCTGCAACCAGGACCATGCCACAATGTCAAAGCCAGAGAGACATCAGCTAAAATGCGGATCTGCTTCCCAGAAGGTCTTTAGTAAACTGACACATAAGTAAACATGGGATGGTACCATTGACTAAAAGGACCCTGAGCAAGACCTGGAAATGTGTCTTTGCAAAATCAAGTCCTCATTCACTGCTACCGCTCTGTGGTGCCCCTCCCTGCTATGATTCTCCAACTGTCAGCAGTCTTAACGGAGAATAGAATTTACTTGAACTTTTTTTTAAAAAAAAAAAGCAATGTGTTATCATATTTCCAGGACACATGCACAGCCAGGAGCATGGTGACATCAATCATAAATGGATGCCCGGGCAAGCGTCCCCTCCTGGAATGCCTCCTCCTGAGTGGGTTAACCTTTTCCCACCTCACTGTGGTAACTTAACAAAGGGAGCCTTGAAAGACCCGAAGTCTGAGAAAACTGAAGCAGGGAGAGAAACTTCTTCACCTTAGGAAGCCAATCCATTTGTTCCTATTCTAAGACAGAAAGAAAGAATCATGCCCTGTTTATTTTTTCACTTCTTTGCAAGTGTATCATTTCCCTAGAGTTCCTGTGTCACAGATTTTTGTTAAAGGAATGAGATTTTGTTTTTGTCCTTAAAGTCCAAAGGTGGGTTGGGGGAGAAAAAGCCACAGGTAGAACATACGAGAGAGATTTTCTGTGGAAGGTTGCCTTTGCTTAGTATATATAAATATACATATTAAGGTTCATATCATACTAGCATAGGGAACATCGAAATAAATGTCCTTTATATGAAAATAGGGATTTTTAGGAATATTACACAAGGAAAAATGCAATCAAAAATAACTAACTTGAAATAGCTGGAGAAATATGCCTTAACCCTAAATTGAAAATCATTTCAGTAATTCCTGATACATACTAAATTTATTTCTCTATTCTCATTCTTGCCTTCTTCTTAGAGTGGGTATCTCCTATATAAAACAGGCCCTTTCATTTATACCAAGAGCATTTGCATTCGAAAATGAAATCTATTAAGACAAAGATGAAGTGTGTGCAGAGATGGGCAGATAAGGTTCTTAGCTTTTCCACTAATGGACAGAGTTACCATTTTATGCATGTATGCATTCTCTGCCTCTAAGACATTTTCCATATTTGCGGTGTTTGCCAGATTTCAAACAGGTGATCCTAGCAAGGCACACAGACGAAGAAAATGCTGTCCCTGTCTCCTTGCTCACAGCATGTGCCATGTACACTCAGCAGCCCCATACCGTTGACCTTTTCTGTGAAGCATCAAACAAAGTCTTCCATGGTGCAGGCCTTCTGTTATCCATTCATTAAACAAATACTCATCGATACCTACTAGGTGTTAGGCATTATTCTAGATGCCAAGGATAAACAAAGATAAAAATCCCTGCCCACCTGTAGCAGAGTAGTGGGAGTTGGTGGGGGATTGGAAATATAGACAATCAACAAGTAAATGAGTCAAATATATGGCATCCTAGTTGATGAAGAGTGTTAGGAAGAAAATTAAGTCTGGAAGGGGGTTAAGAAGTGCTGGTTTTGGGAGGAGTATCTCACTAAAGGGACATTAAAATCCAAAGGACGTCTGACCCCAAACTTCACACTGAAATATACAGTTCCAGTTAATAGATGTGAATTAACTGATGACGATGACGTCCCCATTAGTTTTTATCACTTCCATCACAGCCAGGGGCAAAACAGCTCTATTTCTTCCCATATTCCTTTAAGAGACTAGATCACACCTTGCCACACTCTTTCCTCCTGCTTCTCCCACTGACACTGCCCTCGTGAGTTCCTGTGGTCTTCCCAGTGGCTCCATCATCCCTTTAACTAATACTTGCTGGGTGCCTGCTCTAAGTGGAGTGCATTGAAGAAGGAATATCAAGGCAGTGTGGAAGCACTTCTGCTATATCAGGCGGTTCTAATCATCTGTCTTTTCCCTCCATCCTGCAAAACTCTCTTCTCTCCTTAATTAAGGCAGAAACATTCAGAGCATCCCAACTCAGTACTTGGAATTTTTCATTTCAGGTACCCCCAAATAGCAAATTGAGGTGCTCCAGTTATAACAATGTGGATTTCCTGGCTTTCTGATCCACACTACTCTCAAATCACATTTCCACCCACTATTAAAAAAAAAAAATCAAGGCAAGACACAACAAGATGACTCCATGCTATCTTGTATCACAGGTAAAAGAAAACCTTGTCGATATGAAATCAGACAGTGTAAAATTCTCTCCCTGAGGAATCTGGCATTATTACATCCCCCACCAATCATGGCATTGTTTCTCCAACAACTGTATCAGAGGCAGCATCCGGATATTGCTATAACACCTTCCCAAACCATCAGGCTCTTTCCTTCAAACCATGGAAGTCAGACACCACTACAGACAATACTGGGCCCACCAAAACCCAAGCTCTTCCAAAAGAGTCCAAAGCCCTCGTCTGTTTCCAACAATTATCAACTCTCAAAATTCCAGGACTTTTGTATTAGGTGAAATGAAATTTGACTTCTACATTTATGAATAACCTATACCTACATGAGAAAACTCTATGAATTTGATAAGGCATATATGGAGAAATAATATATACACATTATAATATATAATATTAATGAATGGCATATATTTTAAATCTTAACTTATCAAAGATTCACTCTGGACACTCCACTTAATAACAGGCAACAATTCCCTCCTGCTTATATTATAAATATAGGCATTGTTCCAAGTATCCAGGATATGATAAAGAGATACGCCAATGGATCTCACAAAGCTTCTGCCCTCTGACTTTTATTATTAGTAGTAGTATTAGTATTAGTATTATTTTGGTGGAGACTTTTTGGTTTTGTTTCTTCAGGTACTCCCAAGGTGGGTAAAAATTACAAAATCAAAGTTAAGTTTAAATACAAATACTGGCTGAATGTGAATTTGCCTTTTCTTTCCTCCTTTGCACTATTAGGAAGAAAGCATTTATTTCTCTTTCAGAAACACAAGAATACTGAAAAGTTGACTTTGAGGGTTTCGATTTTGCTTAACATTTTCTCTTTGTCCTTGCCACTGATCACCCAAAGCAAGCAAGGAGAGGACCTTGTCATGATCCCAGCATAGAAAATGCCTGCAGTACATTCACCTTGTACACCTTATTTATAATCCTCTGTAAATTTGCCCAAAAGTCGTGAACTACATAATACTAATTCTTATAGGTTGACATATTTCCCTGATCTTTCATGAGCCACATGGGGAAACAGTTTTCTCCTGATCTGAATGAAGAAGAAAAACAGTGATCCTAATCAACCATTTGCCCTTAGTGGCTTCCCTAAACAAATCTGGGAAAGCGCTTAAAGGCTTGGGAATAACCATGACCCTGCTTGATGCACTGTAATAACCCTACCTAATTATACTGATATAAAAACTAATTGGAAAGATAGCAAATGTCAGGGTAAGATGCAAATCGTAGGGTGTTAATTGCTGAACAGGTGCTGGAATAGAATTAAATGAGCATTCTGATTAAAAGAGTGGAGGAAACAAATGTGGACCCCCGATAGAAACTTGGCCATGTGACTTCTTAAGCAGTCCATTCCACCAGGAAAAGGTCATGGTGCTGTGACCTCTGTTTTGTGATGGGTAGGCCAAGAAAATAATAGTGACCACAGAAGAAAAAACAATCCAGCAACAATATCAACATGACTTCCAGAAGTCACTGCTAAGTTTGAGCCCCAGAGACATGCAGTGTGTCTTACGAGTTCATAGACACACAAATAAGCCTGGATAGAATCAAGAATGCATAAATCCTCCTCTTCCCTGCCACAAGGGCATGCCCTTTCATCTTTAACCAGCAGTTTTCACATCCTCTCACCACCCCCACATTACTACCACAGTGCTGAGTGCAACTAGGTGCTCGCTATGCATTTGTGGGTTGACCAAGTAGTTGATTAACTGAATCAACAGCCTTGTTTGCCTTCAATAACTTGGGATGGTATGAGAGTAAGAACATTCGGATAGGGCGACATGGAGATTAACTCTGAGACTCCAACTGCTATAAGCCAGTCACTCTTGTTGCAAATGGTATAAATGATATTTATTAATGCTCCAGCAATCCAGACTTTAATCTACATACACAAAGGAGATTTTCTTTTTAGCCTGGTCTATAATGAAGGTTGCTTCTTCACAAACTCCTGGTGACTTGGTCAAGCCTTTGTCCAACCATCACTGCATTTCCTGACATGTGGCAAAGCCTAGGCCAATGAAGCCTACATTCTCAAGACAGAAGAGACCCTGAGGGCAGCAGCTTTAAGCAGATAGCAGCTCCTTAGCCCTGACCTGATGTGGTGCCTCCCCAGCACCACAATGCCCTCACCCCTGCTGCCATCTAAAGAAGCTCCACTCCAAAAAAGAAAAATGCTCTAGATCAAGGCCCTAATGTTTTTCCCAACACATCACCTCAAATAACCTAGAAAGGTTAAAATTATTTCATTCCCAGGTAGGATGCTAAAGTTTAAGTGTTCTTGTCTACCAGTAGTTCAGAGGTCTTTGAGATTTATGATGCCAGAAACCTAAACCAGCTCTTTAGTGCAGGGAGAAGGAGGTAACACAGTCTTACTCTATTCTACTGATTTTTCTCACTCCACTTCATCTGAGCATAGAGCAGCGATTCATTCATTGTGCTCATTCCACTTGGGGCCTCTACCCAGAGTCTACCAACTGCACACCACTGTGCCTCATCATATTTGATTTTAGTGATACAGACCAGCAGGAGGCAGATATCAGCAAAGTTAATTCTTCTAACTCAGACCTATGTCTACTAAAATTGGATTGCAGAACTACTCAACCCAGTTGCATTCATTCATTCATTTATTCACACATTCATTCGTCTTTTAAAATTTAACCAACTTGGCCTCTACTTAGTGGGCCAAAGAAAATAATACAATGGTTACATTAGACAATACTCCAACTCAGCAATCCAATTTCAAAGTGCAGAGGAGGGCCTGAATGCTTTAAGAGGGAAATGTGGCTACAGGAGGCATGGGTGAGATTTCACCTTATTTATTTATGCTTTTATAAGGACACTGAGAATAATAATAAAACAGGATGGGAAAGAGAAAAATGTTGCTCCAGTAGAGAGATGGGTGGGTAGAACCTCCTCACTCTTTCCCTCCCTTCTTTTGATCTCAAGAAAACCTCGCTTTCTCTTGCTCACTCTCTCTTTAAGGAATAAAAATAAACTGTCTCCTGAGTAATAAAGTCAAGACACTTGCCAGTAAAAATTGGTTAAGGTCATCACTTTTGAAGGTCAAATGAGTTTTAGACAAGATGTCATGTGGGATCACCATTCAGCACATTTAGTTAAATGGTTAAAAATAATAAAAAATAATGACAATAGTGGAGTTATATTTTTTAAAAGGCAGAAGTCAGAGAGAAAATGAGAGAACCAGATGTCTAGAAGGAATGCTGGGAAACGCTGAAGAGAAGGATTTCTCCCCCCACCCCAAACACAACCTTCCCCAAGGACCTTTCCAGACTCATTGTCAGTATCTAATGCCTGTACACTGTATATCTTTTACGTGTGTGTTTTGCCATGCAGTCCCCTTATTTAAAAAAAAAAAAAAAGACTCAAAGGGAAAACATTTTTTAAAGGATCACAATTCATGTTGACCTCAAAGTGAAGATTTTCCAGGTCCCTCATGTGCCCACCCTGTCTAAATACCCAAAAGACCCCAGAAGTTGTGTTGCTCTGTGACTAGATGGTAAGAGAAAGAGAGCAGCCTTACAGTCGGTTTGCCTGAAAATGATACCATTGATTTAAGTGAGATGCCACAATCTACCCAGTTTCCAGAGGAAGATCTCTGTTTTTGATAAAATAGACCATGAACAAGTCAGAGCAAAGGGGCTGTTCCTAGATGCAAATGAGCCCTCACAGGAGGTCTCTGGGGTCCCAAAACAAACGCAGAACCATGCTGACAGTTGGGTCTGAGTTCTAGGGCATGTTCTGTCCTCTCACAGGGCCATGTGGGCAGCCAGCCCTCATCCTTTTTATAGTCCGCTTGCTTTTACCGGCCACAGCATACCCATACAACCAAAAAATCTCCTGTGCCAAAGGATGCTTGGAAACTCCAGCAAGGCCACTGCAAGACTCAAGTTCCAAGTATTGCTCATTGCCAGTGACAATTAGAACAATCTGAAAATGTTCCTCCCAGAAAAATACACTCTTTTTTGTTGTAACAGGGGTGTAAACGCCAGCCAATCTCTTTTGGCACCTAGAGCTATAAGAAGGGGTTTCACTGTGCCACCTCTCGACAAAAACGCCCTCAATGAGCATCCTCCAAGGACTGGCTTTGAAAGGGGGTTTCGCGTATCAGGTTAATGCATGCACTTGGCGCAGCCCAACTTTCGCACCAAGGCTCTGGGGTATGGGGTGATAAGAGCCAGGTTCTGTTTGTTAACGATAAGGCAATTATTTCTTTGGTACTTCATAGAAGGAAAAAAAAAATCTTACAGCAAAGATTCAAACAAGGATCCCTAGGGAGACAACGGACCTCATAGGTTGGAAAAGTTTTTTTTTTTTTCTCTCCCTTCGCAGGAGCAAACAAATGGCCCATTGAGAGCCACAGAACAGCCAAGGCTAAGTTACTGACAAGCACGCTGTCAGTTGGCTTCCCTAGAAGCTCTGGATAACTTAGGGAGTGGAAGATGGGAGCCAGAGGGAGGAGAGACAGAAAAAAAAGACAGACATAAAATGAGAGGAAAGGAAGAAGAGAAAAGGCTGCAAGTAGAAGGGAGCAGAGAGACTGTAAAGAAGTAAGAGAGAAACGGCCGGACGCGGTGGCTCATGTCTGTAATCCCAGCACTTTGGGAGGCCGAGGCAGGTGGATCACGAGGTCAGGAGATCGAGACCATCCTGGCTAACATGGTGAAACCCCATCTCTACTAAAAATACAAAAAAAAAAAAAAAAAAAAAAAAATTAGCCGGGCGTGGTGTCAGGCGTCTATAGTCCCAGCTACTCAGGAGGCTGAGGCAGAAGAATGGCATGAACCCGGGAGGCGGAGGTTGCAGTGAGCCGAGATTGTGCCACTGCACTCCAGCCTGGGTGACTGAGCAAGACTCCATCTCAAAAAAAAAGAAGTGAGAGAGAAACAAAGGGCTGCTGATGGAATAGGAAGAAAAAGAGCACCGTGTGCTGATGTGTAGTTGGTAGCACTTCTCATGCATTTGGAGTGTGAAGAGGTCCCTGAGCTTGGATAAACATTACATCTTATTTTCACTGACCCCCAACCAACATTTACCATTTCCTTCCATTTTAAATGTAAACAAGCCACATTAGTATTATGGGTCCATTGTATTCACTGGACCATCAGTGGGATCCATGGCAATAAAAAAAAAAAAAAAAAAAAAAAGGCAAAGAACCCCCAAACACTGGGAAGGTATTAGGCATCCTCTCACTTTGCAGGCAACATACTATTTCAGAGGATAGGTATGCATGATTTTCACTTTGGAAAGGAGAGGCTTTTATTTACTCCCTGGGTCAGGCTTTCTGCCTTCAGGCCAAGGTTTCTTAACTTTCCCTGGAATTATCCAATGTGCAACAAGTTCAGGCATCAAATGCCAAGAAGCTTTTAGGAAGTATTTCTCAAGGTCATCCCATTTGATTAACAGCTAAGAGTTAGTTCCACAGCTTTAAGGGCCAGATCCAGCATGATAATTTTGCTCAGCTGGTTCCCACTGGGCCTGTAAAACTCAAAAAAAAAAAAAGGTTGGCTTTGGCATCCCCAAGAAGCAGGTCTCTGAAGCCTCAATGTTAGTTTTCTACCAGGGAAAACGCTCTGAAGAGACCAAGATATTCCACAGACAGAATAGATCTCAATCCAAGCAATTGGACTTCTGCTTCTTCCTCCTTGTCCTTGGAATTACATAATAGAATATTGGTTCCATGGCACTGCAAATCCCACAGTCAGGGTAGGCCAGCAGCCAGAATCCAACAGATCATTGGCCCCAGGACCTATAGGATCATCTGCTGGTTATGGCCCTGTACAGATGTGACTAGACAGCAGCTGAGCCCATGTACTCAGAAATTCCCACCTCTTGTTCTGACATCACAGGTCAGCCTGGTCAACTGATGGTGACCATGCAAACTCACCAACAGCTCTTTCTCTCCTGGTCTCTGGGTGCTTGGTTTCTGAGAGCAACTTGTCTGTCTCTGTTTCAGAAGTTTCTAAGCCAAAGCCATCTCCCACCCCAAGAGGCAGGGAGAACTTACACTGCAACTTGGAGCTACCTTTAAGCTGGATTAAGTTGAAAATCTTCAGAATGGACATCATGCTCAAAACTGCCTGCTTTCCCAGGGGTTGAGAAGTGGGGAGGCACAGCTCCACCTTCTCTGCAGAGAAGGAATGTTTCTACCTGACAGGAAGAGTTCAGGGGGCTCAAAGGATAAGGTGTGCCCATGTGTAGGCAGGTGCCAACCATCAAAGGTGGAGCAGGTCAGGCACAGGATGGAGAAAGATAAGAAAGATGTGCCCCAACCCAAACCACCCTTACTCAGGCTTTCCTCACTGTCTAGTTAATTTGCTTCCAGTCTCAGTGATGGGAATTAGACAAATGCTTTAAAAACTCAGAAGCCACCATAAAAATAGAAAATTACTGCTTCCTGTCATGACCAAATATTAAACACAGTGCACACCTAATGACTCTATCCCTCCCCGGGGAAGGAGCTTTATGAACAATAAAATCCCAGCAGACTTCCAGTGTTTGGGTTTGGAGGTCTCATTATGGGCTCACTGATCCAATACAATTTACAAGCTCAATGGACGCCACTTGAAGTGAAAACCGCCAGCCCAGAGTTATAAATGGGACACCTACAGTGAAACCAGCATTTTATTCTTCATCGGGGAATGAAAAGAAGAAAGGGAGGTCTTTAGGAGAAAGGCACCAGGGTGCAAGTCGCTAAGGGAAATGTTTCTCATTGCCTGAGTAGGAATCAAGGTTAGACACCCACTAGAAATGCAGGGCAATGGATAGAAAGCAAGGGAGGCCCAAAAACTGAAGGCAGGAAGAGGAAAGGTAAACAAAGGAAAAAGAAGGGGATGGAGACAATGGTGGTGGATTAAAGACAAGTAGAGGAAGCAGGGGTGGGGTTAACTTTGCTGTCCCTTTTGCTATGTAGGTTGAATCTACACGACATCACATTTTCAAAGTCAGATTTTTTTTTCTCCAGTTCTCTACATTATCCAGATACAGGTCTAAAGGGTGGTTACTCTTCATCCTGTGCCTTGCCAGCTGGAGGATAAAATGCATTAGCCACTCTACATTTGCTTGGGTAAGTATCGAGCGGACTGTTAGCGTTAAATCGAAGTAAAGTCTGGCTCTTGTTCAAGCGTCAGCCACAACCAAGAAGAGAGAGTGGAGCTTCTCCTTCACCTTTAACTCTGTGCAATTTATCACTCGAGCCTAAACAATCCCACATGTTTAAAGTGCTGGAGAAGGAGACTTGGAGAATGCTAAACAAAGGGTTTTAGGGAAGTCAGAATTAAAGTGCACAGGGGCTGGACAGTGGACACTAAGCAAAAACAATCCAGGGGAGGTGACAAGTCCATAAAGCAGGGTCTAGACAGACCATGAGACCAAGGCATTGAGAGGTGACAAAAAAGGAGGGAAGAGACTGAACATGAGGAGGGAGTCTGTGAGGAGAAACTGACAAAGAAGAGGGGAAAATGCTGATGGATCCCAATAATGCTTTCTGCTCACCTGTCTGCCTTTTAAGTGAATCTCCTACGTGTGAATCAGCTTCTGTATAGATCAGAAGGCAAAGGTTATGAGCCCCAGGTAAAGATTTAAAAATCACTAAAATAAAGGAGCCATAGCATATGCTGATTGGGTCTGAAGTCAGTTATGGCCACACAACATCTCTCTTCCCCCTCCACAGGCTGAGAAAGGGCCACTGCTTTCCAACTCCTCACATAAGAAACCAGGATTCAGATAGGTTTGCCAGATAAAATACAAGATGCTCAGTTAATTTTAAATTTCAAATAACAATGAATTATTTTTCTGTGGAGGTATATCCCAAATATTGCATGGGACAAACTTATGCTGAAAAATGATTGTTTATCTGAAATGCAAATTTAACTTGGATATACATACTAAAAAAATCATTCATGTTTATCTGGTATTTATATTTAAGTAGCATCCTAGTTTTTACTTGCTAAATATGGCAACTCTAGATTCAATGAGAGGGAAGAATTGAATGAATGGATGAATGAATGAATGACAGAGGAGTAAGCAAACCCGTGCTGATGCCAAATTTTACTGTGGTTATTATCATACTACAAGAACAGCAGCCACTTTGAGTCCTCAGCTCATGTGTCAGAAATCTATTTCCTATGTGTATCTTCTGAAGTGAGAGAATACTTTTTGCATGTAAGAAACAGGCTCCACACAAAAT
The DNA here is from genome assembly GCF_000001405.40 of Homo sapiens. Taxonomy (NCBI): domain Eukaryota; kingdom Metazoa; phylum Chordata; class Mammalia; order Primates; family Hominidae; genus Homo; species Homo sapiens. Next base: position 26,021,996 of record NC_000008.11, read on the forward strand.
CACTGATTATAGTAAAGTGAAATGCCATCAGTTTGCCCCAAGCCATGTGCTTGAAAGGTAATGAATCCTCAGACCTTCAGGAAATCCTCCAAGCCTTCAGTACAGTTAGAAGCCTTGTAATTCAGCCACAATCTATTCTATGTGAATCCCACTGTTTCTCTTGTCCCTTTCCTTGCAGAGACCACCTCGATTTTGTTCTGGGAGCTGGATACCTTGTCTCTTATCCCAACTGAGTCTTTGGCCAGCTACACAGCTCCCAAAATTGTTGATCTTCAATTGGGTTTCTGCTCTGTAATGTGGGATAACATTTCCAGTCTGTAGCTAAAATGAGTTGTGCACGTCGTTTTCAATTAATTAGAAAAATGTCCTGTACAATTGTGCATAAAGCACCAAAACAGCTCACCATTTATCTCCAGAGAGACCCACACCTTGGGGCTTTTTTGGAGGGGCTACATGGAAATAGAAGCATTCAGAGACACAATAGCCCCAGCCCTCATCTCACTGCCATCTTGTGAGTCCTCTGTTTTAAAAGTCCTGGCTACTTAGGGGCTTTTTAAGGTACTAGTCCCAAAGTGTTTGTTCCATCTCTGCAAATTCCTCCATTTCTGTCATCACATCCGTGGAGTTAGGAATTTCTCCCCTTATTTCCCTCTCAAAAGCTCTTGTTAAATGGGGGCAGCTGCTGCATTTCTCACCAGCTCCAGCTCCTTGGTGGTCTCGAGGGGACCAGGAAAGTTTGCCTTCACTGGAAATTTTGAGGTTACAACAAAACTTCTTGGAGGACAACCATTTCATCAATGAGCCAGTCTAGACTGATGAAATGCTGACTCCTTATAGGCTTTGGTCTAGGCTGGCTGACAAGCTTGGAGCCTCTCATCACTCAGCTACTTCTCTTTCTGATCAAATGTCCCCTCCAGCTGCAACTCTAGGTCAATGTGTAGAAGACAGCAACAAAGAACAATTCTTACAAGATTCTAATTCGCAAACAAATCATCTAGTCAATCCCTAGTGGGTAGAATCCTAAATCTGCGAATCATCTGTGGATAACTTCCTTCTCTCCTTGGTATATAGGTCTCATTTCCCAACCATTTGGCATGCCACTCTCTTAGCTGGGTCAAAAATGGGCCCAAAGAACTTATCCAGCCCTGTTCACTCCAATAGAAGAAGATAATAACTGGCAGTTTTGGGAGGTCCTCTTTGGATAAATATATAGTCTTATCCTAATCTTTCCCAGGCTCCACGACCTTTGTTCCTCCTAAAGCCAGCTGGATAAGTTTGCAAAGAGATGTCTTTTCTAAAAACAAATACCTACTTCTTATTTCCAGCACAGCACAATTTTAGAGTACTGTTCTTCTGCTCCTTGACCCATCCACTTCCTAGCAAATCTGCTATTTAATCACATCACACAATTTCATAAGGAAGAAGCTGGAAGTTGAAGCATGGCATCATCTGTTCTAATAACCACGTCCATCCAGTTGGTCCTCTGATTTTCACTGGGAATTGATCCAGAGGTCTTGGGCAAGCACTTTGAATGAGAGAATGCTAGTCATGGTGAGTTGGTTTTCGTCTTTCTCCCTCTTTTCTAAAGAATTACTTATAAATGGTTTGGATTCTGGCCTGAGTTTCTGCTTTCTCACAAACATCCAGGCTACTAAAAAATTCACAGATTGCCAGATGGTATAACAGCAGTTCCCCGCAATGAATCTGAGCTTCCCAGTGAACAAAGAAGACACGTACTCATGGGGACAAGCGGCAACATCAACAAAAGCTTTGGAGTGGTGAGTGTGCTGGGGGAGGGGAAGCAGGGTGTGAAGAGGTGAGAAAAAAGACCTTTCCCTCCAGTGGCTGATACCAGAGTATCTGGCAGGGAAAAAACTTTCTAGCAGGTTCCCCTACTTCCATTCTCCATGTTCCAATCCATCCTCAAAGTTCTGTCTCCAAAATACCAGCCTGATCATGAAATGGCACAACTCAAAATCCTTCTACATCTTCCATCGCTAACAAAGTAATGTCAAAATACTTTTGTATGGGCATATAAAGTCCTCCAAAATCTGGGCCCAAATAATCTCTCCAACTTCTCTTACTGTCTCTCGTCACATGTACCCAAGTACCTCTAAAACTATGTGCAGGTTTAGGAAATTCTTTCCTTTCCAGGTGCCTTTTCCAACACACTTTCTTCCTAGAAGGCCATTCTGCCCCAATTTGTAAATATTCGAGGTATAGCCATCACCCCACCTATCTCTGCCATGATGGAAATTATCTCCGCACTTCAGATCTTCCAGAGTGCTTATCCTTTTATCTCTTTTATGGTACTTTTTGCATTTTGCATAGCATCCTAGTCTATGCAAAGGATATCTACACATCCTTTGTTTTTCCATATAAACTCCAAGCTCTTAATGGGAAAGCTTTCTGTTTACTCAATCTTATTATCCCTAAGACCCCACTGCAAGGTCCATGGCATAATAGGCCCTTGATAAATACTTACTAAATATAAGTAAGAATTTTATTCTGCTTTACAACCCTAGATATCTGTTCTTGGGCCTGTTCTGTACCTATCTGCCACTGGACATAAGATCGCTAAGAGGTTGTAGAATGCAGGAAGTCACAGGAATTGTCCTATATGAACTGGCAGTAGACTCAATCACCCAAACTCTTCAATGCTTGGCAGTCAGAGATTAATCTGTGAATTAATATCTATGGAGTGTCTGTAGCATCCAAGCCACTACAAAGATGCAATGTGAGATACAGGATAATTGCCCTGACTTTTTTTAAAGCATCTGTTGTATCATGCACTATGTGGGCACCTTACATGAATGTATTTAGCACAACAACTTAAGGGGAGAGGTATTATTAACACCATCACACAGCTAATAAATATTGGCATCAAGATTTAAATGCCATGTGATGTCTGATATCTAAGAATTATAATATAATTGGAAATGTAAAGCAAGCACGAAATAGGTAAAATAAATAAATAATGCCCATACCCCTGAACAAGAGTAAGAATTTGTGATAAATGTCAAGGGAAAAGATTTTCACTACAAGAACTAATATCTTTGAGGAAGTAGAATCTGAACTAGGTCTTGAAAAAGGGATAGGATTTATATTGGCAGAGTGCTTGTGGTGGGTATTCCAGGTGGAAATAGTGTATACAAAGGGAGAAAAGAGGAAAAATTCAAGATCTGTGTTCCGGACAGGGGGATTCACAGAGAAAGAAAGGATGGGATTCGAATGTTGGGACCTAGGTACCATCCATTGACCTAGTCTTCGGAGAGCTTTTTGTATTTTGTGAATACGTATTTTTTGTGTGCTTATTTACGCTGTATGCTCCATGAGAGCGGGAACCATGCCTATTGTATTCGCTGCTGATCTCTCACTGCCATTCACAAATATTTTTTGCTTGATGACTGAATAACATAAGGACTTAGCAAGTGAATGAATGATGGAACGAGCCCATTTATACACGACTAAGGATTTGATTTGCATCAAATCCTAAAACTCCAGTGTCAGGAAGCTGGCCAGGCAAGCAGAATAAGTGTAATTCTTAAATACTAACCCAATTACATGAGTGAACTTTCCAGCACCACCTCTGCAATCATGAGGAGGAGAGTCATTTTCTCGAACAAAATTTTGTTTCTTTTTTACCACTTGGCTCCAGTGTCCTCCAATGAAGAGCTTCAATCCATAGGGACACTTTTTCCCAGCTACAGAGTCCTTTATCTTACCTGTAATTCCCTGAAATGGCCAAGAAACTAACAAAGGTTTTGCTAGGAAACAACGGAATGAGATCATGAAAGAATGATGCATTCACATTGGATAGATAATCTGTGGTTTTTATTGAGAAAATCTAAACCCTCCCTGAGAGAATGAAATTTTCACTTAAAAAAAAAAATACATTGAGTGCAGCAGCCCACACCAGTAATCACAACACTGTGGAAGCCTGAGGTAGTAGGATAGTTTGAGGCCAGGAATTCCTGAGACCAAACTGGGCCCAGAGTGAGACCCTGTCTCTACAAAAAAATAAAATTTAAAAGATAGCCCGGCATAGTGGCACAACTGTAGTCCTAGATACTTGGGAGGATGAGGAGGGAGGATCACTTAAGCCCAGGAGTTTGAGATTGCAGTGGGCTATGATTGCACCACTGCATTCCAACCTGGGCAACAGAGCAAGAGCCTGTCTCAAAAAGAAATTTTTTTTAATAGCCTGGGGCCAGGTTTCTGTGGGCTCTTCACAGTACTGGGTTCTCCCATACTGGAGATGAAGAGTCTGGACAGAGAAGACATATATATTAATAACTCCGGTAAATTATTGAGGAGCAGGGATGAATTAGCATACCTGACCCCCAAACTTGAGGCCTCAGCAAGAATCAGAGAAAGTAGAATTGGAAGGTAGTGTATTAGTCACCCATGAACCCAAAGCACTTCATTTGACAAATAGGGGAACTGAGTCACAGAGAGGAGGCTCTTGACCTCTGTAACATTAGATAGCTAACTAGTGAAATGTTCTTGGGCCCAACACAGGTCTTCTGGTCCTAATCCGAGGCCCTTTTGCTGCACTGCACTATCCACTCCTCAGTCACGCCGAGGATGGACATTCTGTCAAATCTGTCACACAGTTGAATGTGACTCACACAATCTCAAGTTAAATGCTACTTCAGGGGCCAACAGCACCCACTCCTTCCACAATAACAGATTCCCCCTCCAGTGTTCCTATCAGTTCTTCCAGATCACACCCACCAGGCCCTTCCATCTTCACAGCTCTTAACTCTGCAGTTTTTCTTCCTATTACACCAAAATCTTTCTCTCTGTAATTTCTACCTATTGACTAAATTCCAGTTTCACAAGCAAACTGGCTATGTGACCTTGGCTGAGTTACATAACTCCTTCAAACTTGAGACTTTTATCAACCATTGAGAATTAAGATGATTTTACTAGCACAAATGTCATAGCACAATGCCCAACATACAATAAGTGCCAATTAATTGTTAGATAAATGTTATTATTGGTTTTATCTATCCTTCTCAGAGCCAGAAATCTTCACTCAGGAGATAACACTACTGATATATCTGGTTTACCCATTTCCGAGGAATGGGAGGTAATGGTCACCTTGCAGACATACGTCACCTTGTAGATATAAATCTCACCTGCAGCTCAACTCCAACTACTACCCAAATTCTATCTCTACCATGATTCTCTAAAAGTTTCCGTCCCACAAATCGCACTTCACTGGAGTTAAGAAACACACTTGAGAGACAGGAAGAACAAGTACGGCCCAGGGGAAAGTAGATCCAAACATATGCTTCAGTAGAACAAGTTACTTCATGAGGCAGAGAAAGGCAGGAAGAGACTGTGTTAGACAGCAGGAGAAGGGCCAATGACAAGCCTGGACCAAAGGTGAAACCAGCAGATGACAATACCCACACCAAGATGGTGGAAGAAGAAAACAAGAGTCACACCCATCAGGATGACTACTATCAAAAAAATAAAATAAAATAAAATATAAACAAGGATTGGTAAGGATGTGGAGAAGTTGGAAGCCTTGCTTGTGCTTATGCACAATATGGAAGTTCCTTTTAAAAATGAAAATGTAATTACCATCTAGTCCAGCAATTCCACTTCTGGGTATGTTCCCCAAAGAATTGAAAGCAGAGACTCAAACAGGTACTCATATACTCATGTCCACAGCAACATTATTTCCAGTAGCCAAAAGGTCAAAGCAACCCATTGCCAGACGAATATACAAACAAAATGTGGTTCATCCATACAACGGAATATCATTTGGCCTTTAAAAGAAAGGATATTCTGACACATGCTACAACATGGAGAGTCCTTGAGGTGATGCTAAGTGAAATAAGCCAGAAACAAAAAGATAAGCACTACCTGGTTCCATTTACGTGAGGTGTCTAGAGTAGTCAACTTCATAGAGACATTAAATACAATGGTGGTTTCCATGTGCTTGCGGGGGTAGGAGACGGGTAGTGGGGAATTGTTCAGTGGGTACAGAGTTTTAGTTTTGCAAGATGAAAAGAGTTATATAAATGAATGGTGGTGATAGTTGCACAACAATGTGGATGTATTTCATGCCACCAAACTACACACTTAAAATGGCTAAGATGGTAAATTTTATATGTATTTTACCACAATTAATTTTTTAAAAAAGAAAATGGTGTCAGGAGAACCCTTCATGGGCAAATAAACTTCAGTTTATTCAGATCTTTTTGAATAAACCTTTTGAATGAAGGTCATTGTGTTGTTTGTTTGGTTTCTCAAGAAAGAAAATAAACAAAAACACATCAACACTTAAAATGGTCCTCCTGGGAACAGAGCTCAGAAATATATGAGACCAATGTCCAGGGACAAAAGACTGGGATATTTAGCGTGTGAGAAATAGGTTGGACCTCCTCTTTATTTATTTACTAGAAAATACCCTACCAGTACGCACATGGGTAGCCTACGAAGATTCAAAATAAATTATTGCCCTCTCTATCCATCTGACTTTTTATGGGGCTGACAAGGACAGGAACAATAGGGACTCATCTTCCTTCTCCCACATTAGTCAGACTGTCCCTAAAGTCCTCTTCTCACAGATCACCAGATTATCCTGAGCCCCCCAGAGGCTCACTGGATCGTCAGAGAACCTGCCAGATAGAGAAGAGAGTTTGAAAAGAACACAGCCCATAACAACCAAGTTTGAATTAGAGCTTCCCTCTAAAACACAAATGCAAATCCATTTGAGCCTTTTATTTTTATTTACCACACAGGCCTTTATAGACAAGAGCTCAGCTGAAGGCCACAGTAAGAATGATGTTTCATTAGTGTTTCTGTTTTGTTCTGTTCTGTTTTGTGGTTTTTTCCCCTGATGGGGACTTTGGATTTCTACACTAAAAATTAATCAGGAGACCCTTGATTCAGCAGCAAGTCCTGCTAGGCTGTGTTTTGGTCTAGGCTTTTGGAGAGGGGCATAGTTGCCCAAGAATTCACAAAAGCATACTGAACAGAAAAATGAAAATAGAAAATAAATTTATGTTTCTAGAGAGATTAAGGCAGGGAGTAATTTAGTATTGGGGGAAAAAACTCCAACTCTGGGGCTAAGTCTTGAGAAGTGGAGAACTAAGTCCTTAATGGAGGATCCCCTATTGTAAACTCCAATGGTTTTCAATTAAAGGGCCACAAAGTAGTGAAAGCGATTTTTCGTATTTCAAGCAGCCTATTAGAAACAGAAGATCTGCTGGGATATGGTCACATGGACTCACCAGAAAGCCAAGTTGTTTTGTGTTTGAGCTGGAAGTCTCCCAAGTCAGTGTGGTAACACTGATTATCTCATCCCAATCAAAAACTCTTAATTGGCCATTGATGGTATCAAGGGCATTTCTGAGAGGAGATGTTTTACCTTCCCATTTTGTTATACGTTTTTGATTAATAAAAATGGAATTATAGCTGCATTATTATTTGTCCATAGCAGTTTGGAAGGCAAAGTCCTGCAAAACCCTGTGTTCACCAAGGAAGAAGCTTAAGGGGTCCTTGGTGGTGAAAAGTTGGGGAACCATCCTCTCCCTCTCCCTGGAACATGCACATTTCAAGGGAATAAACAGACTTCTTCTGAGCCAGAGTGGAGTGTGCCTGTTGTGTGAGAAAACGCAAAGACAGACAGTGTAAATTAACTGCATCTGGTAAGGTTAGGTGAGAAGGGGGAGGAGATAATTAGTTGGCATTATAGGAACAAGGACAAGGAACAGAGTTCTATATTTACACAGAGGAAATCCAAAATAGACTACATTGCACCCATTTGGGGCTTGTAAGGGAACTCACGGAGTTGGCAGATGGACGCAGAGACCAGACGCAAGGCTGATCCAAACCCCTGGATACCGTAAGCACCATTCCCACCTTCAACAAATGGAAACCTGACTTTATGCCCTTTTTTTTCTTTTCTTTTCTGAGACAGGTCTCCCTCTGTCATCCAGGCTGGAATATGGTGGCACGATCACAGTTCTCTGCAGCCTCCACCTCCTGGGCCCAAGTGATCCTCCTACCTCAGCCTCCTGAGTATCTAGGGCCACAGGTGTGCACCACCACACCTGGCTAGCTTTTTTAGTTTTTGTAGAGATGGGATCCCACTATGGTGCTCAGGTTGCTTCATGCCATTTTACTTCTGAAAATGAAGGCAAGAAGGCTAAGGTAAACCCGAAAGACATTCAGGAGCGATGAGACAAGGTTTCAGTGAGAGAACTCTTATCTTAAAACAAAAGCCCTTCTTGTGTCCATGTGTTCTCATTGTTCAATTCCCACCTATGAGGGAGAACATGCAGTGTTTCGTTTTTTGTCCTTGCGAAAGTTTGCTGAGAATGATGGTTTCCAGCTTCATCCATGTCCCTACAAAGGACATGAACTCATCATACAGGAAGGAGAACATCACACACCGGGGACTGTTGTGGGGTGGGGGAAGGGGGGAGGGAGAGCATTAGGAGATATACCTAATGTTAAATGATGAATTAATGGGTGCAGCACACCAACATGGCACATGTATACATATGTAACAAACCTGCACGTTGTGCACATGTACCCTAAAATTTCAATTAAAAAAAAAAAGCCCTACAATAAGCAAGCCAAACAAATGGATCTGTTTATAGTAAGGTGGGCTCACTTAAAACCTGATACTGGACTATTTACAGTACCCTTTGGTATGTATGTTTCCATGTGTAGACATGCAACATTTCGGAAGTAACGCACATTTCAAGTGAGGCAGAGACATCACTGGGCTATTTTATTGCACATAGGATAGTAAAAATAAATGCCACAGTCACATAAAACTCATAATCTGCAGCCAAGATACGATTTCCACTTTCTCAGAAGAATTTAAAGCATGCTAGCACAAACTATGAAGGCGCCTAATATGAAAATCTTTTCTTTCTATAGACACAAAGATACTTTCTTTTGTACATGTAATATGTGTGTTACATAGGAAGAAAACATGAGCATATTCAACTTTATCGGTGAATGCAGTGAGATGTAGTTCTTTAAAGTAAGAGCTCCTGCTTAGTGCAGAGCCATTAAGGTGTGTACTTATGAGAAGCAAGGTGCAGGTGAGTATTTACAGATTTGCAAACATTTCTAAAGCCGGTTTACAGGGTGTTTATTACGAAAAAGGATGTAACAGTCATGAGGTTAGAGTACCTTCTTAAAAGAGAAGCTAAAGATAGTGGAAAAGACTAGATCAAGATTAGTGAGCTCAATCCACAGGCCGGAAAGGACAGGGTCTAGGCTGCTCTCATATGCATCCAGTCTCCCAGAGAATCCCTGGGAAACACAGAAATGAACAGATCCAACTCATCAGTTAGGACAGAAAAAGTGCTGGGAGAATGAGGTTGTGGCCATGGAGAGAAGCACAGTCTGGAAGTAAGGACAGTTCTGCTGTATTCCTTTTTTTCTTTTTCTTTTTTTTTTTTTTTTTTTTTTTGAGACAGAGTCTCACTGTCTCTGTCACCCAGGCTGGAGTGCAGTGGCGTGATCTTGGCTCACTGCAATCTGTGCCTCCTGGGTTCAAGCGATTTTCCTGCCTCAGCCTCCCAAGTAGCTGGGATTACAGGCATGTGCCACCATGCCTGACTAATTTTTGTATTTTTAGTAAAGTCTGGGGTCCACTATGTTGACCAGGCTGGTCGCAAACCCCCGACCTCAAGTGATCTGCCCACCTCGGTCTTCCTAAGTGCTGGGATTACAGGCGTGAGTTACGGCACCCAGCCTGGAAGTAAGGACAGCTGTGTTCTAATGCCAGCTCTGCCCAACCAGCTGCACAACCACGGGCAAGTCATGCCACCGCTCAGCGTTCAGATTTTTCAGCTAGATGAGGAAAATGACTGACTCCAAAGAGTCCTTGCAACTCTATATATTTAAGCTTCTCTGTACTTTCAAAAAAGACCAGAGCAACCCCAATAGCTCCCTAAAACGCAGCTCACTGGAACCTTCTAAAATGGCAAAGACACTATACACATCCAACAAACATTTTATATTTGCCCATCATCCTCTTCAAGCATCTCAGAGAACACTGCAAAGCTGCCATTGATATTTCAGTAGCCTCTTGAAGCCTACAGAAGTGACTGCACCTCCTAACCCATCATTATATTATTGAAGAACAAAGATGCTGAGTGCTTTGTCCAAGGTCAGAAGCTAGGACAAGATCAGAATTCCAGCCTCCTCAGTTCCTAGGCTATGCTATACTTTCCACGAAGAAACCAAGCTGGCTTTCTGGGAAGAATGCCAGAGGTTCCATTCTCCCAACTGAGAATTCGTTGGAATATTGGAATAACAACTTTGGAGACTGTGGTCTCTCCAATCCATTTCAGGACCTGGCTAGAAATGTGAAAACCCAAAGAAAGAAGCAATAGGGAATTATTCCGTTTTTTAACGAAAGAGAAAAAAATTAGGGATGGGAATATGGGGTTTCTTAAAAATTACATGATTTCTGGAAGTTAATTTGGTATTTCTTCATTGGTTTGTAAGTTCTGTTTCCAATCACAAAAAACAGACAGCTGAGGATGCCTAAATCACATTTCAGTGAATTAGTGTCTTGTCCCAAAGAATCTTTCCCATTCTGAATATAACATAGAACACAGAATGCAATCCTCCATGGTAGAAAGGAATCTCCCTGAACACAGCAGAGAGCTTGCCATAATCCCCTAAACCGTAATCTGAATTGATAATCTTCCAGCCAAGCAGCAATCACCGAGAATAATAAAGTGGGTGCCACTTAACTTGGGGCACATTGCTTCTTCTAGAAAACTGATTGAGACCATACCCTGCCCGAAAGGAGAGGTGCCATCGCTTATATCCTGCACCACACATACTACTTATTAGGCTGAAGCTGGTGCACCTGGAAAAGACTCCACCACAGATTTAGAGACACGTGTTCCAAAGGAAGATTCTGGCTTCTTCCAAGAAAGGCCAGCATGAGGAGGCCTTTGTTGGATGAGCTTAGTGACTTGAAATAACATGAAACCAACTTGACAGCAAAGCTCCATGGATCAGTACTCAGAGTTGAGGTTCATGAAGAAAAGGAACCAAAAATGATTGAAAAATCACTTTTTCCCCCTACCTGTCAATTATGACTGGGTCCGATGGAGTCTCATTTCGGTTTCCACAGCTTTTCTTTTCGCAGCATCGACTGTAGATTGGGAAGGAACCAAGAGTGAAAGAAATTTATTAAATCAAGAAAATGCAATGAGCACATGACAAGAACATTTTTTCCCCCCAGACAGAGTCTGGCTCTGTCACCAGGCTGTAGTACAATGGCTTGATGCCTCCTTCTTGGCTCACCACAACCTCTGCCTCCTGGGTTCAAGCAATTCTCCTGCCTCAGCCTCCTGACTAACTGGGACTACAGGTGTGTGCCACCGCGCCCAGCTAATTTCTGTATTTTTACTAAAGATGGGTTGTTACCATGTTGGCCAGGCTGGTCTTGAACTCCTGACCTCAGGTGATCTGCCCACCTCGGCCTCCCAAAGTGCTGGGATTACTGGCATGAGCTGTAGTGCCTGGCCACAAGAACATTCACCTTCGTGAATCTGTCTTGGAGGGAAACAACACACACTGGGGCCTGTCCGAGGGGTGGTGCAGGGAGGGAGAGCCTCAGGAAGAATAGCTAATGGATGCTGGGCTTAATACCTAGATGATGGGTTGATCTGTGCAGCAAACCACCGTGGCACATGTTTACCTGTGTAACAAACCTATACGTCCTGCACATGGTCCCCTGAACTTAAAATAAAAGTTGAAGAAAAAAAAATGAATCTGTCTAAGGTAGCTTCCCAACTATAAGCTACTTGAGGGCAGGATTTATGACCATGTTTTATAAAATAAAAAATAAAAAACACTGAACCTGAAGCCAAAATATACTCAAATTCTCACTCTGTGACTTAGAAGCTGGCTAATTCTCAGCAAATCACAACTTTCCCATGAGTCATATTTGTAATCGGAACCACGGAAGGTTGGATATTAAGATGGATAAGGTCACTTCCAGATTGATATTCAATGATTTTATGATATTTTAGATATTTGTGGCTCAGTAAATAATTAAAGAAACGAGAGGAAGGAAAATATGTAAAATAGACTGCAAGTGGCTGCCAGGATTACTATAAACCTTATTTACATAACATCTTTCTCCAGAGATCTTGCTATACTTTATAAACATTTATTCATTCACTTATTTCCATCATTTTTCAGATGATGTAGGAAGACCAGAACTATGGTATACATTTTAAAATACGAGGAAAATGAAGCAAGGAGCTGTTGGATGGTAGCTCCAATAATTTTTACCAAGTCTGAAACAGAAATGGTATCCCACTGTTTGTAAGTCCCAGCTCTGAAAACTCCACTTTCCAAGACGTCCCTCTTGTGCTGGGTACCTGATAGAAAGACCTCAATAAATGCTGATAGGATTAGCTGAGAGGGAGATAAAGAAGATCCCCTGGGGCAATTACAACAAACAGAAAGTACTCCCTAGGACCTGAGAGGGGTGCAAAACACTCCAGTCCAAAGGTATCTGTTCGAAAATACCTAGACAAATGTGAGAAGGGCAAAGGAAGCTTGCTGGTAAGAAGCACTGGGAATTCACTCCCTTACCACCAGGGAGCCCATCTGCTGCCTATCAGGGCTACAGACTTCTGAATACCTCTCAGCTCATCTCAGGTACATGGTCCACTATCAACTATAGTTGGCTAAGGATGTAGCCTTGACATGGCTTTTTAAAAAATCTTTATCATCCATACTGGTTGGAGAATATGCCTAAGGAGTAAGCACACTAACAATAACCAAACTCTATGTGAACACTGCCCTGCCCATGGTAGTTTTTCTGTAGCATAAGTTTGACATGATACCTTAGGAAGATTGCTGAACTGGGAATCAGCGTTCTGGTGTCCAAGCTGTCACCAACCAGCTTCACAAATTTAGTCAAATGTCTTTAACCCCTCTGGGCTTTTTCTTTCTTATGAATAAAGTGAAAGTGTTGGATTTGATTCTCTCTAGAGTGTCTTCTAGGTCTAAGTCCATGAGGCTAGGGGATTCCATGAGCACCCTTTGAAAGTGGTGATAACATAAGGAAAAAGGGAAGTCATGTGACAGCAGGAACCCAATGGCCTAGCACCAACCCAGTCTTAGAATTTTTTTTTTTTTTTTTGAGACAGGGTCTCCCTTTGTTGCTCAGGCTGGAATGCAGTGACATGATCATGACTCACTGCAGTCTCAACCTTCCAGGTTTAAATGATCCTCCTTTCTCAGACTCCCATATGTAGCTGAGACAACAGGTGCACACCACCACACTTGGCTAATTTTTTATTTTTCATTTTGGTAGAGATAGGGTCTTGCTGTGTTGCCCAGGCTGATCTCGAACTCCTAGGCTCAAGCCATCTGCCCACATCGGCCTCCCAAAGTGCTAGGATTACAGGTGTATGCCACCATGCCAAGCCCCAGTCCTAGCTCTGTGGCTCTCTGCAGCTCATTTGCCCTCTCTGGTTCTCCACAGAATTAAACACAAACAAATAAATATCTTAAAACTTTTTAAACCCACCTCTTTCATGGGTGTGTGGATTCGCAAGTGAGTAAGTCTACCATCCTCAGAAAGTAAAATATACTTGAGAGATGCTTAAACATTTGCAGCAAATGGGCACAATGAGGTTTTAAGAAATTTAATCAAATTAGTAGGAAGGAAAAGAAAAATGGTCTCAACTTTCTTAAATACCAGAGTTTGCCACTGGGACTTTCTGAAATAATATTTGGCCTTTGAAATTATATTAGGTCTTAACTTTTAAAATTTCAATCCATCCCAAGATTAACACCAATAAAAATGCAGGCCAGCTGCTCTCCCACCTCCTAAAGCCCTTGTCTCTCTTCCCAAATCCCTACCCCCCACCCATTTCTCCCACCTTTCCTGTTTCTAGAATATTGCTTATGTCAACGTAATACCTTTGCAGCTCAGGCAAACCATTTTTCTTAGCAACACAGTTTCAAAAGACCCATACATGCCAGCTACCTACAGACCTTCAAGCAAGACTCTCCCTTTTGACATCACCAGCATGTCAACCTAACCCCAAATATGTGTGCAATGCCGGGTACAATTTAATTACAAGAGCACACACTGTCAGAACGTGCCAATCTGTTTAGTTTGGGTAGGAATGATTCTGAGGGGGCTGAGTAAGTTTTCAAAATTGTTCAGCTGAATTCAGCTGCCTTCCGTGGGGATTTCCTCTGGAGGAAAAGAAAACAGATAAAAATGTAAGCCTGGTGCCAGTGTAGTATAATGTAGGGAAAGAACTTGGGAGGAAATGATATTCAAAGAAAAATGCAGATAAACTTTAGGATCCAATCCTCCATTTTCCAACAGTAACATATTTAAATATCATCTCTAATGCTGATATTCAGCACAAAACATACATAGAACACACTCACTTGGCCATTGAACTATAATAGTAAAGGTATAAAAATAATAGAACTTGGTTGAATTAGCCCCATTTGAGCCCATCTTAAATTTTTTTCTGGGTCTGTTAAGTTGGCCAAAGCAAATTATTATTTTTTTTTTTAGAAAAGTTCTCACTAATATGTTCTAGTCGTTCTTTGTTTTTAACGGCATTCAGTCCTCCTGCCAGCAATATTAGCACAAGCAATGGGAAGTGGAGAACCTGAGATGTTTGTGAACCTACACTCCCCAAACAGTGTGGAACAGCTAAGAAACCAGGTCCCTGAATTACTCAGATGATAAACTCAATTCTGCCTTCCCTTTGCTGTGTAAACAAAGCCTGAGTGACCAACTTCAGGTTCAGCTACTTTAGTTAAAAGGCTTTTAGGATTATTCTCCAACAAGCAAGTCTGAAGTTCCTGATAAGTGTTTTCTAAAACTAAAAATGACTCTAAGATTAAAAAAAAAAGTAATAAAAAAATAAATAAAACAAAGAGAAGAGGAAACTGAGCTTGGCAATAGGTTAAGACTGTGTTCGTAACAACCCCAGAGAGACTCAGAGGTGCTCTTTTTTCCTAATGAATGAAAATGAAAGCTGTTCCACTGTTTCTCTCTGGCTTGGTTTGGTTTATTTTATTCTAGTACTTATTTGGAGAATCTTTTACTTGAAACACTCTCAATTTATTCTCCCCATCTCCACCCGGAGTCTTTGAAGGAGAGAGAAAAAATAAAACAAGTTGGAAGTGGGAGGTGGGGAAATATGAGAACTCTTATCACAATCCTGAATCATACCTGCATTTTTTAGAAAGGGAAAAAGAGGAATAAAAGATGGCTGGGGAAGGGGAAAAAGCCCCAGCCTTGGACAGAGAGTGTCCCGTCAGCCAAACTCCAGCTCACGACAAGCGAGTGTGTCCCTTTCCCCTCCAAAATAGTTTTTAAAATTCAACCTTCAACTTTCAAAAATCTGTCTCTAATTTCAAACTCAAATAAGCGCACAGCATGGTGGCTTTTGTTTTGTTTTCTTCTCCCCAACTCCTCCCTGCGATTGCATAACAAAAGTGTCTAAATTCACACCATCTGGCCGATAAAGACACTGGCCCCACTGCCCGGCTGGCCCATCTGATTAGGGCCCTGTCTAGCCTGCGCCTTGTGGCGAAAAGTCACAGCTGTGGGGTTTGCTCAAGCTCAATACAACTCTGTTATTAGCCAGCTGTAGGCCTTGAGACGACTTCTGTTCAAATTATAATATCTTTTAACCCTCTGAGCATTGAGGGCTCAGGGGTGGCTGGCAGCGACATAACAACTAGATTTCTCCTTGCTAATAATTGGCAAAATGAACCAAAGCAGGGAAGAGAGGAACAGAGACCATTGGGGAAGGGAGAAAAAAAAAGTTATTCCTAAAGAGATTTATTTTGTCTCTGCTTTGTTCCCCCATTCAAAGCTAAACACAGATTTATGAGGCTTTTACTAAAGATTACGGAACATAAAACCATCCGGGGAAGTGCCCAGGTATGCCAAATAACACTATGCAAATGAAACTAAGTATATGCAATAACCCTTGAGAAACAGGGCACCTGATTCATCTCTCAATCATTGACTGCTACAACTGGCTCTTAAAATGTAAGAGAAGGAACTTTTCCCCCTTCCTGGAGTATCAACCAGCTCTAACTGACAGATTGAATGAGAACTTCCCTTTTGGATGCATCTAATATTTGCCATTACCCATCTCATCTGCACACATGTACACACACACATGTATGCTGCAGACAGTATCCATCCAATGGATCATTTATTTACACATAATTAATATTTATTTTAAATTGTAGTTTGGGAAGAAAACAGCAGAGCATCTTCCCAGGTCTCCAATGCAGAGAAGTTACAGTACATTAAATTTTTATATTGTGTTACTAATGCAGACTAAACTAGAGGCTTTAAAAATTGATGCTGCTACTTAAACAGCATAAAATGAGGAGGATTTGATTGGGCTTAAAAATAAAAATGTCAGTCTTAACTACAGCTGGATGGGGCATGCAAGTATTATTTTAAATGATAGGTATAATTCATTAGACAATGGATCAATTTTTTGTTTTCTTTCCTTTTCAGGAGGTAATCTCTCCAAACAAAGGCATAAAAAGAAAAACCTCCCTTCAACTAACCAACCTAATCAAAGCGTTCTATTTAAATCTAGGTATTATATGAACTACATCTCAGAACTGTATTTTCTTTCTGAACAAATCTATCAAACGTCCCTGAGATATTGGAGTATCTATCTTCTTACTCCTCCCAATGCCTTCCCCCCAGCTACTCCAGCAAGGAAGCCTCCATTGCTTTCAGCTGAAGCCACTGGCATTTGGAAAGTTTGTTTTGGTACTTGGTCAAAACCAAAACAAACATGTCTGATTGTTATGGTTTCTTCCTGACTGGGTTGGGGAGGGAGACAGGGCTTCAGGGAGCTGCCCGTAAAACAGTACACACTAAATCAGATAATCTGCAATTACCCAAAGCTAGTAAGTCTGGAGTTAGGAGACATTGACTAAAGCAATAGCCAAGTAAGGAAGAATTGAGACTTTCCCTCCAATCAAAGATTTTTGGAGGAAGAAAAGCATGTATGGAGCAGACATTTAAATTTTCATAATAAAATAGCCACACTCTTCCCAGAGTTTCCTATTTATATCCTTTCTTGTCTGCGGTGGGATCCCCAGCACCCAACCGATACCGGGCACACGTTAGGCACTCAATAAACATTTGTTGAAAGAATAAGGGTAGATGCAATTCTTCTGATTTTTTAAACTTTCTTCTAGTCAGGCAGAAAAAAAGGGTGGGGGGGGAATGCACAGGACTCAAGGTGGAATGGATTGATCTCTGAAAGGAAGATGGGAAAGGTGCAGGAACGCCAGTAGACTGAACCTTTCACGACGTGAATATCAGAATCCAGCTGTTGCTCCACACTCCAGATCTCCCAGCGGGTCCTCTCCCTGCCCCTCCTAACGCTGGTGGGAACTGGACTGATCTTTCTTCCAGGTAGTTCCTTCTGACCTGAGAAACTCCCCCGACACGAGAACTCCTAAGAGAGCAACCTCCCGGGAGGAAGAAACGCCCACGCATCACAGCAGGTGCCTGGGTGCCAGGAAGCACCCCGGAAATGAGCCGCTGGACCCTCTGGTGGTCCCTCGCCCAGACTAGGAGTCGTTCCAGGGCTTTCACTCAGTAACTCCAAGTGGAGTTACTGGAAATCTACCACAAGAGGCCCGGCGGGAACTCCAGCCGATCCCAAACCCGGCCCGGGGTTGCCCAGCCCGCTTCCACCACTACCACTGACAAGGGCACAGTGGAGACTTTCCACGTAGCCGGAGGAAACTCCTGCGACATCAGAGAGGTGGAATCCCGAGTCGTTCTGAGTCCCAATGGTTATGCTTTAAGACACTTGCATGAAGGGGTTTCCGTGGATCTACACTCTGCGCCCGTCTGCCCGCGAGGCCTCCCAGCTGCGAGCGCTCAGTCCTGAAAGTTAGTCCCGGGAACGCGGCGCGCCAAGGCGGGGCTGGAGCACCTGCGGGCTCTCCAGGAAGGCCTGGGAAAAGGCGGCTCTTACCTACACATCACTTCGTGCGTCAGGAGAACTCGGCACATTTCCGGATTCTTATTCTGTCCCTCGTAAGCGATGGGCTGTGAAGGAGGTAGTGGCAGGAAAGGAAGATGTGGAGAGGGGTGGGGGGCAAGGAAAGAAGGGACTTCAGAACAAGCACAACATCGCTTTCCCTCCCACTACCTGCCACCGCATTAGGAATTCCCGCCCGCAGCACATTCTGCGCGGTTGCCGAGTTTGGACTCGACTGAAATCATAGAGAAGTTTGCCCCAGTGAGAACATCATTCTTAGCAAAATGGAATGTTTGCGGGAACTGAATCTCCCAATAATTGTTTCCTCTCCATCCTTTTTGTTCGCCTCTTACTGCCCCCAGGGTTTCCCTGAGCCAGACAAAACAGGTCACTTGGTGAGACAGGGAAGAAAAAAAAAAAAAAATCTTCCCTAGCAGACAAGGTGCTGGGAGGGGGACGTGGAGGGGGCTGTGGAGTCTGACCCAGGAAATCGTGGAGGAGGGGCAGGTCAGAAACAAACTGGGGGGTTTGGGGGTCGGGGTCAGAGACAGGCGAAGAGAAGCCAAGTGGCCTCCGGCTCACCTGCTTGGTGACCGAGTCGATGAGCCTGACATAGAGGTCCTGTTCCGTGCGGACACCTGCGGGGACCGGAGGGGCACGAGTCAAGGGCCGTAGAGCCCCTTCCGGGCACCCCAAACCCTTCTCTGCCATGGGTCTGAGGCCCAAGCAGCCTCTCCATGCTGAGCCGCCCTGGAGACGGTGACCTCCCAATCCCCTGTCCCAGGCAAGCCTCCCGCCGCCCTGGGCTCCATGCGATCCCTGAGAGTGATCATGGCAAGGTCAGCGCGTGCGGCCCGGAAGCCGGCTGCTAGGCGCCGGCTCACCGTTGCTGTAGAAGAGCTCACCGTTGCTGTAGAGGAGCTGTAACTTGTAGTGAGTGCCGTTGTTGGTCTTCTCGTTGCCTTGTTCCTGAAAAGACAGGCAGCGTTCGATTCCCTTGCCTTTCAGCCCCCCAAAATGAGGGAAAGAGGAGACAGTGAATCCCCACCTCACATCCCTTCTCCCCATCAAAAGGCAGCTTTGAGTAACCCCCTGTTCAGCCCTAGGTCAAAGGGCATGAGCATCTGCCTGTCCTTGGCCGCCCCCGGAAACTTGCCAAGACTCGTAGCCACTTGACCCTTTCCAGCCCTCTGTCTCCCTTAAAAATGTCCTCAGAAGTGTGACCCTTGAGCTTCCGACAACAGGACCACTTGCCAAAGCTGCCTTTAAACAGGCACCACCCAACCCATCGGGCTCTGTCTGTCCTTAGGAAGCCCCAAGGCTTCCCTTGGCAGAAAAGTGAAGGGACTTGTCATTTGGAAAGGCAGCATTCGGGCCTATCCCGCGAGGACTGCGCACGCAGGGCCACGAGCTCAGGGACTGAGTTCCAGGTTCAGGAGGGACTTTGGGAAGTGCCTACTCTAAAGCTCACATTGTACAGCTGGGGACACGGAGACCCGGAAAGGGCAAGGGATTTTCCTTTGGTCACACATAGGTTTCGGCGGACTGTCCTTCATTTGAGACCGAACCCAGCCCCCAATTCCAGGCTTGAGTTTGGAGGAGGCGCTGCCTTGGAGAACAGAACAGGAGAGAAGACACGGCCAGAAGGCAGGCCAAGGCTGGGCTGCCGGTTTCCACTTAGTGCCGCAACTCAGGCCACCTGGCTCTCGCAGGTGCAAAATAATTAAAATTAACCCAGAGAAGGGGAGCGGCGGCCTTGGGTGTACTTTTTAACTAGTCCAAGGGGCGTTTGCTCCGCCGTCAGTCCATAACCAGGCGCTACTAAGGCCTCCAGGCTCGGTGCGCAGAGCCGGGAGCGCTCCTCCAGCTCCAGGTTGGGGGAGTCGGGGTGGGAGGAGGTTCGGGAAATCGACTGATTTAGAGGCTGGGGGTGAGTAGCCTCGATTTATCATCCCTGATGGTGAGAGTGGAAAAGTGTCGCGAGAGTGACAGATGGAATCTTTAGTGCTTCGCAAGAGGGAGTTATTAGGCCGCGGGGTTTGGGGGGTACTTTCCGCTTACTTTGTCATTCTCCACAAAGTCCACGAAGGCCGTCCGCTCGATCTCCACCGGCTGGCCCTGCCTGTCATAGAGCGCCAGGACGAAGTGAAAGAAGTTGGATTTCCTCAAGTTGGAAGGAGGCTGTTTCTCAAAGTGGGCCCGGGACAGGGCGACCCCGCTGCACAGGGAGAAAAACGGGGGAACACAAGACACGGGGAAGCACAAAAAGGCGATGTTACTAACCGCCCACAACACTGCAGAGGGGTAAGGGGTCCACTTCCCAGGTCCAGAGTTCTGAACCCTTCGGGCCTTTTTTCCAATTCGGATAAGGAAGAGGAGACTCCTTAAAGGAGTCACCGTGGCCACGGGGGTTGGGTGGCAGGGTTGATACCTGGGGTCTCTGACACCACCAAGTGGTCCGGCATCCCACCGCTGGGCCACTCACCATCCCGTCTTTAGTCGAAACCGAAAGACCCCGGCTGCAGACAGAGGCCCAGAGTGGTCCCCTAAGGAGGTGGCCCGCGTCCTATACCGTGGGGCTGTCTCCATCCACTCCCTCAGGTGGTACTGCTGGGTGTATCAGGATGCAGAGCTGGGGCCCAGGGTTAGGGGAATAAGTGCCTCCTTTGCTTTGGAAGAAGCGACCCTTTTATTTAGTATTAATTCGAGTTATCAGTCCTGGACCCACTGCTCACAACGCCCAAATGCTGACTGGGAAAGGTAGTGGGTAAGAACCCCAAGGGGCAGGCGGGAGAGTAACACAGAGTCCAGGTCTGGGTCCTTGGGCTGCTTGCCTCGCTCTTCCGAAAAGTTGTGCCTGGGACAGAGACAGGGCGGAATCCTCGCGACCAGCCCCGGGGATCGCTGGCCACCACAAATGAGATGACCGACATAGGGGGCCCTCCCTCCCAGAGGTGCTAGGTGGGGAAAAGCCAAACTGTTAAAAGGCGAGAACCTCCTTTCCTGGGGCCAACGCGATCCCCACTCATGCTGCGTTTTCTGGCGGCGCCAGCCGAACCCAGTGACTGTGAAACCCAAGTTGGGGGACCCGGAAGGCGCCCTCGAGCGTGCTGAGTGTGTGCACACGCTTCCCAGCCAACCGGTCGCAGTCACAGCCCACCTGGCCATCAGATCCCATTTCACCGAAGACTTGGGGCTGAGGTGAACGCACAGATTGCGGGAGCTGCCCTGCGGCGCTGGGGTCTCCCAGGTTGAACCCCGGTGCGCAAGCACCTTCATTCACTCTTTTGAAAGGGGTAACATTTTGGCTAAGCTCTCCCCCACTAAGTCTGCTCCTTCCAGCTTCAACAAACTTTTTGATCCCGGGAAGGAAGGAAAGCGAGGGAGGCGTCTTTAAGGAGCCCAGCTAAGGAAATGCGCGGCACAGTTGGCTCTGCGGTGCTGCCTTATTTCCCTTAGCTCGCAGGCGGGCCAGTCCCGAAGCGCTGCGGAAAGCCGCGGCCGCCGCGCTGTGCGGTCTGCCGGAGGGAAATCCGCGCTCCCCGGGCCACAGGAGGGAGGGAACCGCCGCCGGCCCAAGTCCCGGAGCGATAAAACTTCTGCTTTCTCCGCTCCAAGGGTAGAGGCCGGTTCGCTCTACCCGGGACACCTGGCCAGTTTGGGAAAGGGATCATTTCTCCGTGTGATGTTGGCACTTAAATGTGGGTGGCCAGGAGGGCAGCAGGGGAAGCGAGGGTAGTGGAAGAAGTTCATCGGCTCTTTGGGGGTAGAAGGGCTGCCTCTCTCGCAGACAAGGACCTGGAGGCCACAAATCCCAACTCAGTAGTGGTGATGAGAGAGTGGGACCGTAATGTCTTCGTAGGGTGGCACCCCGGACATGGTATTTACTATCCCAGCACGCAGACGCCTAAACACAAAGTCAACTTCAGGGATCCGCAAAACCAGAGGCTGGCGATCCCTGAGCCAGTCTAGCTGCTGGTGGCCTTTTCTCGCCTCTTTCTTCTTCCGCAACTCTTTCTACTGTGACTCAGTATTTTCTCTTCTTTTAAATCTCTTCTTTTCTCCAGTTCCCTAGCTCCGTTCGTCTGGCTCACTGTTTTATCTTTGAGCCGGGACCCTCCAGCCTGTCCCCCCTCCCAGAGCTCCCGGCCGCCTCGTCTTCCCGGGCAGCCGCTCCGGCTTTTCCCGCTCCCCTCGCCGCCGCCACCCTCTGGCCGCCGGCCTCCCAGGCTCCAGGAATCGCCCAGCAAGATGCGGGAGGTAGGCGCTCGCAGGCGGCGTGGCGAAGCCAAGAGTGGCCAGGAAGCCGGCTTTCCTCCCGCGCCGCCACTGCCAGCGCCGGTGTTCACGCTCCGTTCGGGGCCAGGCCGGCTCGGCTTGCAGGACTAGGGGCTGAGCTGGGAGATGTTGGGGGCTACTTTATTTTTCCTTGCAAAGAGTGGACTGTGGTAAAGGAGAGGGAGAGAAACGCCTACGACCCAGGCAGTTCAGGAACTCGAGTGCCGGCTGCCGGGTGAGCGTTCGCCTGACTGCAGCGATCTGCTTGCCCGAGGGCGAGCCCCAGCGCGCAGGGCCTGGGCGACAGATGGGGGGACAGGGAGAGAGAAAGGCACGGGGTGCGCGGGGGGGGTGCACACGGAGAGACAGACCGTAAGAGCGAGAGACAGCATAATAATTGCGCGGCCGTGTCGTTACCTCTGCGCGGCGACATTAGCGTCCACCACTCCGACATTCCGGACCCAGGACCTGACCGAATCCATCTCCGCGCCCAGCGATTTCTCTTTCAGAGTTGGTCCTCTTCCTAAAGTATCTTGAATTCCAAACATTTAAAAAGTCTGATCCTCTACTGTCGCTTTAAAAGTAAGAGTTACAACACAGTCCTGACTGTTCCCAACGTTGCCAGCAAATCGTCTCCTCCAAAGCAATCCAAGAAAAGGGATCAAGTGCCCAAGTTTGAGTCTTAGAAAAAAAAAAAAGATAACCCGTCCTTTGCTTCACTGGCGAGGTGCGGACTGATGTAGTCAAAGTTTGGGTTCTTATCCTCCGCAAGTTCAGATCTGCCGCCTCAGCCACTCCACCCTAGGTCGCTCGCATCCTTCCAGCTGCAGTGCTGCCTCCTGAAAGTGATCACAATTTAGAAGCATCACCTGTTCTGGGAGAAACTGGAGGAAATTGATGGCTGCCTAATCTCTCCCCTTCCTCCAGGTCCCCCCTCCCTGCTCCTCCCCACCGTTCCAATTTAGAAAAAAAAAAAATCCCCAACAGGATCAGTTGTAAAAAGAAGGGGAAGACCTGGAGCCGAGAGGAGGCGGTGGCTGCGAGCGCCACGGAGCCCGGCTGCAGCCGCGCGCGGGCCCCATGAATGGGTTACTACGGCCCTGGCTGCGGGAGGCGGAGCTGCGGCCCGATAAGGAGCCTCATTTGCATGGACGCGCGGGATTGGCCGGCGCCTGGCAAGCCGGGCCGACGTCCTCCGGCGGCGCGCGCCACGCTCTGCGTTGCCGGGACTCCGGGAGGTGAAAGGGGACAGAAAGCTGCGGGCGTCGAGTCCTAGCACGAACCCCGTGTGCTTGCGCAGGATTGGGGGGCCCCCACACCCTGCACTGACTTAGGGTAGCAGGTCTCTGCGGGCTGGGGACGCAGGGGTTCGGCCTGGCTGCGGGAAGCCTCCCTGGATCCTGCCTCTAGATGTAGGCTTTTGTAGCCTGCCGGGAGGCACGTTCGTTCCCGGGGTTCGGATCTGTGTGCATGCTTGTGAGCGTGGCCACATGTGCTTATGTTTTGCGCAAACGTCCCCCAGAGCACCCAGCTCCCTGAATGGCTCCCCAGGTCTCCTGGAGTTCCATGGTGATATCAGATGTTGTGTGCGGCTTGCACGTTGCTGAGAGTGGAGAACATATGAAAGAAGGCGGGGGATGGGGTGGGGCGGACAAGCGAGGGGCAAGTGCTGCTCAAATACAGTGCTGGGGAAAACGGTCCAGGACCTAAGGAAAACACCCGCGGGCGGGCGGGCGCGAGCGGCAGTCGCACCCGTGTGGAGGAGAGGTTGCTGACAGATCGAGGCGGGCTGAGTGCGCGAGCGGCCGGGGAGTATTCCCGCGGGTCCTCCGGTTCCCTCCCCACCTCTCCGTTCCCGAAGCCCCCGGTAGTGGGCGGGGAGGGACGGGGGAGTCGTGGAAACTTCGCCCACCGCGCGCGGTCGCCGCGGTGCTGGCCGCGGGCTGGTGGCCGGCAGGCGGTGGCAGCAGCCTCACCGAACAGCTGAAACCCTAGACGGTTTTTTAACTGCGCGGGGCTGCTCGCGGTGCCTATTAAACATCCTCCTGGCTGGGTGTCATTTTCTTGCTTCTCCTTTTGTATTCTGATCTGCGCATAGATCTGCTGCTGCTGAAATCTAGAACACCAGCGCGAAAACAGATTTGAAGACAATGAATGCAAATCTGTGCTCAAAGACCATCTGCCGTGGAGGAGACAATCAGCTGTTCGTAGTTCGAGCGATTGCGCCCCAGTCTCCCGGTCTCATTACGGGGAGGGCATTTGCGAGCGCCTGGACTGCGTTCAGGGCACTTTCTCCCCTCTTGGGTCTCAGATTTGAGAGACCAGATCCCTTAGGTGTAGGTGAGCGCTCGCAAATGAACTGCTAGAGTTTGCCGCTAGAGGACACAGCGCCTTGCAACTGGTTTGCCTAGGCTGACAGGAAGCTTGCACTTCAAGAAAACTCGGCTCTCTCGAGAAAGGGACCGGTGCGCGCCTCCACCTCCCCAAGGGACAAACCGCGGCACCACGCTGCGTGCGCGGGATTGCGACTAGGAAGTGCTGGTCCGAACTGCGGAGATTCGCTTGAAAACGGATAGGGGGTTAGGGAGTTTGCGGGGCGGGTGCACGGACCGTCTCTGCACAGGCCCCGGGATCCAGGGACTGGGGTCATTGATTTGGGGGAAGGTAGAGAAGGTAAACCCCCCGCCTCTGGGTTGTGTTGACTGTGGTACCCCGACCCCAGAGCTCTGGCTTGGTCCTCCCTGTTGGACTGGAAGGGGCGGGAGAGCCATACAGGGCGATTGGGAAATGGATCGGGTGGCTAGTAAAAGCCAAGTAAGACAGGAGTGTCCAAAGGAAGAAGGGGGTAGGGAGGGAAATTTGTAGGGATGAGATTCACTGCCCTGTTTCAACTCGGCAATTCTCTGTTACATGCAGGTTTTACGGAGAATTTCGGTCCCAGCAAAAACTGATCACCTGGAGTCTTCTACGGTCTCTCTTTATAAATCTCTCCGAACCTCAAGCAACTCCCCCCCACCCCCTTCGTCTGGGGTCTGCGCCCAGCGGGGCCAAAGCCTTGAGTTCCTTGGCAGAGAGTGTGGAACAGCCGTGAGCCCTTCAAGACATGCCTATGAGCCCGGTGATTTTTTTTTCAAGGGGGCTTTGATCAGCTGTACCTCCACGTTGCCCCGGAAAGGTGCGCAGGGCACCCGGAGAGGCCTCTGGTCAGCAGTGGGCCTGGGCCAAGCCCCAACAGTTTACCCCTCAGGCTCAGGTTGGCTGGGGTTAAAGGGCAAAGTCAGGGTCGAGGGCACCAGCTTTTCTCGGCGGTAACAGCTGCCACCCAAATTATGCCCCCTCAGGAAGCGAATGAATTGTTCCTTTCTCCCAGCTCCCTGCTGCCCGCCCCAAAACAGACGGGGCCGCGCTCGGCGGGCGCCCCTCCTCCCAGCCAACCCCCCGAGACGCGCTCAGGGGCCTCGGTGCCCCGCTGGGAGGCAATTTGGGGGAGCCGTGGTCCCGAACTTTGACAGAGTGGGGCTTCCCCACTACTTGCCGGCTGCGCTAAGGGCGCCCCCCGCGGCAGTGCTGCTGGGAGCTCCAGGGATGGCTGTGTGGCTCGCTGCGGGCGTTGAAGTTCCCTGTTGGCCAGGCTGAAGTGCCTGCGCGAGCGTGAGGGGACAAGGACTGCCTTGGGCCCAGCGTGGCGGCGTTTCGGCCAACCCAGTTGGGGTTAATTGCGTCTGTATAGGTTTTGGGTAGGAATGCTCGCGGAGTCCGCCACCCGCGCGAAACATGCGTTGGTTGGGGGAATGAGCAGCGGCGGCTGCGCCTGGAGGGTTGCTCCCACCTCTGTCGCCTCCAGCTACCCCCAAACAAACCTCCTTTTCGATCTCGTGCAACACAAAACCTGCCCCGAGCTGTGCGGGGGCCTGGCAAGCGCAGCTGCGGCCCCGGGAAGCCCAATCCCGCGGGACTGCGGAGCCCACGCGCTCCTCAGGCTCCGGCCAACTAGCTCGGTTCTGCCTCTAGCCCGGGTCAAGAAAAATCCAAAATGAACACTATGATTAAAATTATTCACAATCTATTTATACAAAACTGGGGGTGTCTGTCTTTTACCCTGTCCCCTTCTTCATTTACCCTTCCCAAATGACCCTCACCCCCGTTTTTTTCATGTTTCTGTTTCACGTCTGCAACCCAGTGCGGTATGTTCGATTTCCTTTTAATTGGTTTTAAGCCCCTTTGCTCAATCTCGTCCGGTCCAGTCATCTGGGCGCCAAGTCTCTCCTCCCGATCAGAGGTTCGGAAATTTTACTTAGAAACTGCTCTCCTGGCTGTGTTCCTGTCCGGCAGGACACTGGGGTGAATTCAGAGATGTCAGAACACACCCCTAAATACGACCTTCACCCCCTCTTCCAGACACACACCCCCTGCGCCGAAGCACAGAGCCAGACAGTAGCCGGGGAATTCGATTCACAGGGAGAGCCAGTCTGGGTTTTATAAATGGAAAAAGTGGCTGTCCCCCTGGCCTGTCTTCGAACGTGAATTTTACAATTTTGGGTTTTTTATTTTTTAAGCTGGAACTTTTACTCTTTGTCCGACTACAAAGAAATAGCTTTACTTGGCATATCAGAGACCTGCCGAATATTTAACTCACAATTCTTTATGAAATGCTTTTTTTAAATATCGAACTCCATTAACTCTCACACCAAATTGCAACTTTGGCATTTTCTTCCGGAAACTAGATTTGTATGTTCTATAAATGCAAATTCCCTAGAGAGGGTGGGAGAAAAGAAACTAATCATAAATGCACGACAAATATCTCAGGGGGACTCCGCCGTCAATACCAAACAGCTCCCTTATAGGACAATTTGGGTAAGAAGTGGATTCGCTTCTTTTGTTTTCGCATAGTGAAGGAGATTCAGCGGCAACAGCTGCAGAAATACTGAGTCGTGGAGGAACGTTTTAGAGACACTTGATGTCGGTTGTATCCAGGCCAGTCGGGGCACTGCAGTAAGTTTACCCAAAATAGACTGGAGGAGCCAGATTCACCGCTACCCTAACACTTGGCAACTCCAGAAAGTCTTCCTCCTCGTCTTCCTCTCCTCTGCTCCTCCTCCCCCTGGTATTCTCCTTCAGAAATATCCCTCTTTCCCATCTCCTTATTCCGGGTGCAGAACGAGCGAGGAAGCAAAGCGGAAAGGTCAAGAGAACAAATTCTCGCAGCAGCAGCTTGGGGAGCGCGGGTGACCACGCGGAAATAGAGGCCCGGGAGGTGTGTGTGCTGCGGAACAGGCTGTCTGTATAGGGAAGTGATTGATAGCTTCCACGCGAACCTGGGGACCCGATTTCCCAGGTGGGAGGGGTGACTTTCACGTGAAGCCCCTGCTGGGGGCCTTGCTGGGGTAAATCGGCTGGCCGATTACAGCCCCTTTCAGGGAACTGTGCACGAAGGCGGTGGCATCTGTCATCACTATTTACGGTGCAGCGATCAGGGCAAGTTGACCCGCATTAAAAGGCCTAATCATGCTGGTCTCCGTGAAACGGAAGACCAAGAGGAAGGTACTAACGATCAGAGGCAGGACTTGCCCAGGCCCTTTCTCGCCCTTAAACTTCACAGCAACACTTCCAGTGGAATTTATTGATTTGTTTGCCCCCATTTTACAGATGAACAAAATGAGGGTGGGAGATGACAAGTGGCATCCCAGCTGCTAAATGGGGAATAAGGATCCTCCCCGATCTTCCACTTCTAATACTCAACAATAGGGTGCAACAGAAGGCCTTCAGAAAGAAAAAGTTAAATATGACATTTTTCTTTTTTCTTTTTTTCCGGCTTCTTAGCTCAGTGATAACCGAAGAGCTACTCTGAAATGCCCCCCTTTTCCTGGTGGTGCCCGCCAGCCGGCAGGGGAAAGCCCGAGGGACCTCCCAGCTCCTTCCCGGATCGCGGCGGAGGTGTGAGCGATGTGTTGATTATTCATATTTTTACCGAGCGCATACTCTGCTGCGGCCGGCGCCGCCACATTTCACACGTACACTGACGTACCCACATGCACAAGCGCTCACTCGGCCCCGCACGCAAGCAGCGCCCCGCGCGCCCGGGGCCCTCCTCGGATAAGGGAGGGGTGACAAAAGTCTCCCGCTCACTGCTGCCTACCCACCCCCAACCCGGCTGCCTTTTCCTCCAGGCCCCCACAAACACCCTTGGCTTTCAGATCCAACTTTCTTCCTCATAATATACTAGTCACCGCGACTCCCGCCTCCCGGATTTGAGGATGGGGGAGACTTTGGCGGCGGGGGTCAGCTGCAAATATGGCACCATCTAGAATTTCATTCCATTTAGCACTAGGCAACCTCCTCCTCCAACACACACACGCACTCGCACACCATCACGATCACCTCCACCTACACTGGCACACCTCACTCAGGTGGCAAGAGAGAAAATCCAGGAAAGTCACTTGCATAGAGTGCACGGATTTCAAGAAGTCTTTGACGGTGCAAACTGGACTTCTAATCATGGGATCTCTCCAAACACAGCCCAAGGCCTAGAAATTCCATTTCTGGCTCACGGAACCTTCCACCCCCACCCCCTCACCTGCCGCGAGCCGGGCAATCATTTCGGGGCGCCAGTGGGTCCAGGGCGCACGGGACATGGCACCCACGGAAAACCTCAGAGCCAGCTGGGAAAACAGAGATCGCTCTCCTGGCCGGGCAGCTCCATACCACCCTCGAAGGGGGACACAACTTCCACTTACTCTTTTCTCCCAAAGGAGAGCAGATGGGGGTCACAGGGCTTGGGGGTCACTGCGTTCAGACAGTCACCCCGCGCGGTAAGTGCTTAGAGCAACGTTTATAGGGCAATGCTGGCCTCGCCGCGTAGGGGTCGCTGGACTAAATGCCCAGAAACCCTCACAACCCGTGATGTCCACTTTCCGTGGATCTGAACCCGGGCAAGTTCGGTCGTTTCTGTTGTCCTCACTCGAAGGAGAAACTTTGGTGTCCGCAGACCCAGGTTAGAGGCTGGCATTTACTAATAAGGTCTCTGGCATTTGTTGTTACTCCTCTGAACCTCGGTTTCCTAGCCAGTTAAATGGGAATGTTATTCCTCTGAATTTCAGCTCCCTTACTGGTAAAATGGGGATATTTATTCCTCAGAGCTTTGCTTGCCTTACGGATAAGACAGCTTAGGTGAAAGTATCTGGCACGCAGTAGGTGTTCAATAAACGCTTGCTTTCCTTCAGCATCTGCAGGTGTAAGATGAGGATGATCACATCTGCTTATGGAATTCACTGGGTCCTGAGTCTCCTATGGGGATGGGTTTCCTTTCCCCCGACCTATGCGCTCCTGAGGCAGGGATTCTGACTCGCTTGTCCTTGCAGCTCCTTTGCCTGGCACAGGGACTGGATCGCTCAGTGGGTGATAAGCTTTTTGTTTGTTCCGCATGGAATTGCATGTGAGAAAAGCGCTTTGGAAGCTGTTTGGTGCACGCGGGCGTCAGAGGGCACCGTAGGTCACTGAGCGGGGTCTCACCCAGGGAGAGAATGCGACTTCATTCCTAGGAGGCTGTGCTGGGGGCTCCGCGCTGCGCGCGGCAGTGAGTAGGGCGCACCCCGAATGCAAGTGCGGTTCGCTGCGTGGCCGCGTGCTGGGATGGATCGCGGAACTCGCTAGATAATTGAAGATCTCGAGGAGCTCTGAAATGGATCTTCGGTTTCTACGACAAACCCCCGTCGATGAGTGGTTCACAGAGAGCTTGGGGAGCCCCTCCCCGCCCTGCGCCCTCAGGAAGAGACGCGGCTCGCCTGACACTACTGGTCTCTGTCTCCCGAGAGCCAGAGCCGAGCTCCCCGAGTGGTGCTTTCCAGAGCCCGCATTAAACGAAGCTGGGAGGGAGAACTGAGACACTGTCAGCCAGGAGGTGGCTGACTGGAGGCTGCGGGGTGCGGCAGTGGTGGCGGGGGGAGGGGGGAGGCGGTGTTAAGGGGTGAGGTTCCAGACTTTTCCATTCCACAGAACTAGAAGCTCTTTTAAAACTTGCAGCATCTTTTATGCAAAGGCAATGCATGTTTATTGCAGAAAAATATATACAAATAAAAACAAAAGAAATTTGTAACCGCCTCCAATGGCATCAACATAAATAACTGTTGCTACCATTTGGATGGGTTTTCTCCCTTTATTTTATGCATATTTCTATATACAGTACTCTAAATGGGAGCATAGACTATATGCTGATTTGTAACCTGTTGGCTCACTTAATATAGCATATTTTCCTATGCCATTAAATATTTTTCTACAGTAACATTTAATATTTGCATAGTATTTCCCTATCCATACCATAAATTGTTTGACCAGTCTATTGGATTGGACATTTAAGTTGCTCTTAATTCTTCACTATTATAAACAATACTATGATGAACATCTTTGTAGCTTAGTTTTTCAATAACTATGATTCTTTCCTTAAGATAAAGTCCTAGAAGTAAAATTGCAAAATCAAAGGCTTTGCATGTTTTTACACCTTAATACAGATTGACAATTTGGCCTCTCGAAAGACTAAATGTACACTTTTGCCAGCAATACCTGATATTACCCCTTCTGGCCCTCACCCCTCAACCTTCTGAATCTTTGAAGTTATAGTCTTATTTTTAAAATTTCCCAGTTTGATAGATTGGAAATGTCCTTTAGTATTTGTACTTTATTTATATTTAGTGAATTTCCAGTAAGGGGAAATTGTTTTTCATACACTTTTTGGCCAGTGTACATCTTTGGGGAGTTAAATATTATTTTATTAAGGACGTTGAATTTTAATTTATCATATATGTTGAAAATATTTTTTCCATCTTTGCTTGCTGGTAATTTTATTTATAATTTTTTGGTGGCAGAAATACAGATGTATTTTAGTTACAATGTTTTCGTCTGCAAGTACCCAAATAAGCGACTAACAGCAATTTAATTTAAGCAATAAAATCATTTAATTATCTCACATACCAAGAAGCCGGGAGGTAGATGGCCCCAAGTTAGGTTGCCACAAACAACCCTGGTTCATTTGCTTTGCATGTTGAGTTTCAATCTCACCGTTACTGCCTCCTAGTGGCGGATACGGCGGCAATAGTGGCGCACATTCAAGGCAGGAAGCAAGAGGAACAGAGCCACCAGCAGGTTTGGCCCAGTGGATTGCAAAGTAGAAGCTTTTCCAGAAACAGCCCTTATGCCTCCTTTGCCATAACTGAGTCACGTGGCCATCCATAGTTAGACGTTTATCTGGGAAAGCAAGTGCCTCCATTGTGAAGCACTTCAGGGCGGGTTGAGAATGGCAGTTGGATTAGGCAGCTAGACAAGCCCCCCTCCCCACAAACCCCCCCCTTTTTTTTTTTTTGACAGAGTCTTGCTCTGTCACCCAGGCTGGAGTGCAATGTCGCCATCTCGACTCACTGCAACCTCCACCTCCGGGTTCAAGCGATTCTCCTGCCTCAGCCTCCTGAGTAGCTGGGATTATAGGCGTGTGCCACCATGCCTGGCTAATTTTTGCATTTTTTCAGTAGAGATGAGGTTTCACCGTGTTGGCCAGGCTGGTCTTGAACTCCTGACCTCAAGTGATCCGCTCGCCTCAGACTCCCAAAGTGCTGGAATTACAGGCATGAGCCACTGCGCCTGGCCTTAGACAAGCCCATTTTATTTTATGTCCTGCAATAGGTCTTTAACTTGTGTGTAGTTAACTTCACCCATGTTTTTCTTTATAATATCTTTTGTGTATAATTAAAAATAAAATTTAGCACCTGTTATGTACTCATAATTAAAAATAAAACTTTTTAAAGCATAATATGTTCATTTTGTGTTGTTTGCAGGTAATCCTTCCCCATTCCAAGATAAATATTGATGTATATTTTCTTATTTCTCTATTTTCATTAAAAATTTTGCCCTAAGTAAATAGATTTGTTCATTATGGTCTTGGTTCCCTTTTCAACAATAAAGACTAAGTTTTAGAAGGCCAATTTAAACAGAAGATTAGCTATAGATACTGAAATATCAAAAATTTTTTTTTTTTTTTTTTGAGACAGGTTCTTGTTCTGTTGCCAATCTTGGCTCACTGCTGCCTCCAACTCCCAGGTTCAAGCAATTCTCGTGCTTCAGCCTCCTGAACGACTGGGATTACAGACATGTGCCACCACCCAGCTGATTTTTTTTTATTTTTAGTAGAAACACTGGGTTTCATCATTTTGGCCAGGCTGGTCTTGAACTCCTGGCCTCAAGTGATGCGCTCGCCTCCCAAAGTGCTGGGATTACAGGCATGAGCCACCACACCCCGCCCATTTTATTCAAAATATTTTGATGTTTATTTATCAACTATAGTCCATCTGGAATTTATTTCCATTTATATTAAGAGGTGGAAATCAAACTTCTGTCACTAAACTCTTAATTGTACCAACAGCATTTATTAAATAATCCTTAATTTCTCCCAAAATGTGAAACATTGGTATGTGTATATATATATATGTATACATATACACATGTACGTATATATACACGTATATATACGTACGTACGTATATATACACGTATATATACGTACGTACGTATATATACATGTGTATATATATATGGAGAGAGAGAGAGATTTTAAAATTAGAACTGGAAATTTATGACATTTAGAAACTAGAAAAACCACATGCTTTTTAGTTTATGCAGTTTATTTTATGTCCTGCAGTAAACCTTGTAGTATTGGCTGGTCTTGGTGGCTGATGTCTGTAATCCTAGCACTTTGGGAGGTCAAATGCAGGAGGATTGCTTGAGCCCAGGAGTTCAAGAACAGCCAGGACAACATCGTGAAAGCATGTCTCAAGTAAAAAAATAAAAATAAATTTAAAAAAAAAGCCTGTAGTTTATTCATATAGGTCCACCACAAATTTTGTTTGAATTATTCCTAGGTAGTTTGTATTTTTTTTCTACTGTAGTTCCTGATTATTGCTGAAATATGGGGAACTTGTTCATTTATTACACACAGAGATATCTTTCTTAGCTCTTATTAGTTGTCCTAGTTTCTTAATTGATTCAGTTAGACTTTCCAAGTAGACAATTATATCACCTACTTAATGATAATTTGGTCTTTTTCTTTCTAGTAAAGTAAACCTGATTTATTTTACCTGTTTAGTTTACCTGTTTAGTTTCATTGTATTAGAATACAATGGCAAAGAGTAGAAGTATCAGAGATACACTTTATATTGTGTCTGAATATTATGGATATTTTTATAATGTGTTATTAAGTTGATGATTGGTGTCTGATATTATAAAGTACAGATTTATCTCAGGTTACTGAGAACTTTGATTATAAATAGATGTTGAATTGTATCAAATATATTGTTAGCACTTATTAGGGTGATTATAGACTTTTCCTCATCTTTCTATTATTGTTATTAATTAATATATTTACTAATAATGACATATTTTTGAATTTCTATAGTAAACCCAACATGGTCATTTAATCATTTATGCATCCATTACAAATTTATCAGACACTCACCTTACCAGGGACACCATGGTAAATGACACCAAGTCCACACCCCTGAGAAATTTATACTCCAGGGAAAAGATGATGATTGATTTGCAATTTTCTCATGTTAATTCTGTCTTTGCAGGTGTGTTGTGTATTTACTCACCTGACATCCATCATTTATTCTCACCTCCTCTTCTGTGCCTTTCTGTCCTGGAGATTTACTTCTTTGGTGTTCTGTGGATCATTTTAGAAGGCCCTGCTTGAAGTTTGCCTCTCCAACTCTTCCAACAATTTTACAAACTCCACACCCCCTTTTTTAAATCTCTTTTTCTATGATGTTTGGAAGATTTTCTATTTCTTATGCCAATCTCCAACTAGCACATCAGATTTTGGTATCAGGGTTATATAAGCTCTGTAAAAATAATTTCTATGATTTTTTAAATATACAAGTTTAGTTTAAATAGCATAGGATCTATATTTTCTTTAAATTAACAGAACTTGGCCAGGCACAGTGGCTCACACCTGTAATCCTAGCACTTTGGGAAGCCGAGATGGGAGGATCACTTGAGACCAAGAGTTCGAGACCAGCCTGGTCAACATAGCAAGAACCCCCCGCCCCCCCCCGCCCCATTCTCTATTAAAAAAAAATTAACAAAACTTTCCCATAAAGGCTTTGATAAATTATCTAATTTATTTGATGGTTAATGATTTATTCAGGTTTTCTATCACTTACTGAGTATATTTGGATAATTTTTATTCTCATATAAAATAATCTATATCATTAATATTTTTAAATACATTACCATAGAGCTGTACCTTGTATTCTGCTATAACTTTAATTTTCTGTATCTGAAACAATTTTTTCCCATTGCCAGAGTTGAATATTTTCATTTTGCATCCTGTTTTATTTATTTATTTTTAATACTTTAAGTTGTGGGTTATATGTGCAAAACGTGCAGTTTTGTTACATAGGTATACATGTGCCATGGTGGTTTGCTGCACCCATCAACCCACCACCTACATTAGGTGTTTCTCCTAACGTTATCCCTCCCCTAGCCACCCACCCCCCGATGGACTTGGAACCAACCTAAATGTCCTGTTTTATTTTTATTCCTCCAGACTTTTCTAATTTATACTCCCATCAACAGGGCACCAGAAACTTGGTATTATCTGACTTTGTAATTTTGGCAAATCTGATGGGTATAAAGATATATCTTGCTGTTGTTTTAATGTGCATTTCTTTGCTTGCTGGTGAAGTTGAGCATCTCTTCAAACGTTTTTTAACCATTTGGATCCCCCACCAATTAACCACTTATTGATAGCATTTTTCCACTGGATTTTCAGCCTTGGAGATGGTTGTTGCTGCTGCTTCTGCTGCTGTTGATGTTGATGATTGGCGGAAGGATTTTATATGTTTAGATGTTAATTGTCAGTTTTAGATGTTACAGATATTATCTCTTAATCTGTCATTTGTCTATAACTTGGTCAGTGTTGTCCTCTGCTGATTAGCAATGCTTTATTTTTATCTGGTCAATTCCGTCCACTTTTGTGCTTTGGAGTCCTACTTAAGAAGTCTTTCTACACCTCAAAATTACACAAAAAAATCCAACACTTCTAATTTCGTCTTTTACATCCACATGTTTAATCCCATGCATATGAGATTAACTTGTGACATTGTCTAAAATAGTGGTCCAGATTCTGTTTTCTCCATTAAATGAGCTATAACTGAACTATTATACCACCAAATGCCTTGTAGCATGGCAAGAAAGAAAATTGTCCCAAATATGGTCTGGGACACAATTTTCTTTATGTATGTGATATAATTTATAATTCCTTCTGGGAAATAATTAGCATCCTTGTGTGATTTTTTGGTAGACTTTATTGAGCTCAAGAGCATCTTCTGAGAAGCTATCAGTCTTGAGAAGAGTCTGATAACATTAACTGGCACTGCCTTATTGTATTTTTCTACAACCTCTTCTTCAAAGAAAAAAATCTGCAATGGCTGGCTCAGGACCTTCTTTCCCCAGGGCAAATCTGAAATAAAGCTTTGACATGAGCCTGTAAGAATTTTTTCAGAAAGGGTACTTTAACAACAGCCTACATAGTCTTCAGCTCTTCTAGATAGAACTGAAGACTGTATGGATGAACCTTCCCCTCCATCCACTCACGCCTGTAATATGTCTTAGAGAAATTCCTTAAAGTTTATTATATGAGAATAGCACCTCTGTCTAGTTTCCAGCAATAATGGGCTTTTAAAAATTATATTTCTCAGTATTTGAGAAGTTTCTTGGACATGACATGTGGATATTATCATTTTTTACAACAATATCACTGCCTCCATTACAGTTCTGTTTGGTAAAACTTCCCAAGAATTGTTTAGAATCTTTAAGTGTTAATTCCCAGTATTTTTACTCTCATTGAAATGACAATTTAAGTTGTTTAAAGTGTTATTTTCCCAGTAGTTCTACAATGGTTCATAAATGATCTCTTTCTTTAAACTGCCAATTCTCTTTCTATGTCTAAGGACTTTACATATTCAGTGCTCTTCCTACAGAGGGGAGTGAATTTGAATATTTGGGGTGAGCTACTTAACATCAGCATGCTTCACTGTTTTCATGTATAAAACATAATGATGATATAGTTTAGAAATTTTTTATTGTTTTTCAGGTAATGGGAGTTGAGACTGAGTCCCAGATGGATTTTTATTCAGATCCTCCAGGCCTTAATGAAAAAAGAATCAGAAGCTTTAGGTTATTGTGCATTTTACTTCTCTAGATTTAAGCTCCAATGGGCTATGGAGAACAGGAAGGCAGCTACAACTACAAGCAGCCGTACCAGGGAGCTTCATCTTCATGTCGGAGGGTTTTGTTTTTTTTTTTTGAGATGGAGTCTCTGTTGCCCAAAGTGGAGTGCAGTGGCTCAATCTCTACTCACTGCAACCTCTGCCTCTCAGGTTCAAGTGATTCTCATACCTTAGCCTCCCGAGTAGCTGGGACTACAGGTGTGCACCACCATGCCCAGCTAATTTTTGTATTTTTAGTAGAGACAGGGTGTCACCATGTTAGCCAGGCTGGTCTAGGACTCCTGACCTCAGGTGATCCACCCGCCTCAGCCTCCCAAAGTGCTGGGATTACGGGCATGAGCCACCATGCCCAGCCCATGTCTGAGAGTTTTATCTTTATATTTCTTAGGACAACCTAATGTTAACTGCAACAGTGATATTTTATTTAGGGTTCCTCTGCCCTCCTTAGGGTCAATCTCTGTAGCACCCATACCGTGTTTAGGATACATCCCAAACAGATAATATTATGTGTGTCAGAGTAGGCCCTCACCCTGAGCCTCTCCCTGTGCCCAGTGCACAGCTGGGAGGCACAGGTAGAACTCAGCTCCCCATGCCATCTCCAGGTCCGTCTGCTCTGAGTTAGGGCATGCTGGTGGAGTGACTCCCACTGGTCCCTGGGTAGCTCCTCATCTGTAGAAAATGCATGAAATGAAGCAAAGGAAACACCTGTCTAGGCAGACCCTCCCCTTCATTGATTTGTGCCTGTAATATGTCTTGGAGAAATTGCTTGAAGTTTATGATTTGAGAATGGCACCTTTCTCTAGTTTCCAGCAATAATGGGCTTTTAGAAATTATATTCTTTTAGAAATTTCAACAGGAATTTCCAGCATGGTCTCAGAGGATTGGAATCTCATATTCAACTCTGTATTCCCAGCACCTAGTAAAATGTAGTAAGTATAAAGAATACATCTGTGATGAAAAGATGAATTAGTAGGATAGTCACATAATTTATAGTCTAAATCAGGATCCTTTTGAGAATGAAAGGAGATATTGGCCAGGTGGGTCAACAGAGTAACAGAAGTAAAACAGGACATGTGAAAACATATCCAGAAAACCAGGATATGTGATCACCCTATGCATAGGGAAACAGAGAAGAAAGAGAAGTGATGGGGTGAAAGAATGATAGAGAAAAAATATGCCTCAGCTGGGCACAGTGGCTCACGCCTGTAACCACAGCATTCAGGAGGCCGAGGTGGGTGGATCACTTGAGGTCAGGAATTCAAGACCAATCTGGCCCACATGGTGAAACCCTGTCTCTACTAAAAATACGAAAATTAGCTGGGCATGGTGGTGCACACCTGTAATCCCAGCTACTCGGGAGACTGAGGCAGGAGAATTGCTTGACCCTAGGAGGTGGAGGTTGCAGTGATCCGAGATCACACTACTGCACTCCAGCCTGGACAACAGAGCGAGACTCTGTCTCAAAAATAAAAATAAAAGAATAATAACAATATGCCTGGATTCCCTGGGAAACCAACTCAGAGCCACAGACTGGCATGCAGGAAGTTTACTGTGGACTGCTCTTGTCAACAGTAAATAAGAGGGAATGAGAGAAGTCAGGTTGGGCAGAGGAAGAAGTTAACTGTGATGGGCCAGAGAAAACTGAAATGGGGATGGACCTGCAGTGAAATTCCAAATCAAGGCAAGAAGCCTAGGCCTTTGTACTCTTGCATCAACTGGTCACAGGATGTGAGCTGACCAGGAGAAGGCAGCTTAACCCTGGGTGAGGCAGCCTCCTTTCATGGAGGTCAGTTCCCTCCTAGGGAGGCAGCTGCAGACCTTCAACAGCCAACACACCCAGCACCTGGAGCAATGAGTGCTAGGGTCCCAAAGGAGCATTGGGAGGGCCTACTAAAGTATCCACTACAGTCCACCCCTTGTGCTGCTCAATTACCTCTCTCATGGAGCAAGTTCCCCCCAATTCTGGGATTCAGAATGGTCTCCTTTTCAAGGGAAACATAGAAAGAAGAGGAATGAGTCAAACGATAGGCCTGCTGCTATGGCTGGTCTCAAGGCTACAACTGACACACATCATCTCCCTCCATTCTAGGCTCCCTCCACCCTCAAATAACATTTCTAATCCCATCACTTTGGGAGGCCAAGGCAGGTGGATCACTTGAGGTCAGGAGTTTGAGACCAGCCTGACCATGGTGAAACCCCATTTCTACTAAAAATATAAAATTAGCCAGACATGGTGGCACATGCTTGTAATCCCAGCTTCTTGGGAGGCTGAGGCAGGAGAATCACTTGAACCTGGGAGGCAGAGATTGCAATGAGCCGAGATTGCACCATTGCACTCTAGTCTGGGCAACAAGAGCAAAACTCCGTCTCAAAAAAAAAAAAAGAAAAAAAATTTCTGCAGGTCAGAGTTGCCCACTTACCTAGTGAGTGACTCAGAATGTCATCCATGAGAAGTTTGAGCCTCTGGAGACCATGCTCTCAGACTGTGGCTGCTGCACTTTTCCAGTTGCCATCAGAATTGGGCAGGGAGGTACCAAGAAATCACCCCCATTTATCACCTGGGAGCCAATACATTCCTCCTTCTCCGTTACATAACAGCAAACCCACGTGCTCCCAGTGATCAGGGGCAACCATGCAGGTCAGGATGATGACACCTTTATTTGGCTGGTGGTCTCTTAGCACAAGAAGCCTAGAATAGTCTCACAGTAGCAATAGCTTAAAGTTTAAAGGGATTCTTGCTATGTCTCTTGGTGGAAGTATTTCCTTCTCTAGAAACCAGGACCTCTAGGCCCACCTAGAGTTTCAGAGAAAAGAAGCTTAAGTTCCTCACAGGGGTCACTGGGAATGAAGACCATGGGGCCACTCCTGCTTCCATGCCATGTTTTCCAGCCCCATGTGTTCTATCTATTGGGAACGTAGCACCACATAATGGTCATTGATTAGAGGGCATACTGAGTCCTGGAGGATGGCACCTTAATCACTCTATAAGGCCAGCAGCTCTGGATGGTGGAATATGCAACAGGGCCAGTGGGTTCCATGCTCAGGCACCCACTGCCATGCCTACTTTATTGGAAAGTAAGTCCCTGGTCAGATGTGATGTTTTGCAGGATCCTGTGTTGGTGGATCAATACTCTGTAAACAATCAGAGAGCTGTGCTGGTTTTAGCAGTACAGGCAGGAAAGGCAAATCCATACCCCAATTATGTGTTCCTTCTAGTCAAGATGAATCACTGGCCATTTTCTACCAAGTGGCAGTTTGGTCTGCTTGAGGGCTGCTGCTGTACTGGAGGCTCAGTGTGGGTGTCTGTTGCTGGCAGGTGGGACATCCGGCAGTGGCAGTGGCTAGGTCAACCTTCATGAGTGGACACTTATGCTATTGGGCCCATGCATCTCTTCCACAATGGCCACACAGTTCATGTACCCATTGTGTAAGCCCTGTGGGGGCTGAATACAGAGGCTGGTTGATGACAACTGGCTGAGTCGTCACATCTGCTTGGTTGTTCAGTCCCTCTTTCCAGGAAGATTTTCTCAGGTGTGCATTCACGTGTGATCCAGGGATCTTCACCTTTCATACCCACTCCATTAGGTCCAACCACAGGCCTCTTTCCCAGCACTCTTTGTTCTCAATCTTTCTCCTCCCAAGCTTCTGAGAAACCAGCCAGTTCCTTCTGCCTACAAGTCCATATATATTCTTTTTTTTTTTTTTGAGACGGAGTCTTGCTTGGTCGCCCAGGCTGGAGTGCAGTGGCGCGATCTTGGCTCACTGAAAGCTCTGCCTCCCGGGTTCACACCATTCTCCTACCTCAGCCTCCCAAGTAGCTGGGACTACAGGCACCCGCCACCATGCCCAGCTAATTTTTTTGTATTTTTAGTAGAGACAGGGTTTCACCATGTTAGCCAGGATGGTCTCGATCTCCTGACCTCTTGATCCACCTGCCTTGGCCTCCCAAAGTGCTGGGATTACAGGCGTGAGCCACCATGCCTGGCCTATTCTTCTTTTAAGGACCTCCTTTTTTCTACACACGAAATGGATGCCCAGGTGCACTGCTCACAGCATTTTCTGTTGAGAGGATTTCTCCTGCCAGTCATTTAGGGCCAATCCTGAGTGGGGCTGTAAGGAAGCTGCAGTCCATTTTTGGCTTGTACCACATGCCATGCTGATCC
Source organism: Homo sapiens (assembly GCF_000001405.40). NCBI lineage: Eukaryota > Metazoa > Chordata > Mammalia > Primates > Hominidae > Homo > Homo sapiens. Next base: position 26,062,745 of record NC_000008.11, read on the forward strand.
ATCTGTGAGCCACACCTGGCCTTTTTCCTCCCCAATCAACTGGTCATAAGGAATCACCCAACCTCATGCAGCCAGAGGCATGAGTTCAGGAGAGGCAATGATACAAAAACAGTGGTGAGTTCAGTGGAGGTTTGGAGATTTGGGCCATTGGCCCATGCAGCTTTCTGATGCTCTGACTTTGTTTGGGCCTCCCTGGATGTACTACTTCCATCTCAAAATATGGTGCTGCGGGTCTCTCCAGATATATGATTTGGTCTAACAGAACCAAGCTCATAACAGGCAGTCTGCCTGAAGGATCACTTCATGTGTCATGGACAGTTGCTTCATCTCTCTAGGGTCTAGAAACTTTCTATAAATTGTTTCTCAAACACATAATTCCCTGCTATAGATGGCATTGACCTCACTCCTAAACTCTAAGGGTCTGTATTGTGATTCTTTTATTTGAGATTCCATAAACATCATGTGGCAACTTTTGACTCCACAGACACCTCTAATTCCATAGGGTCTGTTGGATTATAAAGCCCAATTATCAGCATAGCTTGAACCTCAGCCTGGACCTGCTATAGAGCTCTTTCCAGTTCTGGGTACTCCAGAGTTACAGCTGGTGGGAGAGTGGTATTCCCCAGTGTGGAATATGCTGCTTTCAGACCTTGAGGCCCACCAGGCATTGTGCTTCCTTCTTAGTGGTAGGAGGTGCAAGATGCAACAATCTGTGCTTTACTTTGAAGATGTTCCATTGTGCTCCAGATCACTGGACCCTTAAAAACTTACCTATTGTGGCAGGTCTCTGAATCTTTGTTGGGTTTATCTCCCACCCTCTAGAACATGTGTCTCATGAAGGCCTTCAACTCACTTGCCACATCTTGTTCATCTGTCTGATGAATGTGAAGTCATTAATATAGTTGGCCAATGTGATATTTGCAGGGATGTCTAGATTGTCCAGGTCTCTTCAGCCTACATATGACAGAGAGTGAGAAACATAACCCTGGAGCACTACTGTTAATGGATATACTGCTTGTCCCATATGAATGTGAATTGTTCCTGATCCTCCTTTCTAATGGCAATGGAGAAAAGAGTATTTGCCAGATTAATAGCTACATACTAGGGCTGAGGCTATCTTAAAGTGCTCTAGCAAAGACATTATACTCTGTCCAGTGCAGCAGCTGGAACTGGGGCTACTCTTTTAGTGTGTGATTGCCCATATTCATCCCAAAGGGTGTCTGGTTTCTGTAGGAGCTGGGCTGATGCAATTATCTAGGGATGCAATGGGGACCACCATCCTTTTATCCTTTAGCTCTTTAAGGATGGCATTACTCTCTCCTCCCAACCCAGGATGTGATCTTTGTTTAGATTTGCTCTCTTGGCCAGAGGAAATGTGGGACTTCAGAGGCTGCTGTTTGGCTTTTTCCCAAGCATACATACTGCCATACCTCTCCCCCACAGGCCAGGGAACCAGTGTGGGAGTTCTTCCAGCTCCTAAATATGTCCATTCTCATCAAACATCCAGAGGCAAGGGAGGTGACACCAGATGGATGATGGTGAGCCACTGTGAGCCACACCTAGGACAGAACTCCACACATTACCAGGCTCCACACATTACCAGGCCCCTCTTGCTAACAGGGGGTCCATACTGACACCTGGGGCACCCAGTCAATGCCAACTTGGAACCTGTGTCCAACAATCCTCCAAATATCTGAATTGTCACCCTTCCCCAGGGAACACTCATGTAAATGGCCATAGATCTTAGAGGACTTTGGCCGTAATTATACACTTGTCAGAGAGTTGCAGGGTCTCTTCCTCTGAGGACCCTTCCTCTGTTTCAGTCAGTAGGTTCCCTTCCTCAACAGGTTCAGTCAGTAGGTCTGAAAATTGGCTCAGGTCTAGAAACTGGACAAGGAGCATGACTTCCATCTGGATGGCTGCTCTCAGCCTCCAATCTCCTCTCCTTGGTTTCTGTTTATTCTGCAGGTTGAACAGTACCCTTGTTGGCTACTCATCTATCTTGGCCCTAGGGATCCCCACTGTGAATTCAGGGATTTGGAGGCTGATAAGAGACAGAGATATGACCACTAGGTGATAGTAGCACACAATGAACTTGATTTCAGCAACACTTTGATAGGATTGTGTGCAAAGGGAAGCCCTTCCCAGAATGAAACCTTCCAGAAACAAGGGGCCATGCAGAAGGAGAAGAAGGCAAAAGAATTCAGGAGGGAAAGGGGAGTGGCAGAGAAGCCTCATGTGTCTAGGCAATGTCACTCAGGGAGTCCTGATTGGAGAGCTCCCAGTGGCAGCAGTGGCTTAGGGTCTTTTATAACCCCAGGGCTTGTCTTATCTATGGCTAGCAAACATTGGATACAGATATTTTGCAAGGTAGGCAAAGCAGACAGCCTGTAAATAGCTAAAAATCTACTTACTGGTTCTCTATTTAAAGCAACAGGATGCTTTGAATTTAAAAAAATTTGAGTTTGGCAGGCTTTTGAGCTAATGGTCCCAGCCTGGTGCAAAGAAGCAAACAACGTAGGGCCAACCTACAGGGGCCATCTTTGGCTCCTCTGTATAACATCATGTTCTATTAGCTGTCTCTGTAGCTCTCCCTCATCAAGCCACTGGCTGCCACTCTGATTTAGCTCCTTGGTATAGTAATTGCCACAACATTGCCTCTAATGGCTAACTGCTTCCACTTGGTATCTGTTGTTTAGGGATCCTATCACCCCCATTGCTATGGAAGCCCAGTCGCCCAACAGCATCTCCTGCCATCTGCCCTGGCCTGCACAGGACAGCCACTCCTGAATTTCTCAATGATGTTGGTGCCCCTCTGCCCAGCTCATTTCTTGTTGCTCTCATGAACAGAGTGTCCTCTGGGTTCTCCTGAGGAAAACAGTTGGCTGGTGTTTCCCAGCTGTAGGTAGCATTCTCACTTAACTGAAATCTTTGAGCCCTTCTTTTCTGTCTTTCATGAAAATTCTGATATTTCTAATTCATTTAGTGTCAGCCACTAAGCGACACTAATGGCTGACACTAAGCTTGTATACAAGTTTCTCCAAATCATCCTTAGTGTGTTAGCAACATCTCCTAGGATCCCAGAGTCCTGAGGTGCCAGGGTCCTTGCTAAGGTTTAGTAATGCAGCATGTCCCATATCCACAGGCTCCCTTTACCCAACTTGATGTTCTGCCCCCTCTACATCTGGCATCCTCAGGACCCATCCCCCTACAGTCTCTCCTGGCTCTTGCTAGAACATTTTTGCAAGTTCCATCAATCCCTTTGGGGAACAGTCCTCTTCCTATCTTAGTGGGTCCTTTGGGGCACAGTCCTCTTCCTCTCTTAGTGGGTCCAGCACTTCCCTGGCCAGGTAATGTTGGGACCTGACCTTTGTTATTAGTCTGGTGGTCATAACTGGAGGTGGCCTCAGAGCCTGAAAGGGACATGGTATGGTTCGTCTCTGTGTCCCCACCCAAATCTCATCTTGAATTGTAATCCCATGTGTCAAGGGAGGAACCTTGTGGGAGGTGATTGGATCATGGGGGCCGTTTCTCTCATGCTGTTCTCATGATAGTTCTCATGAGATATGATGGTTTTATAAGTGTTTGGTAGTTCCTCCTTCCTCTCTCTCCTGATGCCTTGTGAAGAAGGTGCCTGCTTCTTCTTCAACTTCTGCCATGATTGTAAGTTTCCTGAGGCCTCCCCAGTCATGTGGATCTGTAAGTCAATTAAACATCTTTATAAATTACCCAGTCTCAGGTATTCTTTATAGCAGTGTGAAAGTGGACCAATACGGGCATGGGTTGTCTTGAAGGGTCTAGAGGCCTGTGCATTATCTTCAAGCCATTGGAAAGTGCTGTCTTCTAACAGGGAGGAGTGGGCCACTTCTTCAGGCCCAGAATGTTCAAGGGGCTCTGGATATTCAAGACATTCAAGTGAAGACATTGTCATTCCATCTCTCAAGGTGTCATTTCAGCCAATCAGGGCCCTGGACATCTGGATCTGTCCTGGGCATCTGCAGGATATGAGTGTCTCTTGATTTGCTGCCAGAGGCCCTCTGGCTTCTGCACTTAGCCTTTAGCTGGTGATGAATTTCCCTCAGGCTTTCATGGTCTTCTCTAAGGCCTCTTTTGCCCTCAGCAACAGTGATCCACTTCTGCAGACCTTGTAATGGACTCACTGTTATGGACTGAATATTTGTGTCCCACTACCCACTCCTAAATTCGTATGTTGAAGCCCTAATTCCCAATGCGATGGTATTTGGAGATGGGGCTTTGGGGAGATAATGAGGTTTACAGGGAATCATGTGAGTGGAGTCCTCGTGGTAGGATTAGTTTTCTTATAAAAAGAAGCCAGAGAGTGCTTCTCTCACCACCACTATGTGAGGACACAGCAAGAAGGCAGCCATCTGTAAACCAAAAAAGGAGCCCTCACTAGACACGGACCATGCTGGCACCCTGATCTCAGACTTCCACCCTCCAGAACCATGAGAAATAATTGTTTGTTGCTTAAACCACCCAGTCTATGGTATTTTGTTATTGCAGCTGAAGCCTGCTAAGACATTGGTTCACCCACCAGTAACATTGCTCTCACCATTTTTCCTACCAGAAAAATTAGCAATTGTATAACTGCAATAGGACGGGGACTCTCCATACTCCACCTGCCACAAACATTATGGTCCTCACTGCCAGCCTTCCAGCAGGTGATCTACCTACCTCTCAAGCCCTGTTTTTAGGGGTTTTTTCCTAGGACCTCTCCCAGTACCAAATGTTACACATTGGGTTCCCAGAGAAACAGACCCTGGGACTCTAAGAATGGTGAGAACAAGCACTCCGTTGGGAAGTGCTCTCAAAACCAAAGCTGGTGAAGAAGCAAGAGAAGTAGACTTGGGTGACAAGAGAAGTTGAACTGCTTCAAGGAGTGCTGGAGCTGGGATGACCCTTCATAGAGGTCCTGAACTAAAACAAGGGGCCTGGCCTTTGTAGTTTCACATAAACCAGTCATGGGGTGCAGGGGAGGAGGCACACACTTGGGTAAGGTGGCTTCCTTTGACCAAGCATAATTCACTAAGAAGGGGATAGCTGTGAGCTACCAGCAGCCAACACTCCAAGCATTTGGGAGCTTGAAGGATGGCACACCACAGTATCAACTGCAGCCTGGGTCACAGCTTCCCTGCCAAGAAAGCACAAATTCTTCCTCCTCCTGTTCTACTGGGAATTGCCAGGGGAAGTTTATTAGCATATCCTCTAAGAGAAAACACGCCAGAGGCCAGGAGTAGGGGGATGGCAGGGACACATATAATCACCTGTCACACCTATAATCCTATAATAGCAGCACTTTGGGAGGCCCAGGCAGGAAGATTGCTTGAGGCCAGGTGTTCAAGACCAGCCTGGGCAACATAGCTGGACCTCATCTCTACAAATATATTTTAAAATTAGCCAAGGTATGGTGGCGCATACCCGTAGTCCCAGCTACTAGAGAGGTAAAGGCTAGAGCAAGCTTGTCTAACCAGTGGCCCATAGGCCACATGCAGCCCAGGACAGCTTTGAAAGCAGCCCAACACAAATTCATAAGCTTTCTTAAAACTTTTTGAGATTTTTTTTTTTTTTGCAATTTTTTTTAGCTTATTAGCTATCATTGCCATTAGTGCATGTTATGTGTGGCCCAGGGAAGCCAAAAGATTGCACACCCCTGGGCTAGAGGATCTCTTGAACCCAGGGTTTCTAGACTGCAGTGAGCTATGATTGTGCCACTGAACTTTAGCCTGGGTGACAGGGCAAGGCCCTATCTGGAAAAAAAAAAAAAATGCCCTAACCCTGCCCTTGGGCAGTTATCCTGTTTGTATCTCTTTCTTCAAACTTCCTTTGGAGATAACCACTTCTCTTCCACATATTCCTCGGCCTCAGCCTTATTCCTCATCTCTTCCCTTTTCTTTTTTTTTTTTAACCCTCTCATACCCTTGTTCCTAATAAACATTATTTGGTTAAAGACAAGTGTTATGGGTTGAATTTTGACTCCCCTGCCCCACTTCCTGACGTGGCGAATGTCTAAATCCCTAGTATCTCAGAATGTGGCCTTATTTCAAAATATGGCCTTTGCAGATGTAATGAAAGTAAGATCATTGGGGTGGGCCCCAATCCAATATGGCTGATGTCCTTACAAATAAAGGAAAGAAATGTAGACACTGAGAAGCACACAAACACAGGGAGAATGCCATGCAAAGATGAGGGCAAGAGCAGAGTGGTGCTTCTGCAAGCCAAGAAACACCAAGGACTGCCAGCAACTGCCAGAAGCCAGGCAGGAGGCACTGAACAGATTCTCCCCCAGACCTCAGAAGGAACCAGCCCTGCCAATTTCTCGATCTTGGACTTCCAGCCAATATGTTCCAGACAGTACATTTCTGCTGCATAAGCCACCAGTGTGGTACTTTTTTTATGGCACCCACAGGAAATGAGTACAGCAAGATTGTAGCAAGGAAATAAAGTCAATGTAGAGAGTGAGGAGGGGAGCAGATTGGCATGTTCCCCCAGTGAGTGGCTCTATCAAAACCAGAGGGAGGAGCACAACTTCCTCAATTTTATTTATCTGGTTTGAAATGCAGAGTAATAGGTAACTGTGCCCAGGGTGTGTTTGATAGAGTGGGCTCCCCAGTGAGTCTGTGGGGCATCACTCTGCGATATTCTCATGCTCCTGAGTGCCGTGTGAGCTGTGGGACCCTCAAGAATGGAAAGATTTATGCAAAAGACAGAAAAGGAAGGGCAGGGCAGGGCCTTCACACTCATCCAAAACTCTCTCTCTCTCTTTTTTTTTTTTTTTTTTGTAAAGGAGTCTTGCACTGTTGCCTAGGCTAGAGTGCAGTAGTGCGATCTCGGCTTACTACAACCTCCACTTCCCGGGTTCAAGCAAGTCTCCTGCCTCAGCCTCCCGAGTAGCTGGGATTACAGGGTCACATCACCATACCCAGCTAATTTTTATAATTTTAGTAGAGATGGGGTTTCACAACATTGGCCAGGCTGGTCTCGAACTCCTGACCTCAAGTGATCCACCTGCCTTAGCCTCCCAAAGTGCTGGAATTGCAGGCATAAGCCACGACACCCAGACTTTTTTTTTTTTTTTTTTAAGTAAAGACAGGATCTCACTATGTGGCCCAGACTGGTCTTGAACTCCTGGGCTTAAGTGATCCTCCTGCCTCAACCTCCCAAAGTGCTGGGATTACAGCCATGGGCCATTGCACCCAACTCCTTCTTATCAAGACATCTGTTGCCAGCATGTTACTACCTTGGAGAGCCGAGTCCTCAGACAGCACTAAGTGTGGAGTTTGCCTGCCCACCAAGTTCCTCAACTCTCTCCACCATTCAGTGGGTGACGTTGCGGGTAGAGGCTCTATGAAGTCAAGAGCCAGTACAAGCTTTTCATCATGGGAATGAGAAGGTACTGGCATCGCCTCAGCTACTGTTCTTTCCACACTCTCCAGCTTCTCCAGATAAAACACAGACACAGCCACATACCGGTGACAGAAAGAACCACTTCTTAGATCCTTATTTGTTCAGTAACCAAGAAGAATGGGTGACATTGCAAAGCACAGAAAATTGAGAATAAACTTAAGTTGTGTGTGGGTTGTGGGTTCTAATGTTGGCAGAGCACTTCACTTTTTCATCTATTATCCCATCTTGACTTCACAATAGCCACATAAGTTACAGAAGGAAGAATGATTCCCATTTAGCAAATGAAAAACCGGATCATAAAGAAATTAAAAGGGTATGTCAGACCTAAACAACTAGCAGAACTAGGCTGAAAGAGTTGAACTGTTTTTTAGATCAGCAATTCTACACCCCAACAATGGGTCACGATACATTGTATTATGAAATAATGGCTTCCGGGATTCATGTTAAAATGTTTGTGCTTTCTGTCAACCTAATTGATGTCAGTTAGAAAGATAAGAGGAGAATCGGTAATTTTTCTAAATCTATGATTCCTTAAAGGTATATTTGGCATTTAAAACATATATATCCAAGGCAGTTTTTATTTCTAAACATTACTGAGCTTTTTTTTTTTTTTTTAGACAGAGTTTTATTCTTGTCACCTAGGCTGGAGTGCAGTGGCAAGATCTCTGCTCACTGCAACCTCCGCCTCCCGGGTTCAAGAGATTCTCCTGGTTCAGCCTCCCAAGTAACTGGGATTACAGGCACCCGCCACCATGCCTGGCTAATTTTGTATTTTTAGTAAAGACGGGGTTTCACCATGTTGGTCAGGCTGGTCTCAAACTCCTGACCTCAGGTGATCTGCCCACCTCGGCCTCCCAAAGTGTTGGGATTACAGGTGTGAGCCACTGCGCCAACCACATTACTGAGCTTTTAAAAGGCTTATGTGTCAAATTTTGTCTGTAGCAAAAGGTATACCAAAAAGAATATTTGATGTTTAAAAGATAATATCCAAGTCAGTTTCGATTTCTAAACATTAGTAAGGTTTTAAAAAGCTTATGTGTCAAATTTTTGTCTGTAGCAAATATTGCTAACCCATGATTTTTAAAAAGCAGCAAGAGAACTTTCAGTTATGTAGTAACCTGCCCTGTGTCACTTCTGTCTTTGCAACTGCTGTGTGTATGTAACAGAAAAATGTGGTCATTGGGAGTTCATGGAGTCTATGATTCTATTTTGAGCCTTTTCCAAAGGTAATGAAGAAAGTCAGCATTTCTTCAAACTGCCCCAGCAGATTTGACTGACTAATAACTGACAGCCAAAAGAAACACAATTTTGTTCCAGAATGGATCAGGGAAAAGATTCCCCTCAAGGCAGTCATGCAAATACACCCTGGCCCACAATCACATGTCCTAGAGGAAATAGGGAAGTGGCGCAAATATATTTTAACCACCGTTGAAGGCACTACACAGTATTTGTCCCATATTTCTTCTCCACTGTGTCCTTGTAGCAACAGTCATGACTCTTGCAGACTCCAAAAATCCATTGGCTAGCCACATTACGTTCCGAAACTTCAGCAAAGTAGTTCTCACATATAGTTTAGGTAACAGATGCCCAATTCTAGGTGTGGGTAGGGGGATGGATGGTAATCATTTTGAACTACCATCATTTGGTATTTATTTAACCAGTGTGAAAAAATCAGAGTCAATTAGAGTTATTTAAATAAAAAGTTTGACAATGACATTTAGTCATAGTAAAGATCAGATGGCAGTCAGGATGGTTAAAACAGCATACGCAAGGAGCCCACAGTCCTGGATTTGACCCTCGCTGTACCTGGTAGTTTTCTTTTCCACCAATATTGCTGATAACTCTCCAGCCCTTCTGCCACCTGAAAATGCCAAGTATCTGGGCAAGAGGGGCCAGGGAAGTCAAAGCAAACCCATCAAGGTGCACACCCTGCTAGCAGTGGCATCTTCCCATACCACAGGAAGCAGAGATCAGAATTTTTTAACTTTTATTTTGGTTCAGGGGTGCATGTGCTGATTTGTTATACAGGTAAATTGTGTGTCATGAGAGTTTGCTGTACAGATTACTTCATCACCCAGGTAATAAGCATAGTACTCAATAGTTAGTTATTTTTGTTTTTGGGTTTTTTTTTTTTTTTTTTTGAGACAAAGGTCTGACTCTGTCACCCAGGCTGGAGTGCAGTGGCACGATCTAGGCTCACTGCAACCTCCACCTCCTAGGCTCAAGTGATCCTCCCACCTCAGCCTCCCAAGGAGGTGGGACCACAGGTGCATGCCATCACACCTGGCTAATTTTTGTATGTTTTTGTAGAGACGGGTTTTCACCATGTTGGCCAGGCTGGTCTTGAACTCCTGAGCTCAAGCGATCCACCCACCTCGGCCTCCCAAAGTGCTGGGATTACAAGTGTAAGCCACCACGTCCCACTTATAGTTAGTTTTTCAATCCTCCCCACCTCCCACCCTCCACCCTCAAGTAGAACCCAGTGGCTGTTGTTCCCTTCTTCGTGTTCATGAGTTCTCATCATTTAGCTCCCACTTATAAGTGAGAACATGCGGTGGTTTTCTGTTCCTGCATTAATTTGCTTAGGATAATGGCCTCCAGCTCCATCCATGTTCCTGCAAAAGACAGGATCTCATTCTTTTTTATGGCTGTTTAGTATTCCATGATGTATATGTACCACATTTCCTTTATCCAGTCTACTGTTGATAAGCATTTAGGTTGATTCCATGTCTATGCAATTGTGAATAGTGCTGTGACAGAGGTCAGGATCTTTAATGCTTTATACCTATTGTAGGTTAAGACTATATAAGAACTTAAATCTTCCCTATCTGATCCACAAGAGGGGCAGGAAGTAGAAACATGGGGGTGACCACTGTGCATTAAGGGGCAATGAGTAGTTAAGCCACACTTTCCAACATGGTAGCCATCAGCTACATGCGGCTTTGAGCATTTGGCATGTGGCTCACACAACTGAGAAACTGAATTTCAGTCTTATTTCATTCTCATCAATTTAAATTTAAATAGACACCTGTGATGGGATAGCATTGAGTTTGAAAAAGAGAAATAACAGAACCAGCAAAATAGTTCATATTTCTCAGAGATCTTTGATGTAGAGTTTCTCATTTGAGTCTCATAACATCACATGTTGGGCAGGAAGAGCGGGCAATATTATCTGCATTTTTTTTTTTTTTTTTTTTTTTTTTTTTTTTTTTTTTTGAGACGGAGTCTTGCTCTGTCGCCCAGGCTGGAGTGCAGTGGCGCGAACTCGGCTCACTGCAAGCTCCGCCTCCCAGGTTCACGCCATTCTCCTGCCTCAGCCTCCCGAGTAGCTGGGACTACAGGCGCCCGCTACCACGCCCGGCTAATTTTTTGTATTTTTAGTGGAGACGGGGTTTCACCGTGTTAGCCAGGATGGTCTCGATCTCCTGACCTCGTGATCCGCCCGCCTCGGCCTCCCAAAGTGCTGGGATTACAGGCGTGAGCCACCGCGCCCGGCCTATTATCTGCATTTTAAGCAGACATAAAAAAGATAAACGGATTCATTTATAGTCATTAGGTAGTTTATGAGAAAAGCATGCCTCCAACTCACAATTTCTGACAATCCGCTCCAAGCTTTATCCATGCTATCTGTATAATAATGATGACAATAATGCATTAATGGCATAATTAATATTATGGACTGCTTGCTATACATGAGGAAGCTCGTTACATCTGTGGTTCTGTGCTTCCCAGCCGTTTCCACATTGTGGCACTCAAAGAAAATGAAACCAGAGATACGGCACACCAGGGTAAGCTGGGGTAAACTATGCCCCTCCAGTGTGCCATCTGAAACAATCCATTACACTCAATTTACATTTTATAATTAAGACAAAAATAAAATGCAGAGTAACAGGGTAGATATTCAATGTTGATCTTGTATAAAACTTCCAAATGTTTCAAACTAGAGCTTGCTTCTTTGACCATATCTTTTTAATGTTACATTTTACGCTGGAAATGGCTATGCATGGCCGGGCACGGTGGCTCATGCCTATAACCCCAGCACTTTGGGAGGCCAAGGTAGGTGGATCACTTGATGTCAGGAGTTCGAGACCAGCCTGGCCAACATGGTGAAAGTTCATCTCTACTAAAAGTACAAAAATTGGCCAGGCATTGTGGCAGGTGCCTGTAATCCCAGCTACTCAGGAGGGTGAGACACAAGAATCACTTGAACCCGGGAGGTGGAGGTTGCAGTAAGCTGAGATGGTGCCACTGCACTCCAGCCTAGGTGACAGAGAGAGTCTCTGTCTCAGAAAAAAAAAAAAAAAGAAAAAAAAGAAAGAAAGAAAGAGAAAAAAGAAAAGAAAAGAAAAAAGAAATGGCTATGCACAATCCCTGACCCAAATGTTCTTAAGGTTAATCACTTGAATTCTTGGTGTTCACCCTTGGAGAGAAATTTTGTTCACTCAAATAGGTAACACAATCTTTATACCATTTTTACAACCATTCAGAAATGTACACTTTGAAATAATAATCTAAATAAATTATAGCTAAAGAACCATAAAGTCTTTAACTGGCAAATATAACTTTGGAATTTTTGTAATAATGTTGGCTGTGTTTGTCTGTTTGCATTGCTATAAAGGAATACCCAAGGCTGGGTGATTTATACAGAAAAGAGGTTTATTTGGCTCACAGTTCTGCAAGCTGTACAAGAAGCACAGCACCTGCCTCTGCTCCTGGTGAGGACCTCAGGCTGCTTCCACTCATGGCGGAAGGTGAAGGGAGGAGGTGTGTGCAGACCACGTGGCAAGACAGGAGGCAAAAGAGAGAGGGGGAGATGCCAGGCTCCTTTCAACAACAAAGGGTGAGAACTCACTCATTCCCTGACCTATGCCACAGCACTATTCACAATAGCAAATACATGGAATCAACCTAAATGCCTATCAACAGTAGACTGGATAAACGAAATATGGTACATATATACCATGGAATACTAAACAGTCATAAAAAAAAGAATGAGATCATGTCCTTGCAGAAATATGGATGGAGCTGGAGGCCATTATCCTAAGCAAACTAATGCAGGAACAGAAAACCAAATACCACATGTTCTCACTTATAAGTGGGAGCTAAATGATGAGAACTCATGAGAATGGCATTGAGCAGTTCATGAGAGATCTGCCCTTATGACCCAAACACTTCCCTGTTGACTCCACTTCCAACACTGGGGATCAAATTTCCACATGAGACTTGGTGAGGCCAAACAAACCATATACAAATGACATGTCTACACATGCAACATATTTATCAGCTGGAAAGGTAAGAAAAGATTCAAAGAGCTACTCTGAAATATATATTTTGAAAACCTATCTTGATAAGATGAAACTCAAAAGACTTTCCTAGTTTTCATAAATATAAGGTACAAACTAAAACATGTTCTGGCACATTCATGGCATCTATAAAATATTAAGCATGAAAAGGCGACCAGAGTTGGTGATTTTTGGCTTATGAGCAGCAGAACCTCATCAAACTTTTCTCAAAGAAAATCTTCAAAATCATGATGAAACTCTAATTTGTAGAGTGTATGTGCATTTTGGGGGGGTGGTCACCCTGCAGCTCGCTTAGATGACACTTTAAAAGGGCACATGGACCACAGACTGACAAGCATCTGATTTACAAAGCCAGAGGTTTTGTTTGTTTGTTTTGTTTTGTTTTTGGAGTCAAGGTCTCGCTCTGTCACCCAGGCTGGAGTGCAGTGGAGCAATCATAGCTCACTACAGCCTCCAACTCCTGGGCTCAAGCAATCTGCCTGCCTCAGCCTTCTGAGAAGCTGGGACTACAAGTGTATGTCATCATTGCCCAGCCAAGGCAGAAATTTTTGACTCTCACCTGGAACTGGGCATACCAGGGATACCTGTGTCCCCTGCCAGGCTACCTGCAGGACACCTGTGTCCCCTGCCTGTACCTTGGGCACCTAGAGCATAAATGCCATGTGGTCCCTGGGCCCTTTGGCTAGGAGGGACAGAGGAGCATTCAGCACCTGGCTGCTGTCATAGATTTCAGGACCTCAGCCTGCAGGACTCCCCTCAGCACACTGCAGCGAAGCCAGTGCCTACGTCACTTGTCATGCTCAGTACCTGCAGGTAGGGCTGGCTTTGTGGGCATGCAACCGATGTGACCGCAGAGAGCCATGTGCTCAGAAGGGCCTTGCAGTTGTTTAATGCTCTGTTGTCACCGACTTGAAATTCCTAATGACTTTTTAACAAGAGACCCTGCATTTACTTTTCACACTTGGCCCCATAAGTTATGTAGCTGGCCCTCCCAGCACTGCTCATCACCTAAAACTGGTAGCTGGGGCCTTGTAGCAGACCCTGTCCCCTTGGAGGGGTGCATATTTCACAGTAAACTGCACATCAGCACATAGGCTGGGAAGCTCTGCAACATGTCATTTAATCCTCATGACAATCCTATGAGGCACCCCCATTCTACAGATGAGAAAATGAAGACTTAGAATGGCCAAGTAACCTCCCCATGGCCAAACAGAGTCAGCAACGTTTGCTGGGCACGCGTCATGGGAGCTTTTACTGACTTGGACACAACCCTGTGAAAGCCTGAGATAAGGCATGCAGATATGTACGCACTCTGTTAGATTCAAACACAACTGTCTGGCTCAGGGACCGCATTCCGAAGCCTGCCAACTTTTAGTCCTGGGCTTCATCCAGTGAATTTCAATTAATAATACTAGAAAAAGTAGCAAGGAAGACGACATGTGTGTTAGCTGGAAATGTGAGAAAAGATTCAAAGGGCTACTTTGAAATACATATTTTGAAAAACTTTCTTGATAAGATGCAACTTGAAAGATTTTCCTAGCTTTCATTAATATAAAACACAAACTAAGACATGTTCTGGCACATTTGTGGCATGTCTAAAATCTTAAGCATCAAAAGATGACCAGCATAGACAATTTTTGGCTTATGAGCATGGAATGGCTTGTCCAGCAGCTTTCCGGGGAAGGGACCGCAGGGCTCTGACCCACCAGTGGCAGCCTCTCTCCACACCACCCCAGCACACACACCCCTATATCCACTGCCCACATCTCAGAGTCAGCAACGTTTGCTGGGCGAGAGTTGTGGGAGCTTTTACTGACCTGGACACAACCCTGCGAAGGCCTGAGATAAGGCATGCGGATATGTATGTACCCTCTAGCCATCCCCTTGCACACACACACTTATACATACATGCATACACATGCATACACACATGCTTACACACACACATACATACAAACCACATGCAGACAAGTACACAAAACACCTACACACATACATGAACATGCATACGTATGTACACACTTGCACGCACGCACACACACACAATTCTGGTGCAGGCCAGCCTTCCATAGGGAGCTGTGGTCAGCTCAGTCGCTCACTGCAGAGCTCAGTACTCTCTGACCATTGCTCCCTACAAAAACAAACTCCCGGCCAAGTTTGGCCTTTCTTTCATGCATTTAACTTCCAACTGAATGTTGTTGGACAGACTCTTGGACTTGACAGACAGCAAGTGTGAGAAGCTCATATCACCTCCCCTGTGAATGCTGCAGATGTACTGAGTGTGGGTCATTGGCATGGCCACCGTCAGAGGCCCGAGCCACCCTGTCCCTCTCTGTGCAGCCCTAAGGGAGGAGCGCTCGGTGCAGGCTGTGTGGCTGTGGAGGACTTCGTTCCCTGCTCTGTGGCTCCGAGTGAACCTCTGCTCTCCAAGCAGCCCCCTCTCCTCTGGGCTGTTGTTCAAGCCTCCAGGCTCTTTGCCGAACTGCTGAGACTTGAGGGAACAAAGGCTTTTATGACAAGTTTTATTAGTGATGCCTCCTGTGCTAACTCTCTGAGATGGGTCAATGCTATTAACCCTGTTTTACAGAGAGGGGAAGAGCCCCAGAGAGGTCAAATGCTTCCCTCAAGGTCATGCAGCATGTGTGGGGCAGAGGTAATTAGCCCCAGCCTGTCTGTTGGGCCAAGGGACAAGGAGGGTGTGCGATGCAGGGGTCTGGGGAGGCCACTCTTAATGATCCTGGAACTTGGACTTCAGGAAACCAGAGATGGGCATGGGGGCAGCATCCAGCACCTTTGCTGCTGTGTGACACCCTGCCCCCTGCCCTGTCCCACCTCCTGTCACAGCCCCCACTGTCTTCACTGCTGTGTGACACCCTGCCCCCTGCCCTGTCCCACCTCCTGTCACAGCCCCCACTGTCTTCACTGCTGTGTGACACCCTGCCCCCTGCTCTGTCCCGCCTCCTGCCACCAGCCCCTACTTTCCTTTTGCTCTGGAGAATGTCTCAATGCAACAATGCAAAACTACAAAAGACAAATAGAGCTACTTTGGAGTGAGGGTAGTAGATCAACTGCTCAAATGTAGCTAGGTTGTGGCTTATCAAAAACTTCAGTAGTTTGGCCAGGGCTGGTGGCTCATGTGTGTAATTTCAGCACTTTGGGAGGCCTGGGTAGGAGGATCACTTGAGGCCAGGAGTTTAAGACCAGCCTAGGCAACATAGTGAGAGCCTTTCTCTACAAAAAATTTTAAAAATTAGCCAGGTGTAATGGCCTACACCTGTAATCCCAGCTACTCAGGAGGCGAAACAGGAGGATGGCTGGAGCTCAAGTTTGAGGCTGCAGTGAATCATGATTGTGCCACTACACTCCAGCCTGGGCAACACAGCAAGAACATCTCTCTAAAAATAAAATTTAAAAAAAAAAACAGCTTCAGGGAGCTTCTGGAACCATAAGCCAGAGTCCAAAGGCAGAACAAGTAAGAAACTGGATTATCCATATCTTGATTTTCTTCCAACTGATACCAGAACACACAGGTCTCCCCAGCTGAATCGCTTGCCCCGAGAGGGAGGGGTGAGGGATGCTGCACTGCCCACTCTAGGCTCCTCTCTGCCAGTTCCCAGCACTTTGTATGTGGCTGGACACACAGGAGAGGCTTGTACTTACTTGTGGAAAGGAAATGAAAGAAGAAGGCCAAGCTAAGACTACAGACACGCAAACTGGGAAAACACAAAAACCAAAGGCCACAAACCTCAGCTCAGAAAGCAGGTCCCCTCAGCCAAAGCCTGTGTTTATGCCTGGCCCTCCCGGGGAGACTGACAACTGGCAAGGCTGCAAGCGTGTGCCGGTAACGGGGCATCCTGGGAGGGAGCCCGGCCCTGGGTGAGCGCCGCTGAGCTTGTGAATTTCTGCTGCCAGAGGCACGCGCCTTTGCCAAATGCAGCTGGCCCCTGCCAGTTCTGGAGGTTCCCAGGAATAGACAGGCCCCAGATTCACAGGCTTATGGATGAGCACATAAAGGAGTCAATGGGAGAGCCATCTATGGGGGGACCTTGGTGTCTTCCTACTTAAAACACTGCCCCTCCTCATCCTCCTGGTCTTTCTGCCTGAGGATCCCACTCTTCAGCAAGTCTTTATCCTACAAGCCAGAATAAAGCTTTATTTTCCAGCTGACTTGAATAAGGTTTCTGTTACTTGCAACCAAAGAACCCTAGTGATTCATGTCCCAGGATTGCTGGGAGGTGCAATTGCACACACAGAGCTCTTAGCACAGTATCTGATACATGGGAAGCACTCGGTACCTGCCCATCATCATTGTCTTCAGTATTATTAGGATTATTGCTGTTAAATACATGCCGATGTATCAAAACAAACTGCATGTTGACCAGTTCTAATCCTCTGGCTGTGCACACACATCATCATTTGCTTTAGCTAAGTTCCACCTTCCTCTCACAGGGCCCACCTCAGATCAATCCGCCCCAGCAGCCCTTGAGAATTACTGTGCCCTTGCCAACCTCTCTCTGCCGAACTCTCGTCCTTCCCTGCTTCCTAGTTTTACCTGGTGTGGCATATAACTGTGATATAATCACGCCGACTGGGGCTGCTGCCCACAGCTGTCGAGTTGGACACAGCAAAGCCTTCTCTGCTTTGTGGGATCATCCTGGGTGTTCCACCTGGGCTTTCTCTTCCCACCTAGAATGTGAGCATCCCATGGAAGCAGAGCCCACTTGTTCTTTTCTTTTTTAAAAACAATTGATTACTTTTTTTTAGAGACAGGGTCTCACTCTGTTGGCCGGCTGCAGTGGTGCCATCATAGCTCACTGCAGCCTCAAACACCTGGTCTCAAGTGATCCTCCCACCTTAGCCTCCCAAGTAGCTAAGACCACAGATGTGCACCATTAGGCCCAGCTGTTTTAAAAATGTTTTGTAGAGACAGAGTCTTGCTATCTTGCCCAGGCTGGTCTACAACCCCGCCTCAAGCAATCCTCCTTCCTTGGCCTCCCAAAGTGATGGGACTACAGGTGTGAGCCACTGCACCAGCTGTATTCTTTCTTTTGTTTCTCTGTGAGATCTAGTGTGATGCTGAACACGTGGCAGAAAGAAAACTGATATTTACAGAGCATCCACCATGAATCCGACACCAGGCGAATGCTTTACCCATGTCCTCACATTAACTGTCACAGCAGTTCCTCGACAAGGTCATTGTTTTCTATATCCCTCAGGCCACACCAGCGTGGCAATAAAAATAGTCACAATGAAACTCTTAGAAGATTGTCATCCCTGACTTCAACCTCACTGCGAATCCCAGACCATGTCAGATTCCGCCTTCCCCAAATAGTTCGGAGATCCCCCAAAATGTGGCTTACCTGCACCCTGCAGACCATCCTCTTGGCATTTACCATCTTCCCTGCCACCACCCAAGTCCTAGTGCCTGTCCACTGCTGAGCCTGTTGGGGAGTCCCCGCGCTGGGATGGAGAGTGCTCACCTGTGTGGCTGTCGTCGCCGCAGACTCAGTGCTGCAGGTGCCACTCCATGGCCATGCCCTTTCCTGCTTTCCACCCTGTGAGTGCACTGTCTTCCTTCTTGCAGCTTCCAATCCCATCACTTGTCTCCTGAACTCATTCATGTCTGTACCCCACCCTTCCTTTCTGATGACTCCCAACCCAGGGAAAGCCTCCAGAGACTTATTTCATCTCCTCCTTCCCTGGTTGCCTTGCACTGTCAAGGAAAAGCCACAAAACCCTGCTGCTGCGTCCACTCCCAGGCCATGCTCACTTCAGCCGAGCTCTCAGTGATGCTCGGTAGTTCTTTCATTCATTTCTTGCTCACTATTAAGCTCTTCCAGACCCTGTCCCCTCCTCCAGAGGCACCTGGCCTCACCCTTAAGAATAACTTCCTCTTCTATTTCATTGAGATAGATGAGTCTTGCTTTCCTCCCTCCTCCCTCCAGTCCCCAAATCCTTACCCTCCAATTCCCACATCCTCTTCTAGCCTTGCAGACTTAGCGAAGATGCCAGCATCTCCTTTGCCAAAGCCAACCCTTACCCAGCACTTTCCCCTCCTCTGGGACCTCGCGAGCTGTTAACTCTTCTGCGCTGCCTCCTGTGCCTCCCCTCGCCGGATTCCACCTGCTTCTCTGTGCATCTACACAGGAGTAGCCTTCCCCTTTCCTCTCCTGCGCTTCTTCCAGCTCCTGCTCTTTTCCATTCAGCTTCCAGAAATGAGTCACCCTCCCTGCCCCCTCCTTTTTATTGCCTTTAATCTGACCTCTCCCCTATAGCTCTCCTGAAACTGCTTTCAGAAAGGCACGTGATCTCATTGCAACCCACCTGCCTGCTCCCCAGGACCTGACCCCAGGGAATGACATCCCTTGGTTAGCAGCTCTCCCTGCTGCCCGTGTGGCCGTGGCACCCTGTGCCCCTCTAACATGCCTCCGTTCTCCCAGCCTGCTCCTCTCCTTCCTCCACAGGTGCCTTCAGGGAAGCACCTCCTCGTCCCACCCTCAACCCTCTTCCCCTCTCCATGGAATCCATAGGTTCCACTCTCTTCTCCCTAGGAAGATGATGCCCTGCTCATACCTCCTGTCTGATTTCCGTCCCCGGCCCCAAGCTGTAGCCTAGCCCCTTCCTTCCCGAAGCCACCACACCCCTGCCTCCTTCCTGCAGCTGAGTTTCATCACGTTCCCCTCATGCTCAGTGACCTACAGCTCTTCCTGTCGACCCACAGAACAGAATGGGATTGCAGAGTCTGGGAACCTGAAGTTGGAAGGACTTTAGGATTCTTATCTTGTTGAAACTCTGATCCAATGTAGGAATGCCCATCACAATATTTTTGGACAGACTGTCATCAAGTCTTTGCTTACATGTCTGCTGTTATGGGAAGCTCACTATTTCATGAGGTGCCGTGTTCCATTTTAAAATAGCTACTAAATGGGCCCGTTCTGGTGCCTCATACCTGTAATTCCAGCAGCCTGAAAGGCTGAGGTGGGAGGATCACTTGAGCTCAGGAGCTTGAGACCACCCTGGGCAACATAGTGAGACCTCATCTCTATTTAAAAAATTTAAATTATTTTTTAAATTAACATAGTTATTAACTGGTTATTATGTTCATCTCCCACTGGTCCTGTAAACCAGGCTCCCTTGGCGTAATGTGGTCTGGTTTTCCTCTTCTCCTTCACATCTTTCCTGGACTTCAGCCTCAATAGTTCCACACTGTTGCCTGAAACCGTCCCTCCCCTCCTGCTTCCACACTCACACTTGTGCTGATTCTCATCAGCAGTGTCTTGGATTCTCAACTCAGCCCTTTACTTCCCGCCAGACAGTGCAGATGCCAGAGCTCCGCTGAGGACTTGCCCATTCTCTCCAACTAAATGCCCTTCCTTCTCTTTTGAAACCTCCAAGAACCACTTTGTTTATACTCCTTATCCACGTATCCCTTAGTCTATTTATCCATTCATTCACTCATTCATTCATTCAGTCAGCCCACAACATTTCTTGAAGCCACACACTGGCCCAGGATCCCTGCTGGGCACCAGAGACACCACAGAGAACAAGGCATGGAGCCCCTGCCAGGGGGAGGGAGCTTGTAGACACCCAGAGTGTAGGCACTCAATGCTGGGAACCATAAAAATGGGTTGAGTTAGCAAAGGAGAATTCCAGGAAGATCCGAGAGGACATGCAGGAGGAGTCTAACCTGGCCCAGGTCTAGGAGCAGCTCCCTGAAGAAGTGCGGCTACCCTGAGACCCAGATGACACGTTATAAGGCGGGTCATTGTTCAAGGGTCTGAAGGAAGTTCTCCATGGCTGGTACACAGAAGATGAAAGGGACCAGGCAGGACTCAGTGGCTAATGCCTATAATCTTAGCACTTCGGAAGGCCGAGGTGGGTGGATCACCTGAGGTCAAGAGTTCGAGACCAGCCTGGCTAACATGGTGAAACCCCGTCTCTACTAAAAATACAAAAAATTAGCCAGTCGTGGTGGCGCGCCTGTAATCCCAGCTACTCGGGAGGCTGAGGCAGGAGAATCGCTTGAACTCAGGGGGAGGAGCTTGCAGTGAGCTGAGATCATGCCACTGCACTACAGCCTGGGTGACAGAGCAAGACTCTGCCTCCAAAAAACAAAAGAAGAAGAAGAAGAAGTAGAAGAGAGGGACCATAATGAGAAAACTCAGAGTTCGAAGGACTTTGGAAAGCATGCTAAGGAGTTATTTTAATCTCGATAGTAATCGGAAGTCACTAAAGGGCTTTACCGAAAAGTGGCAGGGTCAGTTTATCACTCTTGAAACATCCCCCTATTTGGTTTTAACTTTCTTGTACATGGGTCTACACCCTTTTTTAGCCCCTATAATATTTGACCTAATGTGGAGGGTAGAGCAGGTGCAGTAATTAATAAATGTTTGTAGTACTGAATTTGGGAAATAAAATATCTTTAATCACTGTATTCTGAAAAATGAAAGCTAATAACTGTATGATTATAGACTATAAAACCAAAAAGGGCAACAATAACTTAAAGGAACATATTTGTTCATTAAAGTATTAAAAACTAGAAAAGGAAGCAGTGTCGGGATCTTAGAGAATGGAAATTTGTCCTGGATTAAAGGTAAATGTCATCCAAGAATGCAGATATCTATTTAAGAGGGTTGATATTTTGAAGCATCTAAATTATTAAAATCAATTTTTCCTCATTGAAAAAAGTATTAAACTAGGAAGCGCTTCCTTAAACCTAAAGAGCATCTGGGGCACAATCGTTAGCCTCTTGTGATGGGTGTCTCTTGGGACCAGCTCCTGTCTGAACATGAAACTTGTTGGGGTACTCACGTAGGGCCCATCCTTTGGGCGTCTGTATCTCTTATTTCTTAGTTTTCACAAATATGCAGAATAATGTAAGATGACAGCAATGGGAGAAACTGGCATTGCGGGAGGAATACAGTGGAACTCGCTACTATCTTTGCAACTTTTCTGTAAATCTAAAATTGACCCCCCAAAAAGTTTAACTTAAGAGAAACAGAAAGGAGGGCAGATTGGGGACCCCCAGTGAGGGCAGGGCAGCGTTAAATCACATCACAGGATGTGAGATCAGCTGGGCCAGGATGTGCAGTGAAGGCAGCCACTGAGAACTCAGCCCCAAGACCCCAGGAGCAGAGTGCAGAGGGTGGCCCTGCTGAGGCCTGGAACCTGCTGGGACAGCCAGACTGGTCCTGCTGTCACCTTAAGAAGCATTTCAGTTAATGCTTAGTTCTTAACCACTTAGTAAATCAGCATCTGTTTACATGTGGATAGGATCGTGCCAATGGTTTAAAATAGTTCTTTTCTACATAAGCCTGTACTGATATAAATAAATGATTCAATACATAAGTACATGGGAAAGAAGGGGCACGTCTCCCTTACAGAAGAATTCCAAATAACACATGTGGACGACATCACCTCTAGGAAGTAGAGCTTAACCCTTCATGATTTTGAGGATGGGCTGGAATTAGTGACTTAATTCTGAAGAAAAGGAGGAAAGAGTAACTTGACAGGAGAGAAACTTGCAAATGTGACCTTAACCAAATGATCCTATTAGCATCATCTGTGATGTTGTGTGGCCATCACACACCCCCAATGTACTCTGATGAGAATGGGGCTTCGCCTCAGCGGTATCCTTTCCAAAATCCCATAACCCCAGGTGAATGATGACAAAAGCCTCCAACAATGCAGATAGGGGAACATTCTACAAAATGCCTGACCACTAGTCCTCAAGAACATCAAGGTCAAGAAAAACAAGGGAAGATTGAGAAGCTGTCACATCCCAAAGGAGACCAAGGAGACGTGATGAGTAAATGCAAGGTGGTACCCTGGATTGAATCGTGGAACAGAAAGAGGACACAAATGGAAAAACCAGTGAAATCCAAAGTCTGAAGTTCAGTTAATGGCAATATGCCAATGTTGGTTTCTTAATCTTGGCAAAGGTATCGTGGCCACGTAAGATGACAACATTAGTGAAAATGGATAAAGGGTATGTGGGAACTCTCTGCTATCATTGTAGCTTTTCTGTAAATCTCGGGTTAATCCAACATAAAAACTTTATTTAAAAAAACAAGATAACTGGACATGGTGGTTCATTCTTGTAATCCCAGCTATTCAGGAGGCTGAGGTGGAGGGATGGCTTGAGATCAGGAGTTCAAGACTAGCCTGGGAAACACAGTGAGACCCTATTTTCAAAAAAAAAAAAAAAAAAAAAAAATAAGCCAGGCATGATGATTCATCTGTAATCCCAGCACTTTGGGAGACAAAGGCGGGCAGATCACCTGAGCTCAGCCTGGCCAACATGTTGAAACCCCATCTCTACAAAAAAAACACCCACAAAAATTAGCTGGGCATGGTGCTGTGCACCTGTAGTCCCAGCTACTCAGGAGGCTGAGGCAGAAGAATTGCTTGAGCCTGGGAGGCAGAGGTTGCAGTGAGCCGAGATCATGTCACTGCACTCCAGCCTGGGCGACAGAGAGAGACCTTGTCTCAAAAAATATATAAAATAGGCCAGGCACAGTGACTCACGACTGTAATCCCAGCACTTTGGGAAGCCGAGGTGGGTGGATCACCTGAGGTCAGGAGTTCGAGACCAGCCTGGCCAACATGGTAAAACCCCGTCTCTACTAAAAATACAAAACTTAGCCAGGTGTGGTGGCTGGTGCCTGTAATCCCAGCTACTCGGGAGGCTGAGGCAGGAGAATCACTTGAACCCAGGAGGCAGAGGTTGCAGTGAGCCAAGATTATGCCACTGCACTCCAGCCTGGGCGACAAGAGCAAAACTCTGTCTCAAAAAAAACAAAAACAAAAACAAAAACAAAAACAAGATATATATATATATATATGTAATAAAAAATAGAAATAAAAACCAAGATGTACAAGAAAACATAAATAAAATGCGATGGTAAGTGTTTTTTGTTTTTTTTTTTAATTCTGAAAATGGCAACTGTTTGTAATTAATGGTTGTTTTGTTTTGTTTTGTTTTTTCAGAGGAGACCATTCTGGGGTCCTAGGGAACTCTCTCCTCTAACATCCTGGCAGTAGTGTGAACAGGATTGTCCTGGTTTTGTGTTGTTTCATTTTTAACTTCAGATAATGTAAATTCTTGATGACAGTATCTAGTAGGTTATAACAAACAGGACGGGAGCTCAGCCTTGCTAGAGCGTATATTTGCAGCCTGGCATCATCGCCGGAGAAGAATATCCTGGTTTCTAAAGCAGAGCTGAGCTGTTTAAGGGACTCCAGGTGCCTCTCGTGAGGAGAGGCTGATAAGTGGGATGGCTGGGGATGTCTGTAGTGGCACTGTCCCCTACCATATATATGCCTTCTGACTTAAGACTCTCTACTTAGCATTTATAAAATCACAGTTCAAGGGGGATCATTCTAATTGGCAGAAGGACTTTTCTTTGCAAAATCAGTAAGTGTAGAATGAGTGCTTGTGATGCATTCGAAAGTTCATTCATGTATGCATTTAGCATATGTGCATTGGCACTCTACCATGTGCCAGGCGTTGACACACAGCCTCTACATTCTGGTTGGGGGAGTTGGATTTAAAAGAAATAAACAAGGAAGATAATTTCTGGTTATATTAGTCTGCTAGGGCCCCCAGAACAACATACCACAGGCTAGGCAGCTTCAACAACATAAACTTATTTTCTCATAGTCTGGAGGCTGAAAGTCCAAGACCAAGATGCCAGCAGAGTTGGCTTCTTTCAAGGTGTCTTTCTTTGGCTAGCAGATGGTCACCTTCTTGCTGTGTCCTCCCATGGTCCTCCCTCTGTGTGTGTATCCCTGGAGTTTCTCCCTCTTTTTAGAACGGTGCCGGTCTTATAAGATTAGGCCATACCATTACAATCTCATGTACCCTTAATTACTTCCTTAAAGACTATTTCTGGCCAGGTGCGGTGGCTCACGCCTGTAATCCCAGCACTTTGGGAGGCCGAAGCAGGCAGATCACTTGAGGTCAGGAGTTTGAGACCAGCCTGGTGAACCCCATCTCTACTAAAAATACATCTCTACTAACAATACAAAAAGTAGCCAGGCATTGTGGCGTACGCCTGTAATCACAGCTACTCTGGAGGCTGAGGCAGCAGAATCACTTGAACCTGGAAGGCGGGGGTTGCAGTGAGCTGAGATGGTGCCACTATACTCCACCAGCCTAGGCAGTAGAGCAAGACTCCACCTCAAAAAAAAAAAACAAAAAAAAAAAACCCTACTACCAAATGCAAGTCACATTGAAGGTATTGAAGGTTAGGGCTTCAACATATGTATGACCTGGGGTTGGAGGGGGGAAGGTGCATGACACAGCTCAGTCCATAAGGCTAGTAGTGATAAACATTATAAAAGAAATACAAGATCAAGAGTGAGGTCATGGGACTAGTGTTTAGATAGGGTGGTCAAATGAGCCCTCTCCAAGGACAGCCCAGGCCTGACCCGGAGGATCTGTGTTGGCTGGTGCATCCCTTACAAGACAGGCTGAGAGTAGAAATTCACAAAAATTACATGGCCAAAGGGTCGTACAGTTCAGTTAGTCCAAACCCCTCATTTTGCAGACTACTGAAGTCAGAGAAGATGAACAGTAACTTATAATTGTTTAATACTTAAAACAACAAGCTTATAGTAGAAGTATTTGTTTTAACTTTTTATTATAGACTCTTTTAAACATACACAAAAGCAGTCTCCATAAGATAAACAACCTTTACTCATCTTCAAAACTTTGCTAATTTTTCTTCTATCTCCTTTTTTTCCTGGAATTTTAAAACATAAATTCCACATCTTATTTCACTAGTCAATATTTCAGGATATGTCACTGGCTAATGAGAGTTCTTTGTTGGCATGGTTTCTTTCTTTCTTTCTTTTTTTTTTTTTACAGCTAATGAGATACTGTTACTATTAACTTCAGTGAAGAAACTGAGACCACCTTCGCTTAGTCTTCCCAAGACCTGGCTAATGTTAGAGTACATGAAGAACCAAGTTCCCAAACTGCTTTTCCCAACCCTAACTCAGGACTGTTTCTACTCCACAGCTAACATGATAAGAATCACTGCCAATAATGTAAAAATAATTTCCCTAAATGTGCTGTAATTAATTTAAATGACTTTATACACATCTTTTTAGGAACACAGTTAAACGTGAAATAAATGAGGGAATGTCGGTATTTTCCGCTGCCTGTTTGAGGGGAAAAAAAAAGCTTAGTAGAGGGTTTCAGAGAGACGGGAATTATTCTAGTAGAAACGGAAATATCTAGGTGAAGAATCAATAAGCCTTGTGTTAATTTGCCTCCAGGATATTGGCATTAATACCAAAATCTGTCTCTTTGCCAAGATTGGAGATAATTTGCCTGGATTGGGGCGCCATCTAGTGGCCATTTCCACATCCTCGGTGCGCGCGCCACAGAGCCCAGCCCGACCCTGAACGCAAGATGGCCTGCTCAGTCTCTATTTTTCCAGGAGGTGCTTTTGCGGTAAAAAGTGATTTTAATAGGAAAGCCCATTCCAGTATTTCTTTTCATAACTTTGAAGATGCAGCTGCATAACCTAGACCATTTGGATTTGCTTTCCTTAAAACTTTAGTTATGAGCTCCAACTCCCGAGTTTTGTTTTTATGTGTTTTTTACAAGAAGTGCCCAAAAAAAAAAGGAAGTGCCCATTGTTCCTAGTACAGCAGTTGCCAAGCAGCTCCCGGTGTGCATATGCACAGATGGCAGCGTGACCAGGAGGCTACGGCGCCCAGAGCAGCTCGTGCAAACCAGACCACCCTAAGACAGCCCACCCAGGATGGCGGCTGTCCCACCCGAGCGTGTGGGCTGGGATGCTGGGATGTGTTCCATTTTCTCAAGCCAGTGCTGACATGGACCTAGTTGGATCTTTTCATAGGCTCATGCCTCCCCTGCAGTGGTTGTGGCACTGCCAGAGACTGTTTTCACAGACATGTGTCACCTCAGAGGGAAGTCTCCGGACATTTCTAGACTACAACGGCAGCAAATACAGAGTACTGTGAATTACAGTGTGAACATTCAGAACACTGGGGAATAGGCGATACCTCTGGCTGGTTAATCAATCTGGTGAATTTTATTAGCACAGATTCTCCATCTGGGGTACTTTTCATACCACTAACCTCTGAAGCACTTGGGAAGGGAGGAAGCACTTTTGTGAACTTCTGAAAAGAACCAAGTGATATTTCTCTGAAAAATATACCCTCTTGCCTTCCTGAATCTACGTCTTCAGGAGTAATTCAGTCAATAAAGTGCGTTTTTTTTTTTTTTTTTTTTTTACAAAATCCTACTCACAGGAGTATATTTGAGTAAAGGCAGTGTTTCTTCATTAGAAAGAGTGCAGGTTTTAGAATCTTCTGTGAGTCTGATACAAAATATGGATCCTCCCTCTAGAAAAATATGCTCAAATATACAACATTTTGGTTCACTCTCTCCCCCAAAAAGCTTAAAAACTCTATCACTGGAAAAAGGATGTAGGTAATGCTGAGGTTCATAGCCTTTTCATCACACAGAATTTCTTTTCAATTCAATTTTATTCCTTAAATCACTGGAGTGCTTGCCAGGTGCCAGGCACTGAGTTAGGTGCTGAGTACACAAAAATAAATAGACATAATGAGAGAGGAGAAAGTAAGAAACTAGTCAGGCAGGCAACTAGGGTGGGTCCTTGGCAAAATTCCTTCAACAAAGAAGAGCCTGACAATCAAACTGCAGGCCCCAGATAAGAAAGAGCCTGCTGGCCAGGTGCAGTGGCTCATGCCTGCAATCCCAGCACTTTGGGAGGCTGAGGCGGGTGGATCACCTGAGGTCAGGAGTTCAAGACCAGCCTGACCAACATGGTGGAACCCCGTCTTTACTAAAAATACAAAAATTAGCTAGGCATGATGGTAGGCGCCCATAATCCCAGCTACTCAGGGGGGCTGAGGCAGGAGAATCACTTGAACCTCGGAGGTGGAAGTTGCAGTGAGCCAACATTGTGCCATTGCACTCTAGCCTGGGCAACAAGAGCAAAACTCCATCTCAAAAAAAAAAGAAAAGAAAAAGAAAAAGAAAAAGAAAGCAAGAGCCCACATCCATCCTTAAATGGAAATGCTTACTCTGTGAACCCAGATGAACAAATTCCATCCCTTTTTGGACACATTTCTCTCTCCTTGGCATATCTTGGTCTCTTACTTTTCACCTATTTTACATATGCCTACCTTTCTGTAATTGTCTGGGGCTAAGTCTTCATTTACATAGGGTGAATCATCACTTTAGCCCCTGATTGGTCCTGGGCCAAGGTCCTGGGCCAAGACTTCACCTCTGCCTCCAATTGGTTCTTTACACTATCATACCTCTTTCTGAGTGGTGCTTTCTCCAAGATGGACTGCAGACCAGTCAGCACACTCCTCCCCTTCGAGTCCATAAAAACCCCAAACTCAGCCTCATAGCTGACAACCCTCTCAGGCCCCCTGTCCGCTGCAGAGAGCTTTCCTTTTTTGTTTATTAAAATTTCGCTCCAACCTCACCCTTGGTGTCCATGCTCCTTAATTTTCTTGGTCATGAGACAAAGAGCTCAGTTAACACCTCAGAAGAGGAGACTGCTTCATTGACCCTATACTGCTTCAATAGTCCATGATTTCAAGAAACCTCATAATGTTCTCTCATTTTATTACTTTTCCTCCATATACCTTGTGTCTTGAAAGAAGTTACTCATGAAACTTCAATTGTTGCTTAATCTCTATTTATTTTTCCAAGAGCTAACCAATGTTACTGCCATGAAGAATCCAGGACTTTGCATAGAACAGGTACATAGCAGGTGTTCAATAAATGTTTGATTATTACATGGAGTTGAGTTGATCAAATTCTAATTAAAAGCAAAAAAAGTAGTTACTCCTTTGAGTTTTATCATAAATAAACTTTTTTAATGGATACGCTGTTTTCTGATAGGTCTTTTGAAAAATTGAAACTAATCTTTGAATACTCGGTTTAACCTGAGAATACCAGTTGTCAAGAGCCATGAACCAGAAACTCAGAATCTGCTCTTTGAAAAAAGTTCATATTTTAAGGATTTTAATTATTCAATAAAAGTTGCTAAGATATTGTTTGGTTAACAAAAATAAAAACTCACATAAACCTTTCTCTTATATCATAAACCAGAATCAATTCTGGAAAGATTAAAGAGTTAAATATTTTAGAATGAAAGAGGAAAGAAAGAGAAAGGAAGAGAGAAAGAGAGAAAGAAAGTGAGCCAAAGACTCTGTCTCAATAAATACATAAATAAATCCAGATATTCCATGTATATGAATAGGAAGTCTCAGTATTGTCAAGGTATCAGTTCTTCCCAACTTGATCTGTAGATTCAATATATTCCCAATCCAAAACCAAGTCAGTTATTTTGTGGCTATTAACAAACTGATTGTAAGGTTTATATGGAGAGGCAAAAATCCCAGAACAGCCAACAAAATACTGAAGGAGAAAACAAAGTTGGATGACTGACAAACACTATCCAACTTCAAGACTTAGTATAAAGCTATGGTAACCAAGATAGTGTGGTATTGGTGAGAAAACAGACAAATAGGTCAATGGAATAGAATAGAAAGTTCAGAAATAGACCCACATAAATAACAGTCAACTAATTTTTGACAAAGCAGCGAAGGCAACGTAATGCAGCAAAGATAGTGTCTTCAACAAATGGGGCTGGAATGACTAGACATCAACAGACAGACAGACACACACACACACACACACACACACACAAACAGTTAATCTAGACACAGACCTTACACCCTTCACAAAAATTAACTCAAAGTGGATCGTAGACCTAAATGTAAAATGCAAAACTATAAGACTCCTAGAAGATAACATAGAAGAAAAACTAGATGACCTTCCCCCATCCTCAACTCCAAAAAGTGTGGCAATGACTTTTTAGATACAATACTAAAGACATTATTTATGAAAGAAAAAAATTGAGACACTGGATTTCATTAAAATTAAAAACTTCTGCTCTATGAAAGACAATGTGTAGAGAATGAGAAGACAAGCCACAGACTGACAGAAATATTTACAAAAGACACATCTGATCAAGGACTTATCCAAAATGTACAAAGAACTCTTAAGACCCAAAAATAAGAAAATAAATAACCTGATTTTAAAATGAGCAAACAACTTGAACAGACACCTCATCAAAGAAGATATACAGAGGCAAATAAGCATATAAAAAGATGTGCAACATTATGTATGTAAACCCCAAATATCTGAGACAGGTCTCAGTTAACTTAGAAGGTCTATTTTGCCAACGTTGAGGATGCATGCCCGTGACACAGCCTCAGGAGGTCCTGACAACTTGTGCCCGAGGTAGTCAGAGCACAGTTTGATTTTATACATTTTAGGGAGACATGAGACATCAGTCAACACATGTAAGATGAACACTGGTTTGGTCCAGAAAGGCAGGACAACTCAAAGCAAAATGGGACAACTTGAAGCAGGGAGAGGGCTTCCAGGTCATAGGGAAATAAGACAAATGGTTGCATTCTTTTGAGTTTCTGATTCGCCTCTCCAGAGGAGGCAATCAGAAATGCATTTACCTCAGTGAGGAGAGGGGTGACTGAATAGAATGGGAGGCAGGTTTGCTCTAAGCAGTTCCCAGCTTGACTTTTCCCTTGAGCTAAGTGATTTGGGGGGCCCAAGATTTATTTTCCTTTTACATGTGTCATTAGAAAAATGCAAATTAAAACAATAGTGAGTCACAACTACACAACTATACCTGCACCACTACAATGGCCAAAATCCCAAACACTGACCCACCAAATGCTGACAAGGATGTGGAGCAACAGGAACTCTCATCCATTGCTGGTGGGAATGCAAAATGGTACAGCCACTTTGGAAAACAGTTTGGTAGTTTCTTAAAAAACTAAACATACTCTTACCATATGATCCAGCAATTATATCCACCTTGACTTTTACCAAAATTACTTGAAAACATATGTTCACACAAAAACCTGCACATGTATGTTTATTTGTAATTGCAAATCTTATAAGCAACCAAGATGTCCTTCAGTAGGTAAATGGAAAAACATGGAGGAAACTTAAATGCATATCACTAAGCAGCAGAAGCCAATGTGAAAAGCTGTATGATCCCAACTATATGACATTCTGAAAAAAATTATATGCAGAATTAAGGAGACAGTAAAAAGATTAGCAGTTGCCAGGGGTTACGGGGCAGGGAGGGATGAACAGGTAGAGCACAGAGGAATTTAAGGACATTGAAATTACTCTGTATGATACTATAATGGTGAATGTAAGTCATTATACATTTTCCTCAATCTATAGAACGTACAACACCAAGAGTGAACCCTAATGTATACTATGGGCTTTGGGTAACGATGATGTGTCAATTAATTGTTCATTTATTATAACGAATGTATTACTCTGGTGGGAGATATTGATAGTAGGGGAGGCCGTACCCATGTGGGGGTAGGAGAGTATATGGAAAATGTCTGTACCCTCCACTTAATTTTGCTGTGAACCTAAAACTCCTCTAAAAACTAAAGAGAGACAAAGAGAATCAGAGAGACAGAGTGTGTGTGTGTGTGTGTGTGTGTGTGTGTGTGTGTGTGTGTGAGTGAATATCTTCTTTCTGAATGAGGAAGAACTTTCTAAGCATAAAAGCAAGTAAGAAGAAATCACAATTTCATTTTGTCAAATGGTGAAAAAAAACTTCACCATTTGACTTTTCAAAAATCTAAAAGGCAAGTTGCAAACTGGGAAATAGATTTACAACAATTACGACAAAGGTAGAATGACTGTAATCAAAGGATCAAAGCCTTCCATGCCTAGAACAGATAATCAGGCAAAGGAGATGCACAAGGGTGGAGACACCGAGGTTTAACAGCCCAGCATGGTCTCCCACCTCCCACGGTGCCCCCTGTAGACAGAGATTAGAATGTTGGAAACTATATTTTCCCGACTCCCTTGCCAGAAGGTGCTCATCTAAGCAATATATATAAATCCAAAATAAACAAAAAAAAGCAAGTTACTTAAATGTTCATTATTAATGGATGAATTAAATGAATTCTAGTGCATCTATAGATATTCTATATGGTCACTTCAAATAACGTTTAAGAAAGGATTTTGATAACCTGAAATTGGCGAAGCCCTCAGGAAAATTACCTCCACATAGAGTATGATCTTCCCCCAACCTCAACTCCAAAACAGAAGCATCTTTTCTTCTCATGAGAATCAAACAAAATTGATATAAGACTTTGAATATTGTCTTTTTTGTTCACCATATCTCTATTTATTGTCTCACATTCTTTATTTAAAGGAGCATAATTATTTTCAAGAAACCAACTCACTTTGTTAACAGTGATGCAGAAATACATTTATGATGATGTGATGTGAAATGGGAAATAATAAGAAAGCCAGGTCCATGCTCTCCGGGGCTTTTGGACTAAGATCTTGAAACCCAAATTCTTAGGGGAGAAGGAAACAAGGTAAGGCAATCAGTAACCTAAGTTATTGCCCTCGTTCTTAAACCAGAAAGCCAAGATGGCCTTGGGCCCTTTCTAGATGGATATATAGATAGATAGATAGGTAGATAGATAGATAGATAGATAGATAGATAGATAGATAGATAGATAGATGGAAGGAAGGAAGGAAGGAAAGAAGGGAGGGAGGGAGGGAGGGAAGAAAGAAAGAAAAAGAAAGAAAGAAAGAGAAAGAAAGAAAGAAAGAGAAAAGGAAGGAAGGAAAGAAGGAAGGGAGGGAGGGAAGGAAGGGTGATAGAACAAATCAAACATTACTGGGTATATACATATAGTTATATATGAGAGATTAGAAGAAAAGTTTTTATCAGCATTTCAAATAAGATTAAAGGAGATCATAATTAGGTTAATAAATAGGTCTTTAATTTTTGCCATAAGTGAAATTAAAAAATATTTCAAGATCTCTCCTGATCTCAGAACAGTCACCTGTCATACATATAAAGGTCAAGATTTGGGATAAAACCCTTCACCCGCTTTCCAAATCACAAAATCAATGTTTCCTACCTGTTCTAGGGCTCAGAAACTATTTGAATGAGGGTAGACATTCACAAACAAGCAACCAGAAGAAATGTAGCTCGTATCTGGCATGGTATACAACAGGAGTAAAAGGCACATCTCCAGTGTTTATTAACTTCTGTTTTATTGCCATCAAAAGGATTTCTTAAATCGTCTTGTCCAGAAAAGAAGATCCTAATTTAGATCTCCAAACACCTAGTAAGAGTCTGATTTTTTTTCAGATTTTTTGCTGTTGGCACACAGAAATGCTACTGATTTTTATTTGTTGGTGTTGTATCCTTTACTGCATTTGTTTATCAGTTCCAATAGTGTTTTGGTGGAGTCTTTAGGTTTTTCCAACTATAAGGTTATATCATCTGCAAACAAGGATAATTTGACTTCTTCCTTTCCAATATGGATACTCTTTATTTCTCCTCTTGTCTGATTGCTCTAGCTAGACTTCTGATAACTGACTCTTTAAAGCAAAAATAATAGCATAGTATTGTGTGGAGTTTATAATATATGTAGATGTAAAATACTCAACAACAATAGCAAAAAGGATAGGTATAACAGATTGTACTTTCTTCAAAAGTTGGAGTCTAATTATGATGAAACCCTTGTGATTTGCCCTTTATGATTTCCTCAATGAGTAGAATGTGGCAAAAGACTTGCTGCAAACCAATCAATGCCAGATCATAAAGTGCAGTAGAAATTACACCTGGTTCTCTCTCTCTCTCTCTCTCCTCAGGATGCTTATTCTTAAGCCCTTGAAACCATGCTGTAGAGAAACCCAGGCAACTTGGAGAGCACACATGTAAAGATTCCAGCTAACAGCCTCAGTTAATATTTTAGCCAAAGCCAGTATTTACTGCAAGACATTTGAATGAACAATCTTTTGGATGTTTCCAGCTCCTGCTTTGAAGTCTTTCAGCTGAGTCCCTAATACCAAAAGCAAGAACAAGCTGTCTCTACCGTGTTCTGTCCAAGTTCCTGACCCACAGAATTTATGAGCGTAATAAATGGTTGCTTAGGCTACTAAATGTTGGGCTAACTTGTTATGCAACCATACAGACTGGAACAGAGAGTGGGGTTTTTTGTGACAACAAAAGCAACAACAACAAAAAGCTTAAAACATGTGGGAATGACTCTGGAACCAGGAAGTGCGTAGACAAGTTGGAATAACCTTTTAAAGAGTGTTAATCCCACTACTTTGGGAGGCCAAGTTGGGAGGATCGCTTGAGGCCAAGAGTTTGAGACCAGCCCAGGCAAAACAGTGAGACACCATGTCTATGAAAAATTAAAACAAAAAAATTAGCTGGGTGTGGTGGTGCATGCTTGTAGTCCTAGGTACTTGGGAGATTAAGGTCGGAAGATTGCTTGAGCCCAGGAATTGGAGGCTGCAGTGAGCTATGGACATGCCACTGCCTTCTAGACTGGGCAACACAGCAAGACCCTGTCTCAAAAAAAAAAGTGTTAATAATGAAAGTGTGAAAGGCTTTAAAACAGCTGTTAGCACAAGCCAAGTTACTTGAGGAATTGTCAGTATGGGCTTAAGGAAAAGTGAAGGAAATATTATTGGAAATTGAAGAAAAGAAGCTTTGTTACATATTGGTAGAATATTTTGCAAAATGTTATCTCTGATAATGTGTAGAATTATAAATTGTACCTAATAATCTGGCTGATTTATCTAAGGAGAATTCCAAGTAAGAGTTTTGAAGTCACTGCCTGGATTCTCTAGCTCCAGATAGTAAAGTGGAAAAGAAGAAACATGAGCCAAAAAATAAATTATTCCATTTTAAAGTTTATAGAAAATATCAAGTAGCCAGAAATTCTTGGGTTAAAAATATCTGTTTCTTATTCCCAATCTTTCCAAAACTCTCAAATCTAAAAAGACCCTCAGAGCAAAGATCAAATCCACTGTGGGATTATATGGTCATCTGTTTAGACCTCAGAAATATTTTAACAGGCACCTCCAAGAACTGTTCAGTCAGACCAAAAGCTCTTTGAGGATTTTAGCATGTCACAGAGAGCCTCTTCTCTGACAACAGAGGTTCTAAGAATTGCAAGGGTTTTGACCCTCAACAGCTTTCCAAAAATCTCATGATAGAGAAGGGCTTATCTTGGCCCAGCACAGTGGCTCACAACTATAATCCCAGCACCATGCGGGGCCATGGTAAGAAGATCACTTGAAGCCAGGAGTTTGAGACTAGCCTGGGCAATACAGCAACATCCCTGTATACAAAAGAGAGAGGTGGAGTCTTATCTTGAGGAAAGTTGGGATTATCACTTTCATATAACAATGTGATCCCTAAAAAATTCATAGCAAGCCCACAGAGTTTTAAAGAGAAT
Source organism: Homo sapiens (assembly GCF_000001405.40). Classification (NCBI taxonomy): domain Eukaryota; kingdom Metazoa; phylum Chordata; class Mammalia; order Primates; family Hominidae; genus Homo; species Homo sapiens. Next base: position 26,097,832 of record NC_000008.11, read on the forward strand.
TATAGTAGCTCTAAGTAGACTGCAATAAGTAATGATGCATGATTTAATCCCTAGAGTAAATACTAAAAAAATACAAAGAAATATAACAAAACCTATTCAAGTAAGTAAAATGGAATGCTAAACAAAATTTTATTTACCTAAAGCAGACAGAAAGGGAAGAATAGAAGAAGCAATAATAGATTGAAAAAATAAAAAAGAAATAGCAATGTGGTAAACTTCAATCCAACCATATCAATAATTCTATTAACTGTAAATAACCAACATAATTAAAAGGCAGAGATTGCCAGACAAAATTTTTTTAAATCAAAACTCAACTATAAACTCTTTACAAGAGACAAGCTTTTAAATATGAATGCTTAGATCCTGCAATAAACTGTCTTTACTCCGTGTGTGTGTGTGTGTGTGTGTGTGTGTGTGTGTGTGTGTGTGTTTTGAGACATGGTCTCACTGTCTCACCCAGGCTGGAGTGCAGTGGCATGGTCACATACGTCTCACTGCAACCTCGACCTCCTGGGCTCAATCAATCCTCCCACCTCTGCCTTCTGAGTAGCTGGGACTACAGGTGCACACCACCATGCCTGGCTAATTTTTGTATTTTGTTGTAGAGGTGGGGTTTCTCCATGTTGCCCAGGCTGGTCTCAAAATCCTGGGCTCAACTTATCCGCCCATCTCAGCCTCTCAAAGTACTGGGATTACAGGTGTGAGCCACCACATTCAGCCTTGACTCCATTCTTGATGTTTGGCTGCCGACAGCTTACAAGCCCCACCCTTGCCCCTTTTGTCCCACATACAGGCAAACCAGTAAGAAAGCCCACAGGCTCTCCTCTGTCCCCTTGATACTGAAAGTTCAAACCACACAAGTCTCCTACACTGGCCCACCCCCAGCCACAACATAAACCAAATTCACTTGTCCCAGTCACCCTCTTGGCTGAAGCCATTCTTGACTCCCTTGTACCTACCCTGCTCTCCTGAAAAAGTCCCATTATGTGAGTAATAAATTTTTTCATACCCTCTTGATAAGAATGGCATCATCAGTCTTGACATCCAAACCTATTTTGAGCAGCGAAGTTAATCCTGCCCTCCATGAGGCCACCACACAGCAAATTAAAAGTAAAAAGATAGAGAAAAAGGAACATGTACCCAGAAAGCAAAAGATGATGAGGCTATATTGTTACAAGACAAAGTAGGCTTTAAGATAAGGAATATTGTCAGGGATAGGGAGGTGATTTGGTAATGATGAAAGATTCTATTCATCAAGACTACAAACAATCCTAAATATGTATGCATCTATATCGGATCTTAAATATTAAAATAAGATACATCTTACAGAACCAAAGGAAGAAACAGACAAATCCATAATCATAGTTGGAGATTTTAATACCAATCTCCTAGTAATAGAAGCAACAGACAAAAGTTTAGTAAGGATTTAGATTTGAACAGCACTATCAACCAATTTGACTTAATTGACTTTTATAGAAGCGTATACCTTATAACCACTTAACGTATATGTGTATTTGTCAAGTGCATATGGAATGTTCAGATAGAACACTTACTGGGCCATAAAATAAGTGTCAACAGTTTCAAAAGATTGAAATACAGAACATGTTCTATGACCACAATGAAATTAAAATTAAGAATAAATAACAATGAGATATCTAGAAAACTCCTAAGTATTGGAAATTAAACAGCATATTCTCAATGACCAAATAAGATAATGAAATAAGTTTTAAAATTTTTTAACTAAATGATAATGAAAACACAACATATAAAAACTTGTGAGATATAGCTAAAGCACTGATTCCCGGGAAATTTGAAGACTTATATTAGAAAACAAGAAAAGTTTAAAATTAATGAGCTATGTTTCCATCCTCAGAAGCTAGAAGAGCAAATTAAATGCAAAACAAGTGATATGGTTTGGCTGTGTTCCCACCCAAATCTCATCTTGAATTGTAGCTCACATAATCCCCACGTGTGGTAGGGACCTGGTGGGAGGTAATTGAATCATCAGGGTGGGTCTTTCCTGTGCTGTTCTTAAAGTGAATAAGTCTCATGAGATTTAATGGATTTTTAAAGTTCAGTTCCCCTGCACACGCTCATTTGCCTGCCACCATGTAAGACATGACTTTGCTCCTCCTTTGTCTTCCACCATGATTGTGAGGCCTCCCTAAACATCTGGAACTGTGAGTCCATTAAACCTCTTTTTCTTTATAAATTAATCGGTCTTGGGTATGTCTTTATTAGCAGCATGAGAACAGATGAATACAACAAGTATAAATAGGGAAATAATAAAGAGCAGAAATTAATGAAATGAAAAGTAGGAAAAAAAGGAAGCCAAAATTTGGTTATTTGAAATATCAATAAGATTAATAAATCTCTATCGAGATTGAGTAAGAAAATTAGAAAAAAGACACAAGTTACTACCAGCAATGAAAAAAGAGAGGACACTATAAGATTTCAGAGATAATAAAGTGATAAGAAAATGTTATTAATGGCTAAATGACAACAAATTTGACAACTTATAGGAAGTGGACAAATTCCTTGAAAAATATGACTCACCAAAACAGACACAAGAAGATATAGAAAGAATGGCTTGATATCACTGAAATTGAATTTGTGATGAAAATTCTTTCTACAAAGAAAACTCTAGGCCCAGATAATTTGGTAAACTTAAGCAATTAATGCTAGTCTTAACAGCTTTTTCAGCCAGAGGGAACACTTCACCGCACATTTGGTGAGGCCAGCATAGCACTGATACTAAAACCTAAAAAAAAGTCATTGAAAGCAAAGAAAATCATAGGCTAATATCCAACATACATTCCACGAAAATAAAATTACAGACCAGGATTTTTTAGACATTAGCAAGTAGAAGACAGAAATATAAGAAAAGGATAATACCTCATGACCAAGTGGGGTTTATCCCAGGAATATAAAGAAGTTTAACATTCAAAAATTAATATACTCCTTCACATAAGGATAAAGGAGATATCATACAAACATGAAACAAAAGAAACTTGGAATGGCTACACTAAAATGAGACATGGTAGATTTCAGAACAAGGACTATTACTAGAGGGAAAAAAATTCATATTAATAAAGAGAACTACTTATCATTCAGTTGTAAAAAAATCTTAAATGTGTTTGCACCAAAGAGATATTTCAAAATAAACGAAGCAAAAAACAAAACAACAACAACATAAAAACCCTCAAAAGATTGAAAGAAGAAATCCACAATTAGAGAAAAAGAGTTGATTATTTTTTCTTCAGTCATTACTAGAGCAACTTCATGGAAAAATTATTGAAGAGATAAAAGACTTGAAAAACACTATGTAGCAATTTAATCAATTTACATTTATACAACATTTCACCCAACCACAAAAGAATATACGTTTTTGTTTAAGTGCACCTGAAACATTCACAAAGATAGAACATATGCTGGGCTATAATACAAGTTTCAACAAATTTTAAAGATTAAAACCATACTGAATATATTCTCTAACCACAACAGAAAAGAAAATGAAAATCAGTAACAGGAAGATATCTTTTAAATCTCAAATGCATAGTTAATAAACTAAATGAAAATGAAATCACAAGGCACAAAACTTGTGGGATGCATCTAAAGCAGTGCTCCAAGGGAGTTTTGAAACTTTAAATGCTATTTTGGAAGACAAAAAAAAGGGTATATGATCAACGGTCTAAGCTTCCATCTTAAGAAGCTAGAAAAAAGAAGAACAAATTCAACCCAAAGTAAGTATAAGGAATAGAATATAAAAAAGCAGAAATCAATGAAATAGAAACAGAAGAATAGTACAGAAAAAAATCAATAACAGCAAAACTGATTCTCTTTTATAAGCTTAATAAAGTTGATAAATCACGTACAAAAATTAAAAATATAGAAAGGATAATAACTTAATAAATTCGACAACTTAGATAAATGGAACAAATTTCTTAAAAGATAAAAATTACCAAAACAGTTTCAAATGGAAATAGAGTATCTGTATAGCCCTATATATAAAAGAAATTGAATTCAAAATTTTAAAATTACAAAGAAAACTCCAGGCCTGCATGGCTTCCTAGGTGAATTATGTTAAACATTTACAGAAGAAATAATGCCAATCTTTCATAGGCTTTTCTGGGAAATAGAAGAGAAGCAGATATATCCTAATCATTCAATGAGGATAGTATCACCCATATACCAAAATCTGACAAAGATTTCATAACAACAGGAAACTACAACCTATCCCTCATTAACTTAGATGCAAAATCATCAACAAAATATGCAAAAAAATCCAAAAAACAAGGCCAGCAATATATTACAAGAATAATATGTTATGAGTAAATGACATTTATTTCAGGAATGCAAAGTTGGTTTAATGATTTAAAAGAGTCAAGTTGCAAGGAGTCTCAAATAGCCGAAACAATCCTAAAAAAGAAGATAAAGTTGGAAAGCTCACACTTTCTGTTCAAAAATTATTACAAAGCTACAATAATTAAAACTATATAACAGTGGCACAAGGACAGACATAGGGACCAACAGAATAAAACAGCCCAGAAATAAACCCTCACATATATGTTTATTGATGTTCAACAAGGGTGTCCAAACATTTAATGGGGTAAGACAGTCTTTTGAACAAAGGGTGTTGGGAAAACTAGATATCCGTATGCAAAAGAATGAAATTGGATTCTTACTAGACACCATATATAAAAAATGATCCAGAATGAATCACAGACCTAAAATTAAGAGTTAAAACTGTAAGACTCTTAGAAGAAAACACAGAGTAAATCATCATGACCTTGAATTTGGCAGTGGATTCTTAGATATGACACCAAAAGCACAGGCAATAAAAGAAAAAATAGATAAACTGTACTTCAATTAAGTTAAGAAGTTTAGTGCATCAAAAGATACTATCAAGAAAGCAAAAAAGACAATCTACTGAATGGGGGAAAATGTTTTATCAGATAAAGTATTAATTTCCAAATTATATAAACAACTCAACAAAAACCACAAAAATAACCCAATTCAAAAATGGGCAAAGGATTCATATAGACGTTTCTCCAAAGAAGATGTGCAAATGACCAATAAACACATGAACTGATACTCAACATCATTGGTCGTTAGAGAAATGCAAATCAAAACCTCAATGAGATAACATTTCACACCTACTAGAGTGGCTGTAATTTTTAAATTTTAAGAAAAAAAACAGAAAATAATAAGTGTTGGCGAAGATGTAGATAACATTGGAAACCTTGTATTTCTGGTAGGAAAGAAAAATGGTGCAGCCACTGTGGGAAACAGCTGGGCGGTTTCTCAAAAGGTTAAACATGGAATCATCATATGACTCAGCAATTCTACTCCTAGGTATATATCCAAAGAATTGAAAGCAGAGACCTGAACAGATTTATAGATATAGATATACAGATAGATAGAGGTGAGATAGAGATAGAGATAGAGATAGAGATAGAGATAGAGATAGAGATAGAGATAGAGATAGAGATGATATAGGATTCTTTTTTTGAGACGAAGTCTTGTTCTGTTGCCCAGGCTGGAGTGCAGTGGTGCAATCTCAGCTCACTGCAACCTCCATCTCCCTGCTTCAAGTGATTCTCCCACATCGGCTTCCCCAGTAGCTGGGATTACAGGTGCCCGCAATCATGTTCAGCTACTTTTTGTATTTTTAGTAGAGATGGGGTTTCACTGTGTAGGCCAGGCTGGTCTCGAACTCCTAACCTCAAGTGATCCTCCTGCCTTAGCCTCCCAAAGTGCTGGGATTACAGGCATGAGCCACTGCATCTGGCCTGAACAGATATTTACACAGCAATGTTCACAGCAGCATTAATCACAATAGACAAAATGTGGAAACAGTGTTAAGTATCCATCAACAGATGAATGGATAAACAAAATACAGTATTAATTACAGTATGTTTGTATAGTGGCATATATTTAACTATAAAAAGACAAAACTTTTATATATGCTATAACATGGATGGATTGGACCTCGAAAACGTTATGCTTACTGAATTAAGCCAAATATAAAAAGACAAATACTGTATTACTCCACTTAGAATAGGTATCTAGAATGGCAAATTCATAGCTATAGATAAAAATGTGAGGTATAGATAGTAGTGATGGTTACACAACATTGTGAATATACTTAATGCCACTAAATTGTACACTTCAAAAAACATGAAATACTTGAAGATAAGTATGCACAAAATATGGATAAAACCTACACAATGAAAACCTTAAAACACTGCTGAGATAAATTAAGGACCTAATAATTGGAGGGTTATGCCATATCATAAATTTTAAAACTAAATATTGCTATGATGTAAATTATCCCCAAGATGATCTACATGATATAATGCAAATCCAATAAAAATGTCAGCAGACTTTTTTGTAAAAATTGATAAGTTAATTCCAAAGTTTATGTGGAAATGGAAAAGACTAGAATAGCCAAAACTATTTTGAAAAACAAGAACAAAATTTGAAGGTTTACAATAACTGACTTTAAATCTTGCCATAAGCTTCAGTAATCAAGACAATGTGTTATGAGCATAAGGATAGACACAGAGGCTGGGCGCGGTGGCTCACGCCTATAATCCCAGCACTTTGGGAGGCCAAGGAGGGTGGATCACTTGAGGTCAGGAGTTCGAGACCAACCTGGCCAACATGGCAAAACCCTGTCTCTATTAAAAATACAAAAATTAGCCAGGCATGGTGGCACATGCCTGTTGTCCCAGCTACTCAGATAGCCGAGGCACAAGAATCGCTTGAACCCAGGAGGCAGAGGTTGCAGTGAGCTGAGATCGCACCACTGCACTCCAGCCTGAGCAACAGAGCAAGACCCTGACTCAAAACAAAACAAAACAAACAAACAAACAAACAAAAAAGAATAAAGACCAGTGGACAGAACAAGAGAACAGAAATAGACCTACACACGTATAGTCAATTGATTTTCTACAGACGTCTCAAGATAATTCAATGCAGGAGAAATAGTCTTTGCAACAAATTGTGCTGGAACATCTAAACAGCTGTACGAGAAAAATAAAATAATCTTGACCCATACTTTACATCATGCACAAAACCTGAGCTGGAACATAGCGCTACACATAAAAACTAAAACTATAAATCTTTTAGAAGAAAACGTGATCTGGTAGTTGGCAAAGATTTTACACAGGACACAAGAAATCCATACAGCAAGTCCTCAGATAATGTTGTTTCATTCAACATCACTTTGTTATAACATTGATGAGAAAAAAAAAAAAAAACTGATTCCCGGCCAAGGCCACTGCCTATGTGAAGTTTGCACATTCTTCCCCTGTCTGTGTGGATTTTCTCTGGAAACGCCGGTTTTCTCCCACATCCCAGAGAAGTGCACTCGGGTTCACTGCTGTGCCTAGATTGTCCCAGTCTGAGTGAGTGAGAGTGAGCGTAGGAGGGTGGGTGGGAGTGTGTGAGTGCACCCTGCAATGGAATGCTATCCTGTCTGTCCACCCTGAGCTGCCTGGATAGGCTCCAGCCACCTACGACCCTGAGCTAGAATAAGTGGGTTGGAAAATAAATAAAGGAATGAATACAAATTATTGTAAAACAAAAATTCAGGCCGCACACAGTGGTTCACGCCTGTAATCCCAGCACTTTGGGAGACCGATGCAGGCGGATCACTTGAGGTCAGGAGTTTGACCAGCCTGACCAACATGGGGAAACCCCTTCTCTACTAAAAATACAAAAATTAGCCAGGCACGGTGGCACGTGCCTGTAATCCCAGCTACTAGGGAGGCTGAGGCAGAGGTTTCAGTGAACCGAGATTGCACCACTGCACTCCAGCCTGGGCAACAGAACAAGACTCCATCTCAAAAAAAAAAAAAAAAATTCATGAAGTCTGTGATCGTTATACAAATGCATGACAAACAATTGTAGAAAATCAATTGACTCTACGTGTATAGGTCTATTTCTGTTCTCTTATTCTGTCCATTGGTCTTTATGTCTATTCTGGTTTTTTTGTTTGTTTTGTTTTGTTTTGAGTCAGGGTCTCGCTCTGCTGCCCAGGCTGGAAGTGGTGCAATCTCAGCTCACTGCAACCTCTGCCTCCTGGTTTCAAGGTCTGAAAGCACTCAGCAAACCCTCGAGATTTGCTCTGGTTTGTTTCTGCACTGTGTGGCAGTAGGAGGTGCTCCTTCCAATGTTCACTCTGGAAACATTTATTTCTAAATTTAACCCTCCACCTAAGACAGCTATCACTCACTGATTCACGAGAAATTGGGTAAATAATGATCTTCCTTGTTTTTATTAATCTTTCTTAAATGTATATATAGCTCACATTTATTTCAATGTTTAATACTAGAAGTGTTTGGTGTCTTTATTTAGAAGTTTAGTGATGTTTTCCTGGCTGGATATATGCTGTGAGAGCTTAACTCTTGTTTATATCAATTAGCCTATGGTAAAACTGATTTCATTTTATATCACTTTGCTTAAAGTAGAAGAACCTACCAACAACAGTAAGAACTCACATACTTTGAAAGAAAAAAACTGATTGAATCAGATTTTTTCAAATTGAATGTCTTATTCTTTGAAGGAAACTATTAAGAAAGGGTAAAGACAAGCCACAAACTGGGAGATATTTATATTTTTTTTTAAATTTTATTTCCAGAATATACTCAAACAGCTCAATAAAAAACTCATTTTTTAAAGGACAAAAGATTTTAACAGGCACTTAACAAAAGACAAAGTATAAAAGATCAATATGCACATGAAAGATGCTCAACATTATTAAATCACAGGGAGCTCGCGTTACATAAAATTAGAATGATTAAAACCTAAAAGTCTGACAACTGCCAAGTGTTGGCAAGGAGGTGATACAACTGGATTTGCTATGTATCAGTGGTGGAAATGTAAAAGGGTCAACTACTGTGGAAAACAGCTTGGTAGTTTCTTTTTTTGTTGTTTTGGGGTTTTTTTGTTTGTTTGCTTTGTTTTGTTTCTTTTTTGTTTTGTGTGTTTGTTTTTGGTTTGTTTGTTTTGAGACACAGCTTCACTCTTGTGGCCCAAGCTGGAGTGCAATGGCACCATCTCGGCTCACTGCAACCTCTGCCTCCTGGGTTCAAACGATTCTCATGCCTCAGCCTCCCGAGTAGCTGGGATTACAGATGCCCACCACCACACCCGACTAATTTTTGTATTTTTAGTAGAGATGGGGTTTTGCCATGTTGACCAGGCTGGTCTCGAACGCCTGACCTCAGATGATCCACCCATCTCCACCTCCCAAAATGCTAGGATTACAGGCGTGAGCCACCATGCCCAGCCTGGTAGTTTCTTATAAAGGTAAGTGCACAATTTACACACAAGCCAGCAATTCTACTCTTAAGTATTTTCCCAAGAGAAATGAAAACATATATGCACACACAGAGTTGTACATAAATGTTCACAGTGGATTCGTTTATAACAGGCAAAAAAAAAAAAAAGGGAAACGATCCAAATTTGCATCAACTGGTGAATGAATAAAAAAAGTAATATATCTCTACAATGTAGTACTATTTACCAATGAAAAGGAATGAATGATACACACAACAATATTTATGAGTTAAAGAAGCCAGACACAAGACAATACATGCTATATGATGCTATTAATAAGAAACTCTAGAAAAGGCAAATCTACAATGTAGTGATAGAAATCAGATCAGCCTTTTCCTGGAACCAGGACTGGGGGATCGACTGGAAAGAGCATAAGGGGACTTTTTGAGGTGATGACACCACTCATCACTTGGATAAACACACAAATAATGGACTCAAGGATAATCCTCAAGAGAAGGAAAATGTCATTCCAGAAGGAGGTACAAGAGTAAAAGGGAAGCAGGCCAGGCGAGGTGGCTCACACCTGTAATCCCAGCACTTTGAGAGGCCAAGGTGGGAGGATTGCTTGAGGAGGGGTTCAAGACAAGCCTGGGCAACATAGCAAGACCCTGTCTCTACTAAAAATAAAAATTTAAAAAAATTAGCTGGGTGTGGGGTGTGGGGCTGTAGTTCCAGCTACTCAGAAGTTTTAGGTGGGAGGATTGCTTGAGTCCAGGGGTTTGAGGCTGCAGTGAACTATGATCATACCACTGCACTCCAGCCTCAGGGGACAGAGTGAGACCCTGTGATATAGTTTGGCTGTGTCCCCACCAAATCTCATCTTGAATTGTAGCTCCCTCAATTCCCACATCTTGTGGGAGGGGAGGGACCCAGTGGGAGATAATTGAATCATGGGGGCTGTTTCCCCCATATTATTCTCATGGTGGTGAATCAGTCTCATGAGATCTGATGGTTTTTTGAGATGGAGTCTCACTCTGTCACCAGGCTGGAGTGCAGTGGTGCGATCTCAGCTCACTGCAACCTCTACCTCCTGGTTCAAGCAATTCTCCTGCCTCAGCTTCCCAAGTAGCTGGGACTACAGGTGCGCGCCACCACACTCAGCTAATTTTTGTATTTTAGTAGAGATGGGGTTTCATCATGTTGGCCAGGATGGTCTCGATCTCTTGAGCTTGTGATCTGCCCACCTCACCCTCCCAAACTGCTGGGATTACAGGCATGAGCCACTGTGCCCTGCCGGTCTGATGGTTTTAAAGGGGAAACCCTTTCACTAGGCTCTCATTCTCTCTTGTCTGGTGCCATGTAAGACGTGCCTTTCACCATGATTGTGAGGCCTCCCCAGCCACGTGGAACTGTGAGTCCATTAAACCTCTTTTTCTTTATAAATTACCCAGTCTTAGGTATGTCTTTATCAGCAGCATGAAAACGGACTAATACACCCTGTCTCAAAAACAAAGAAACAAATGAACAAAAAGAGAAGTGGGAATATCCATGAGAAGAAAATGTTCCCTGTGAGTGTTCATTGTCCTGGAGGGGTGAGTAATGAGGGGAATCACAGCATCCTAAAAGAGGAATCTGACTAGAGAGTTATCCCAGCAATTTTAACTGAAAAAGAGGAGAGGAAACAGAGGAGAAGTGAAAGAGAAAAGTGAGAGGGAAAAGGAAAGAAAAGAGGAGGAGATGATGGAGAAGAAGAAAAGAAGGAGGAAGAGGAAAAGGAAGAGAGAAGTGATGGGAGAAGAGAAAGAAATGGAGAATACACATCAAAAGAGACCAAGGTGCTCTCTTACACACTAAAAATCTCCCTCTCCTGAAGCCACAGTTGGTTTGGGCACGATTCAGTGTGGTGCTTTGAAATATTGTGTATCCCATTTTTTTTTGAATTAAAAAAGAAGAAAAAAAGAGAAATATTGTGAAGCCTTGATTGGTTGATACTCTTTTCTTTTCAAATCTCTGAAGCATGGATTAATACTACTTACAAGAGGTCTACCCAGCCATTGAATGCAATGAATCTCTAGGGTTTTTGGTAGGAGTTCCAGTCCAGCAAAGTGTGACAGTAGATGCTGTGACCCACCAGAGTCCCGGAACATGATGTTTGCTTGGCCCACTTGTTTGGGCTTTGGACTTAATTCTCATTTCCTGTGACTTTCACCCCACTCACCCTCAAGGTCTGTGTCCTGTGCTGAATGTCACCAGCTTGGCCACGTTCCGAATGCCTTTGTCAGCCCCCATCATTCCCCTGGGTGCCAAAGCTCACTGCCTATTTCCTGCCATCACCAGCCTTGGATGGGATACAGTCATAAATGTATGTGTATTCCAGAATCATGGCACAGTTCTAGCCAATGGCATGGTGTTGCCTGCTGTCTGGAACCTCCAGCTGCTGCTGTACACCACCCTCTGGATTAGACATCTGAGTTTTTGGTTCTTAGCAGAATCAAGCCAGAGCATGCCAAGCATCTGAAACCCGGCGTCTTAACCTCCGCGTCTATGTTTGGTGGAATGGCCTCTACAACTGGGCAGGTGCTCCTGCTGACCTATAAGCTATACCTGAGGAAATGGGGCACCTTCTACTCTAGCTCGCCCTCACCTCTGTGGTCTTGCCATACTGTTCCAGTTTTGTTCTAGATCTCCCTCAAATTATGATAACAAGGTTACATCGAAATCAAATGGTTTTAGCCAGTTGCAGTGGCCCACATCTATAATCCCAGCACTTTGGGAGGCTGAGGTGGGTGAATCACCCAAAGCCAGGAGTTTGAGACCAGCCTGGCCAACATGACAAAACCCTGTCTCTACTAAAAATACAAAAGTTAGCCAAGCACGGTGGTAGGCACCTGTAATCCCAGCTACTGAGGAGGCTGAAGCATGAGAATTGCTTGAACCCGGGAGGTGGAGGTTGCAGTGAGCCGAGATTGTGCCACTGCACTCCAGCCTGGGTGACAGAGTAAGACTCCATCTCAAAAAATAAATAAATAAAAATAAATTTTAAAAATAAATGACTTTTAAAAAGCAATCTGAAAAGTCCAGTTTATTTCTAATTTAGTAGTCATTTCTGAGGATTAAAAAAATCTTCAGAAAAATAAACAAATGCAACTGATAGTGCTGTATTTTTTTCTGATGGGTGACACTTAATTTCAATTTTGCCAAGTGCATTGGCAAGAGAGCACCAGCTGGCAGAAAATGAGTTGCCTACCATGGAGGTGCAGAAAAATAAAATGCAGAGAGGATGGAATGACATCCATTACTGTTATTAGAGATGTTTGAGATTTCACAAGAACAAATTACTCTCATAAAAAAAAAAAAAACAGGAAACAAGGTGAAGATACAAAATCATTTGGGAAAAATGATGTTGGTACCTTTTTGGAACAAATATATGAATACATTTTCAGGCGGACACCAATGCACTTGTTAGGACAGTATATAATTGAACTTTATACCACCTATTTTAAAGGCAAATGTGCTAATTATAAGTTAAAACCTCATAATAGTTCTTCTATAATTGTTCACAGGGATGAATCATAGTGGTTCTCAACTAGTGCACTTAAGGCCACATTTTTAAATAAGGGAGTTTGTTTTAAAATCCAAATTCCTTGTTTCTAATGCAGGAATTTGAATTCAATCATCTGGATTAGGGCCCCAAAATATACACTTTTAACAAGCACAGTAAGTGATTCTATTGAGTGTGGTTTCTTTACAGGCTGAGAGAGATGCTTTAAGTCTCTGCAAGGTGCCACAGTTCCTTCTGAATCATTAAGGAAGAATGGAATTGTTTATCTTCAGATGACTTTTAAAGTTTGCAAAGCTAGTAATCCCTATATGAGTCACATATAAGAGCTCTTAGCAATCAGTGTACTTTATAAGAAAACAATTCAATCCCCAAGCATGTAGGGTGATTCTGCTGCCCTACCACAGGCACCTGTTACTAGGAACAGGTGTAGGGAGACTTGCTATTGCCTAATGTCTACCTGCCGACTATCCAGAGCAAGTTTCAGAACATGTGGGTTCTGGTTTCTCCTCTCACACGGAAACCACTAACCTCATCTGCTGGTTCAGTTCTGTGTCCTCCCCAACCAGACTCCAGACACCCTCAAAGGAGTACCCTAGCTCTAGCCGTCAGAGGAATGAGCCCTCCTGATATCTTTAAATGTCTTCCTAAGGCTTTCAGGAGCAAACTTGATTCTCTCCAAAGCAAACTGGTAACTCAGAAAGCACCAACTCTTGCCTTTTAGCTCAATTCCATCACGCCTTCTTCAGATAGGTATCTATAGCTAGACTCCAGCCCCTCCTTCTCAGCCATTTACAGCAGTGATTCTCAACCTTGGCTTCCATTAGAGTCATTATAGAAGAAGACCTACCTGGCTTGCTGCCACCAAAGACTGTGCTTCCACAAATTCTCCAACAAATCTCCGTCTACCAACAACAATAACAACAAAAAGAATCATTACAGAAGCTTTTAAAAATATCAATGCCTAACTCTCAACACAAACAAAAATTAACTCAAAATATCAAAGACCTAAATGTAAGAGTGAAAATTACAAAACTCTTAGAAGAAAACAAGGGTGTATGTTGAACTTAGCAATGGATTCTTAGATATGAGACCAAAAGCACAGTCAACAAAATTAAAAATACATAAATCAGACTTCATCAAAATTAAGAACTTTTGTGTATCAAAGAATACTAGCAAGAAAGCAAAAAGACAACCTACAGAATGGGAGAAAATATTTGCAACTTATACATCTGAGTGTATAAAGGTCTAGTATCCAGAATATATAACTCTTACAACTCATTAAAAATGACAAGCAACTCAATTTAAAAATGGGCAAAGGACTTGAATAGACAGTTCCCCAAAGATACAGAAATAGCCAAGAAGCAGATGAAAAGATGTTCAACATTAGTCATTAAGAAAATGCAAATCGCCATGCACAGTGGCTCACATATGTAATCCCAGTACTTTGGGAGGCCAAGGTGGGTGGATCACCTGAGGTCAGGAGTTCGAGACCAGCCTGGCCAACATGGTGAAACCCCATCTCTACTAAAAACACAAAAATTAGCCGGGCATGGTGGCTCACACCCATAGTCCCAGCTACAGGCATGAGAATCACTTGAACCTGGGAGGCAGAGGTTGCAGTGAGCCAAGATCCTGCCACTGCACTCCAGCCTGGGCGACAGAGAAAGACACTGTTTCAAAAAAAAAAAATATATATATATATATATGTATATATATATATATATATATATATATGCAAATTAAAATCACAATGAAATACCAACTTACATCCACTAGAATGCCATATTTAAAAAAAAAAAAAAGGAAAATCACAACTGTTGGCAAGGAGGTGGAGAAACAGGAACATTGCTGGTAGGATTGTAAAATGGTGCAGCCACTGTAGAAAATAGCTTGGCAGTGCCACAAAAAGTTAAAGATAGAGTTACCATATGACCCAGCAACTCTACTCCTATGTATACAACCAAAGTAATTGAAACCAGGCATTAAAACAAAAATTTGTACATGAGGCTGGGCACAGTCGCTCACATCTGTAATTCTAGCACCATGGCAAGCGGAAGCAGACAGATCACCTGAGGTCAGGAGTTCAAGACCAGCCTGGCCAACATGATGAAACCCCGTCTATACTACAAAATACAAAAACTAGGCTGGGAGCAGTGGCTCACACCTGTAATCCCAGCACTTTGGGAGGGCGGGGCGGGCAAATCACTTGAGGTCAGGAGTTTGAGACCAGCCTGGCCAACATGGTGAAACCCTGTCTCTACTAAAAATACAAAAAAATAAGCCAGACGTGGTGGTGGGTACCTGTAATCCCAGCTACTCAGGAGGCTGAGGCAGGAGAATTGCTTGAATCTGGGAGGCGAAGGTTGCAGTGAGCCAAAATCGCACCACTGCACTCCAGCCTGGGCAACAGAGCGAGACTCTGTCTCAATAAAATAAAATAAAAATACCAATACAAAAATTAGCCAGGCCAAGTGGCACACACCTGTAATCCCAGCTACTTGGGAGGTTGAGGTCAAGGGATCACCTAAGCCCAGGAAGGTCGCGGCTGCAGTGAGCCAAGATCACGCCACTGCACTCCAACCTGGGTCACAGAGTGAGACTCTGCCTCAGGAAAAAAAAAAAAAAAAAAAAAAGTACATGAATGTTCATAGCAGCATTCTGCATAGTAGCCAAAAAGTGGATACAATCCAAATGTCCATCAGCAAATGAAGGGATAAGCAAAATGTGGCATATCCATACAGTGGAGTATTATTCAGCCATGGAAAGGAATGAAGTGCTGATAGATGCTACAACATGGATAAACCTTGAAAACGTGCTATGAGAGACAGCAGACAAAAAGTCACATTTTGTGTATTATTCCATTTATATGAAATATCCAGAAGAGGTGAATTCATAGAAACAGAAAGCAGAATTGTTGTTGCTAGAAGCTGTGGGTGGAGATGGAGAGTGGCTTCTTAAGGGGTACAGACTACCCATCCCATAACGATGGAACTAGAGAGAGGTGATGGTTGCTCAACACTGTGAATGTATTAAATGCCACTGAATCGTTCACTTTAAAATGGTTCATTTTGTTATGTGAATTTTACAATTAAAAAAAAAAAATCCCAGGCCTGACATGGCAGCTCACGCCTGGAATCCCAGGACTTTGGGAGGCTGAGGAGGAAGGATTGCTTGAGCCCAGGAGTTTAAGACCAGCCTGAGCAACATAGAGAGACCCTGTCCCTACAAAAAATGCAAAAATTAGCCTGGTATGTTGGTGTATGCCTGTAGTCTTAGCTACTCAGAAGGCTGAGATGGGAGGATCGCTTGAGTCGGCGAGGCGGAGGTTGCATGAGCAGTGATTGTGCTACTACACTCCAGTGTGGGTGACAGAGTGAGACCCTGTCTCAAAAAAAAAAAAAAATCCCAGTGTGGAACCCCAGACCCATTAAATCTGAATTTCTGGAGTGGAGCCCAGGCATGAGTACATCTTAAAGCTGTCTGGGTGGTTTCAATATGCAGGCTAGGTTATGAGCCACAGATACAGTCGCTGGCTAGTATACATCCTGCCCTTCCGAGAGTCCAGTGGGATTTGAAATTGGTAGCATTTGTCTGGTGCATAGAAGTGTCCAGGCAACATTCTTTTCGTGTGTATACAACAGGCGTTTTGTCTGGCTTCCTGGCTTCTCCAGGCCTTGCCAATCCTCCCTCAAGGAGTTGATGTCATTGCAGAAATTTGCCTAATCTCCCCCGTCAGCTGCAGCCTGCTTTGTCCTATCACATCACCTCTTCCACCAGTCCTGAAGCCAGCACACAGTTGAGTGACTATGGTCCTGATAGGCTTCTCTGCATTCTGCTCTGAAGGAATTCTTCTAGTGACCAGGCTCTGCAGTCACTTCTCACATGGTCTCTGCCATTTGGCATTTATGTGGCTGCACAGAATCTAAGCCTTTTCCTTTCAGGAACTCCACACTTGTGAATCCTGAAAATGTCAGGACTGAAATGCTGGTAGCTGAAAATGCCAGGTACTCCCTTGCTGCTAGGGTAAGGGTGCGTCATTTGACTTGGCCAGTAATAGGAGACCACCCCAGACTTTGAAAAGAGCTAGTGATGCAGAGGTGCAAGAAGAGCTGGAGGCCTCCCTGGGGGAAGTTGCTGGGGTCTCATTGGTTGGTGTTCAGTGCCAGCAAGATCAATGATCCAAGCTCTGTGATCCTGTGCTCAGCAAGATGGCATCAATGTCCACCAGTTCAGTGCGTGATTGTGGGCTGAGATCTGACCACGTGGCCTCTGGTATTTTAATATGTTCATTTGATTCTGAAATTAGTCAGTGATATGGTTTGTTTCTGTGTTCCCACCCAAATCTTATGTGGAATTGTAATCCCCAGTGTTGGAGGAGGGGCCTGGTGGGAGATGACTGAATCATGGGGCCAGACGTCCCCCTTGCTGTTCTCATGATAGAGAGGTCTCACGAGATCTGGTTGTTTAAAAGTGTGTAGCAGCCAGGCACAGTGGCTCACACCTGTAATCCTAGCACTTTCAGAGGCTGAGGTGGGTGGATCACCTGAGGTCAGGAGTTCGAGACCAGCCTGGCCAACATGGCAAAACCCCGTCTGTACTAAAAATACAAAAATTAGCCAGGTGTGGTGGCACACACCTGTAATCCCAGCTACTCAAAAGGCTGATACAGGAGAATCACTTGAACCTAGGAGGTGGAGGTTGCAGTGAGCCAAGATTGTACCACTGCGCTCCAGCGTGGGTGACAGAGCAAGACTCCATCTCAAATGAATGAATGAATGAATGAATAAATTAATAAATAAAAATGTTTAGCACCTCCGCCTTCTCGCTCTTCCTCCTGCTCTGGCATGTAGGATGTGCCTGCTTCCCCGTTGCCTTCCCCATGATTGTAAGTTTCCTGAGGCCTCCCCAGCCATGCTTCCTGTACAGCCTATGGAACTGTGAGTTGATTAAACCTCTTTTCTTCTTAAATTACCCAATCTCAGGTAGTTCCCTCTAGCAATGTGGGAACGGACTAATACAGTAAGTGCTGTTTGTATTTAGACCTTTCTCTGTTCGTCTCCCTGACGTCCCCCCACTTTCCCACCTAACTTCGGCCTAGACTCTTTGGGCTTGGCCTTGGTGGTACAGGGCACAGAGAAATGCCCTCATGCTCTCTTGTGTCTCAGTTTCTGCCAGCTCTGAGTCTCATCAGGTGTGGCTTCCCCCTTGCTCTCAGCAGGCCACCTGTTCCTCACTAGGGGACACGTGGGGAACAAGAATACTAGCCTGAATGCCAGAGCCTTGGAGATCTTCGTGAAAACAGTGCTGCTGGTCAAACATCCTAATCCACTCAGCCCTCTGCTCACTTCTGTAACCCTTCATTCATTCAGTAGACGTTGTTGAGGCCCTACTGCATGTCACAGACTGTTCTAAGCCCTTGGGTGAAACAGTGAACAAGACGAGGTCCCTGCTCATGTACCAGTTAGATTTTAGGCAGGAAAGACAAATAGCCAAATTAATTCTGAATGTTGATGACAGCACTGAAGACGAAGAGGAGAAACGGTGGCACATATGAGTGGGCAGAGGGGGCAAGCAGCACCCTGCCTACATACAATGGGCAGGGGCGCCATGTGAGCTGAGGCCTGCAGCATGAAGAAGCTAGGCAAGTGGAGACCTGGGAGAAGAGCATTTCAGACGACAGCTAACTGAAGGGGGCCACACGGTCTTTATTTTTTATTTTTATTTTTTGATTCAGGGTCTCGCTCTGTCACTGAAGGGCTAGGCTTCAGTGCAGTAGTGCGATCTCAGCTCACTGCAGCCTTGGACTCCTGGGCTCAAGCAATCCTCCCACCTCAGCCCCCTGAGTAGCTGAGACCACAGGCACACACTGTCACACCCAGCTAATTGTTTTTTTCTTGTAGACGCAGGGTCTCACTATGCTGCCCAGGCCAGTCTCAAACTCCTGGACTGAAGCAATCCTCCTGTCTGGCCTCCCAAAATGTCAGGATTACAGCCATAAGCCCCCATGCCTGGACTGCCACACATGCTTTGTCTCTTCCCATGGAGAGGTAGGCCTATGGTCAGCCTCTTGAATCTAGCTGGGCTCAACTGCCTTGACCAATAGAATATGGCAGGATTGACTCTGGGACAGTTTCTAGGCCATAAGAGACCAGCAGCTTCAACTTCCTGTCTCTGGGGACCCTACATCTGGGAACCCTGAGCCACCAGATGAGAAGTCTGACTCTCCTGCTGGAGAGAACACACACAGAGTACCCAAGACTGCCTGGAGAGGGAAAGGGGTCCAACCTTCCAGAACCTTCCGGACATCCCTATCGAGAGACTGGGATGTGAGTGGAACTGTCTTAGAACCTCCAGACCAGACCCCCACCCCCTGCTCAGTACCAGTCACGACTCACGTCCGTGCCACATGGAATAGAAGTATTGCCCAGCTGATCCTTGCCCAAATTCCTGATCCTCAAAATCATCATGATAAATAATAAAATAGTTGTCATTTTAAGCCACTATATTGTGGGGTGATCTGTTCTGCATCAACAGAACACTGTGACACAGTCCAGGGGAACCACTGTGCAAAAGTCCCAAAGCAGAAATGAGTCTCAGATTATTCAAGGGATCAAAGTAAGACCAGTGTGGCTGAGGCTAATAAAAGGATGGAGAGGAGTAGGAGGTGAACTGGGCAGGCTGAGCGGGATGGAGGTCCGCAGCCTGGTAGCCATGCAGTGGGCAGCCATTGGAGGGATTTTAGGAAATGCATGCTGTCGTCTGCGGGGGTGCAAAAGTGAACAGGAGCAACCAATGAGGTTGTTGCAACTGGCGAATTTTCCGGGTTGGGAATTTGGCCCAGTGTTGGGAAACTTACCTTACAACACTCATTGACTTCCTGACCTTTGTTGCAGCTCAAGCAGCTGGTCCTCTGCCTTGTCTCTGTAACTTATCCTTTGCTTTGCATCTCAGTTCTGCCAATGGTGCCTCTGTCTGACTCAGTTTCCCAGCCTTCTTCTTTGGGGCCAGCCTGTCTGCAGACAGCACAAGCCCTGCTTCCCTTTCTTCCCTGTGATGAAATAGACCTGGTGCCCATGCAGGAGGCCCAGCGTGGCCCACTGTTGCTGTGAATGGGGATAGGTCCTCCTGATTTTGGGGTTCAGTATTAGGAAGCTCCCTCACCTCCAGACACCAGCCAAATCCTTCAATAGGAGCATTATCAATAAGAAAGATGATGTTTTGCCTCTGCTGCCTGATTCCTGTCTGTCAATTGAATTCAAACTTAGGTGGAGAAGGCACTGTTTATTAGGACCCGGAATCCCTAACACCTGAGATCCTGCAGTAATAATCAGCCTGGTAGCCACAGTGTTCCTGGAATTGCTTAACTCACGGGTTATTACCTGCCCCATGCCTCTCTGATGGTGACCACCTGGTCACCAACAGTATCCCAACTGGATTGTCACATCTTTCCTGTGTCTAGACTGTTCCTTTGTCATGTGACATCCACTTGTCCTGATGCCTGCCCTGTCACCTCTGGTTGGATTTCCTAACAGTGTTGCTGGCTTCACAGCCCAGCAGACATCACTTAAGTCTAAAAGTGGGTACTAGACTTCCTTTGATTAACACCGACTGGGCCAGCTCCTTTAGCTCTGTCTCCAGGTGGACTGCAGTGGTTGTGTCATTCACATGCCTGAGCCCCTCCCATTGGCCAAACCCACAGCCTGTTGACCTATGAGCTCCCAACCCCACAACACAGGCAGGAGACAGCAGCACAGAGTTCTCAAGTTCTACCAGGTCCCAACTCTGTGTTCTTTGACTGGTCTCTTAATCTGTCTGTGCCTCATTTCCTTGTCCGTAAAATGGGGATAGTGATCATAGCATCTACCTCATGTTTCTGTGAGAATTGAAATAAGACCTGTAAAACACTCGGCATCATGCCTGGCACATACTAGGTACTCCGTAGACATCAGCTGATACTAGGCAAGCCCTCTCTGCCTGTACTTTTCAGGATTGGCTTGGAATATGGGTGGAAGGAGGTGATAGAACAAGGAGGGCAACAGCTACGCACAAAGAACACAGATTTCACATTAGGACCAGAGAAAACTTCATGGAGAGCAGAGGCTGTGACCTTTCATTTATTCTATCTCCAACACATAGCTTGATGCCTAGCACATAGTAGGTGCTCAATAAATGGTTGCTGAATCATCAGACAATTGGGCATGACTGGGGAGAGGCACCTCACAAAAATGCCAGGAATGGGACACCGACCAGAGATGAGGGCTTTAATCCCCGGTCTCTTCCCTTTTCCCTTCTAAGGGCAGCTAGGGCAGACCCTCCAGGTCAGTGGGGCCCTGTATTTCCACAGGTGGCTGGAGCCTCACCAAGCTCTCCAGGATGTCAGCCCCAGGCTGTGCACCCTCGAAGGCAGTAGGCAGTGCTGTTTTCCTGGAGGGCTGGGATGGGCATTGTAATGAGAAATAGAAACCTGCAAAAAAAATAAATAAATAAAGGTATGCCAGGCCTTCTTGTTTGGGGAGCTGGTGCCATTTCCAATGAGCAGTGTGGCAGTGGGAGATAAGGCAGAAATGTGAATTGCTATTGTGCTTCACTCCACAAGCAACTAGAGGGGTTTTCTGCAGGGTGCTTTGTAATACCAGGTGGCAACAATTATCATGAACTCAGAATGGGTGAACAATTAAGTTCTTCCTTTCTTGCTGGTTCCTGTTTTACTTGAACTTTCCTTCCATCCAACAATGCCCACCACTTGCTATCAACAAATCAACAAAAGCCTGCATGTATGAATGGAGAACACTGAGGACAGAGTCTCGGGCTGTGTGTTCTTGGCTCTACTGCCAGCCACTACTCTCTGGGTTCTGACCAAGCCATTCTCCCTGCCTCTGCCTCAGTTTCCCTCCTGGTGACCTTGTGAGTGGTCTCTGAGGCAGGTAGAGGCAAGGAGGGTTCTGTCACGGGGTGTGGCAAGGATCAGTTAATATTAATGCTATTTTTTTTTTTTTGAGACAGAGTTTCACTCTTGTTGCCCAGGCTGGAGTGCAGTGATGTGATCTCGGCTCACTGCAACTTCTACCTCCCCGGTTCAAGCAATTCTCCTGCCTCAGCCTCCCGAGTAGCTGGGAATACAGGCATATGCCACCACGCCTGGCTAATTTTTTTTTTTTTTTTTTTTTTTTAAGTAGAGATGGGGTTTCGCCATGTTGGCCAGCCTGGCCTCAAACTCCTGACCTCACATGATCCACCCACCTCGGCCTCCCAAAGTGCTGGGATTACAGGTGTGAGCCACTGCACCCGGCCTGTTATTAATACTGTTTTTAAGCCCTGGATCTGCATGTCTCCTCCTCCGGGCGATTACCTGCTGCATGCTCTAACACTCTTCCTTCACCTCCTTACATCTCGAAGTCCTGGTAGAATGTCCCACACACAACATGTGCTAATTACACATTTGTGGCTCATTAAGATGATAAGATTGTTCTCCTCCAAGAACCTTGCACCCACAATTTCAGACCAGCTTCACAGTCTCCAAGCTGTTCACCAATGTATTCTCCAGTTCTTGGTCTGAGTATGTTTCTTGTTTATTCTTCTCAACCACCCACTACCTCCATGCCTCTTACTCTCGCCTCAGGAAGTTCCACCAGTCCTTGTCACCTGGCAGTGACAGAGGCAGGAAAACAGCTCCTGCCCAAAGCTGGGGCAGTGCAGGAACTTCCCCTTCCAATGCTGTCAGCCAGGGGAGTGAGTGCAGAGTCACCCATAGCAGGTCGCATGTGGGAATTGGGGTGCGGTGTCAGGTGCTGGCCATGCACAGAATCTGGGGCTCTGCTTGCCCTGGAGTTGCTGATAGACGCGCAGGAAGTTGTGGCTGCAATGAGAGTGTCAGCTTTTCTCCCACTGGTCAAGGACACAAACCAAGCCCACCAGTGAAAACTCTGCAGCCTCCATTCAAATGAACACAGATGTGGCAGCTTATCTTCCCTGGGGTCCCACAGGAGACTTAACAGGCTTCCCTCGGGCTGTGTCTGCTGAAGTCAG
Source organism: Homo sapiens (assembly GCF_000001405.40). Taxonomy (NCBI): domain Eukaryota; kingdom Metazoa; phylum Chordata; class Mammalia; order Primates; family Hominidae; genus Homo; species Homo sapiens. Next base: position 26,120,708 of record NC_000008.11, read on the forward strand.
TTTGCATGATGCTAGAACTGTCGACCCATCTCTGTAAAAACTGCTGCTTCTACGGGTAACTAACATCCCTCAAAAGTAAGCTCCTATCTAAAATGTTTAAATAACTTTTGTTTCATTATAAACGTTGAAAAAATACAAAAAGGCAGAAGAAAAAAAATGTATACAGAATCTCATCACCCGGAAACAGCCTCCTAGTAGATTTCTGTCTTTCTCTTCTTTCTGGTGGGTGCATTTCAATGCCATTAAGATTGTGCAGAAGCTGGACATGGTGGCACATGTCTCTGTAGTCCCAGCCACTCAGGAGGCTGAGGTGGGATGATTGCTTGAGCCCAGGAGTTTGAGGCCAGGGCAACATAGTGAGACCCGTTTCTACAAAAATCAAAAATAAAAAATTACCTGGGTGTGGTGGTGCACACCTGTAGTCCCAGCTACTCAGGAGGCTGAGGCAGAAGGATCACTTGAGCCCAGGAGTTCAAGGCTACAGTAAGCTATGATTGTGCCACTGCCCTCCAGTGTTGGAGACAGAATGAGACCTTGTCAAAAAAAAACAAAACTTAAAATTTAAAAAAGATTATTCAGTATATAAAATTATACATCCTACATTTTAAACACCATTTTTCTAAATGTGAAAGTAATAGGCCGGGCGCGGTGGCTCACGCCTGTAATCCCAGCACTTTGGGAGGTAGAGACAGGCGGATCACGAGGTCAGGAGATCGAGACCGTCCTGGCTAACACGGTGAAACCCTGTCTCTACTAAAAAATACAAAAAAATTAGCCAGGCGTGGTGGCAGGCACCTGTAGTCCCAGCTACTCGGGAAGCTGAGGCAGGAGAATGGCGTGAACCTGGGAGGCGGAGTTTGCAGTGAGCCAAGATCGTGCCACTGCACTCCAGCCTGGGGGACAGAGAGAGACTCCGTCACAAAAAAAAAAAAAAAAAGTAATATACATTTACTATTTTAAAAGCTTGAAAAGCTTTAAAATGCAAAGAAAAACCATAAGAGTTCTGCCCCCCTCCAGAGTTAATCACTGTTAACATTTTGGTTTATTGCCTTAAACTCTATTTTAATAATACAACGTTTACTTGTTTTTAAGTGAATGACATGGAAAGATTCACAAGTCCTAAGTGGACAATCACATAAATAGGGAGTTAGTTGTGTAGGAAAATGCGTATGTGAGTTGGTAAACTAAAATATGAACAGCGGCTGTCTCTTGGTGGTAGGATTATCTAGTGATTTTTACTTTCTTCTTTTGGCTTGTCAAAAGTTTCCAAATCTTCCACAATGAATATGAATTTAGTAGTAAGAAAAAAAACCACAAAATTATTTAAGACACAGATATCCAGATTCACAAGTGTGTTTCCGAGCTGGGTCTTCCTTGCCCCAAAATCTCATCTCTTCTTACTCATGTCTGGAAGCCAGCCTTAGGTGAAGAGTTTGGCAAGGCTGATGCTGGCAGAGAGAGGAGGGCAGGACAGGCAGGGCAAAATCCCTTGGCTTCAGGGCACTTCACCCTACAAAATCTGAAGGGCTCCATGTCCCTCCAGCACACACAGGACCTGAGGGGCTGGAGCCGTCTCCACAGCAACCATAGGATGGAGCGAGGATGCCAGAAGGACGGGCATAGGGGATGGAGTCACTGCAGAGACAATGGAGGGAAGGGCACATAGGGAGAATAAGCATTTCGATGCATAGGAGGAATGAACTCTGTAGGGACCTATGGCTGAGTAGATGAGGAAAGTAAATTCATATCTTATATCTCTGCACACCAGCTATTTGTATAAAACAATAGCATGGTGGCTGGGTGCAGTGTCTCACACCTGTAATCCCAGCACTTTGGGAGGCCAAGGCAGGCAGATCACCTGAGGTCAGGAGTTCGAGAGCAGCCTGGCTAACATGGCGAAACCCCATCTCTACTAAAAATACAAAAATTATCCGGGTGTGGTTGCATACACCTGTAGTCCCAGCTACTCAGGAGGCTAAGGCTAGAGAATCACTTGAACCTGGGAGGTGGAGGTTGCAGTGAGTCAAAATCATGCCACTGCACCCCAGCCTGAGCGACAGAGTGAGACTCCATCTCAAAAAAATAAAAATAAAATAATAGCATAGTCACTAAATGTATTAACAATATTAAGAAAAAGAGGGACATGATGATATATTTGTCAATGATTTATTCATTTACTTTCCATGTCATTCTCTTGGCCTTGTTCTTAGAAAATCTTTCCAATTTCAGGCATTAGGCTGATTGTCAACACCAGTTTACGCTGATTGGTAAGTTTTTGTCTCATTCTGTGTATGTAGATACATACAGGTATCATTATCTATACTTGTGCTACTCAGAGAATGTGCTGCTTTTTGCAAAAATATTCACGCAGAATTCACTGTTCACATCTGAAATCTGTGATTAGCCATATGCATGCCTGAACACTGAGCATATTAAGTAGCCCTGAGCCCAGGTTGCAGGATGGAGTGTGCTACACTGATTCTACTCGCTCCTAGAGATTAAGCCCCTCAGAGTTTCCATGTTACACTCCCCTGGGCACCTGGGGACACCAACAATCTGGGTCCCAGGACAGATAGAATCTTGAATACTTGTAACCTATTATTTTATTATTGACTCATTGCTGTACATGTTCACTGCCTGGTATCAAGAGAAAATGTAATTTGTAACTGATATCTCTCAATAATGTTGTGTACTTCCTACAAAGAGACCCACTGATGAGTTCATTAACTGTTATGTAACTGATGCTTTACATTGCTTTATTTTATTTACAAATTCTTAGTGGGCTTTTATATGGGTGTTTTAAAGTGTTTTAGTGTTTTTTTTTAAATTTTCAGAATAAAAATAGTTGAGGTTTTAGGCAGCCAAGAAAGCACTATTATTTTTCCCACTTAAAAAGATAAGGGTCCCAGGCTCCAAAAGATTGTTATTCGCACAATCCCAGGAAAGAATTAGATTGAGATATCAATGGATGGCTGCATTTTAGTGAGAAATTGGAAACTGTATTAAGGCTTCCTGGTCAAATGGCATTTTCCCAACCCTTCTTGAGCTGTTTTTCTCTCTTCTTACTTCCTGGCTATTGCAGGAGGGTCCTCCCAGTTTTTATCTCTGTAATTTCTTGGGACTCTGGGGCTATATTACTGTCTACCTTGGTCCTTAATGGCTGATCCCTGAAAGTCCATTTGACTTCTAATGGAGGAGTCTACAGGCTAGACATGAGTAATAAATGGTGGTGATTTGCACGTTGCATAACGAAGAACTGAGTGAGTGCCTGTGGGAAAGGAAAGGCAGCCCCTCCACTCTCCCACAGCTACCTTCTCCTCTCTCACACACACAAACATGTGCATACATGCACTCTTGTCTTTGTGCTACAAACAGCAGCATACGGAGTTAAATAGCATTAAAGAAACCAGTTGGCCAGGCGCAGTGGCTCATGCCTGTAATCCCAGCACTTTGGGAGGCCGAGGTGAGTGGATCACCTGAGGTCAGGAGTTCAAAACCAGCCTGACCAATATGGTGAAACCCCATTTCTACTAAATACAAAAAATTAGCCAGGTGTGGTGGCACACACCTGTAATCCCAGCTACTTGGGAAGCTGAGGCAGGAGAATCGATTGAACCTGGGAGGCAGAGGTTGCAGTGAGCCGAGATTGTGCCATTCATTGCACTCCAGCCTGGGCAGCAAGAGCGAAACTCCGTCTCAAGAAAGAAAAGAAAAGAAAAGAAAAGAAAAGAAACCAGTCAATCCTCCTGGCCACTGGTAAAGGTTGTTATCATAGGCATGATGTGTCAGTGATAACTGCAATGATCTCACTATTTTCTCATCAAAATAGAATGTTCTAACAACAACATGGGCAGAAATAGCCTTAAAAAAAAATCACACTAATCCAACAACATCTGATTTACTTTTTAGTCAAATATTCATGTTTAGACCAAAACTAATAACATGATTTTTGTATCCCCTTTCCCCTGAAAAATCCCACCTTTCATCTTATTTTTGAAATATTATGTGTGTAATAAATGCATTCATTTCTACATAAAATGTTTGCATGTTATATGTTACTCCAGGCAGTGGCAAACTATAGCCTGTGGGCCAAATTCATTCCACTGACTGTTTTGGTACAGCCTTTAAGTTAAAAATAGTTTTTACATGTTTAAATGGCTGGGGGAAAAAATCAAAACAGGATTTTGTGACATATGCAAAATTATATAAAATTCAAATTTCAATGTCCATAAATAAAGTTTGGTTGGAACACAGCTATGCCCATACATTTACATATTGTCTATGGCTGCTTTTGCCCTACAATGCCACAATGGAATAGCTGCAACAAAGACTATGTGGCCCACAAACCTCAAATATATTTACCATCCAGTTCTTTCCAGGAAAAGTTTGCTAACTCCTATGTTAGTCCTTTGAAATAAGCAACAACAAAAATCAAAATGTTATTTGCATAATATTAGTAGAATACATGTGACCAAGGTAACCATGCCCCAGAGCATAAACAATCTTAAATCAAGAATCTGAGTGGCTGGGCACAATGGCTCACACCCGTAATCCCAGCACTTTGGGAGGCTGAGGTGGGTGGATTGCTTAAACCCATGAGTTCAAGACCAGCCTGGGCAACATAGTGAGACCCTGTCTCTACAAAAAATACATATTTTTAAATTAGCTGAATGTGGTGGCACATGCCTGTGGTCCCAGCTACTCAGGAGACTGGGGTGGGAAGATCCCTTGAGCCCAGAGGTCAAGGCTGCAGTAAGCCATGTTCGGGCCACTGCCCTCCAGCCTGGGCAACAGAGTCAGACTCAAAACAGAAGAAAACAAATAATCTGAGAAATAATTACCCTCTCTCGATTTTGTTTACCTGCAAAGAAGCTTTCCTGTGGCAAAAGCTGGGGACAAAGCCTTACAGAACTCAGAAGAATTCACACACATGTCGTAGTGATTTGAAAACTATGTCCAATGCATTGAGGTACCAGAAAAGGTTACTTCTTTGTTTCCTATAACTTTTACCTCACTGTTGCTTGAAGGAGAAAAGGGAAGAGGTCGGAGAGGAAGAGGTTACGAGCTTGCCAGGTGAATATAATTCAGTCTTTTCCAGTTTACCACTGTCTTAGTTGAGTTAGTGGTCTTTTTTTGGTAAAATCATCTTTCAAGATTTCTGTGTCCCTCCCATCCTCACCTGCCCTTCCATTCATGTAGGGAAAAGCTTCCATGAGCTTAGCCACAGGACAGGAGTTCTCAGATGCAAGGACAGGTCTCTTACACAGGAGTCAAAGTTTCTTGTCCCACCTGGTCGTGCCCTGCTCCCAACTCCACCATCTTGGCTCTGTCTGACTCCCACTGGTGTTGCAAATGCTCTGAATCTTGGCAATGTCCTCCCTCCTCCCCTGACCTGGTGTCTAACCACAGCCTCTGCCACAGGGTCACAGGTGCCCTGGGTGATGCCCCGGGTAGCCCCACAGCAAGTGTTCTGGCTCTCACTCAGCTCCTTTCTGCATTCTCCACTAGGAGCCCAGCAATACCTGCAGGATAGTGGCATCTCCATTCTCTCTGTCTTCCCCCTTCATTCCGCCCTTTCTAACCCACCACCTGGGTGGCATGTGCTGGATGCAGCAGTTCTCTGGGACTTGATATTTCCCCGGTCTATCCTGAAAAAGTAAGGAACAAAGCCGCTGCTCTGGGATTCCTCCAAACTGAAACAAAACAGAGACTAGATGAGTGCCTGTAGGAAAGGAAAGACAGCCCCTCCGCTCTCCCAAAGTCAGCTTCTCCTCTCTCTCTCACACACACATGTGCACACATGCACTCTTGTCTTTGTGCTACAAACAGCACAATAGGTACACTACAAACCAGGTACCTGGTTATTTTACCTCTTGTCTCCTCTTCCCATTCTGTCAGCACCTCCCTTATGAAATAATCTGCATTGTCTCTACCAAAGGCTTATATGTCTAAACTCCAGCCCTAACTTTCCACCTATAAAGGGAGCTTTTAAAATTCAGAAAATAAACATTATCTCTCCCCATAAAGTCTGCATTTCAAAACTGTTATTTCAATATGGAGTCAATGAAGTCAGCTTTGCAAACCAAAGCCATCAATGACCTTTTTATTCCAGGCACTGCCCATCCTCACCCACCCTGCAGTTTATGGCTTAGCCCTAATGGCGGAAGGCTGTGGAAGAACAGGATTTACGGGGGTATGAAAAACGCATCCATTCAATAATTCAAAATATTATTCCTGTTACCCTTGCTAAGTGAAAATCCTTTGTAACATTTTCATTCTTTTAAAAAAATTACATTTTGCCTCAGCATAACTCTTTGGTCTCAGCTGTTATCTTAGTTGTCTAGGGCTTTCATAGCAAAATACTACAGACAGGGCAGCTTAAACAACAGAAATGTGTTTTCTCACAGTTCTGGAGGCTGGAAGTCCAAGATCAAGGTGCCTGCAGGGCTGGTTTCCTCTAAGGCCTTGCTCCCTGGTTTGCAGATGGCCGCCCTCTTGCTGTGTCCTCCCACGGTCCTTTCTCTGTGCCTGTATCCCTGGTGTTTCTCTATGTTTCTAAATTTCCTCTTCTTGTAAGCACAGTCAGATTGGATTAGGGCACATCCTGGTGGCTCAATTTACCTCCATCACATCTTCAAAGGCTCCATCTCCAAATACAATCACATTCTGAAGTAATGGGAGTTAGACTTTAGTACATGAATTTAGGTTGAGGGGAGCTGGAGGGGGGCACAATTCAGCCCAAAACACAGGTTACCTCTCATTTGGGTTGTTGCCCGTCTTCACGTTTAAATGGCACTCTCCCCGTGTGCTTGCCTGTGTCCAAACTTCCTCTTCTTATAAAGACATCAGTCATATCAGACCACAGCCCACCAAATGACCTCATTTTAACTTGATTACCACTGTAAAGACCCTATAAGGTCACATTCTGAGGAGGTTGGGACTCCACATACCTTTTTTTTCCTTTGGTGGAGGAAGGGACGCAATTTGGCCCAACAGTGAGCCAAAGAGTACACAGTGTCTAATATTCCAGACAAAGTTGTTTGGGTTCTGGGCATAAACTTCTATTTCCTCAGAATAAAAGCAAAAACAAATAAGCCAAAAACATTTTTCAACATACCCAGGCTTTTATATGTTGCAGGGAAGGGAGTTTAGAGGCCCAGCAGCCAAAAGGGTCCTGCCCATGTCCACACTCCACTGCCTGAAGGTGAGAGACAGTGAATAGAAACAAAGCAAAGCTCCCACAAAGTGGCCAAGAGCCATGAAGACACAGCTGTGGCCAGGAACCCAGGAGGCCAGATAATCTCAGAAAGGAGGGAGATTATCATCAGGCCAGGCCCAGTGGCGCACACTTGTAATCCCAGCCACTCGGGAGGCTAAGGCACAAGAATTGCTTGAACCCAGGAAATACTGAGATGGTGCCACTGCACTCCAGCTTGGGTGACAGAGAGAGACTGTTTCAAAAGAAAGGAAGAAAGAAAGAGAGAGAGAGAAAGAAAGAAAGAGAGAGAGAGAGGCAGGGAGGGAGGGAGGGAAGAAGGAAGGAAGGAAGGAAGGGGGAGGAGGAGGTGGAGGAGGAAGGAGGGAGGGAAGGAAGGAAGGAAGGAAGAAGGAAAGAAAGAAAGAAAGAAAGAAAGAAAGAAAGAAAGAAAGAAAGAAAGAAAGAAAGAAAGAAAGAAAGAAGGAAAGAGAAAGAAAAAGAAAGGAGATTATCAGCCTGGGTGACAGAGAGAGACTGTTTCAAAAAACAAAAAAACAAAAAAGAAGGGAGATTATCATCAGAGCTTAGACAGAAAGAGAGTCCGACCCCATTAGACCTGCAGAATCAAAATGTCTCAGGAATCCAAGAGTTTCTAACCTCCAAGGAGATGCTGATGCTGCATTTTAGGACCACTCCATCACCTAAAGTGGAAAAAGGCACAGGTCATATCTGCTTCCTCTGTAATTGTTCAGCCCTAATCTCATTTAAATTCTTTCCCCATGTTAGCTCCCAAGATAGGGAACCTCCCAGAATACACTAACAATATAGTTGACCCCATTTTCAAAATGGCAAAATTGCAGCCATCTCTCCAACATTATGAATGAACTGTTTGGGAGAAGGGGGTGTCGCCTCTACACACTTTTTGAAATCTACACCAGTTTTTTTCTAATTGAACTGTTTCTCATAATCTAAAATTTTGCAAGTTTTAAATATGTTTTCAGTACAACTCTCTCACAAGTGATCATTTTTGCAACATTTCCTGTGACCAAGAAATAACCGAGATATGCCTCACACTTGTGTTACATTCACTGATTTTTTTTTTATAACAAGGTGGTACTCGAAATGGGCAAACCAATCTTTCTTTTTTTTTCTTGTCTGAGATGGAGTCTCGCTGTGTTACCCAGGCTGGAGTGCGGTGGCATGATCACAGCTCATTGCTGCAACCACTGCCTCCCAGGTTCAAGCGATTCTCCTGTCTCAGCCTTTCGAGTAGCTGGAATTGCAGGCACATGCCACCACACCCAACTAATTTTTTATATTTTTAGTAGAGACGAGGTTTCACCGTGTCGGCCAGGCTGGTCTTGAACTTCTGATCTCAAGTGATCTGCCCACCTCAGCCTCCTAAAGTGCTGGGATTACAGGTGAGAGCCACTGCGCCCAGCCCAAACAATCTTTCTATATGTTCATCCCCGTAAACCTGCTCAAAGCCTACATTCACCAACATCACACAGGCATGACTTTTTTTTTCAACAGATCCAATTGACAGGTGAGTTCCAAAGGGTAACAGGCCTCTGTCTTAACATCTTCAGTGATTTTAAATGTGCATCTAAAGAACAAGACACAGCCAGTTGGATGAGCTCTGTGTATGGCCATAGTCTAGCAAATGCAAACACAAACAGCGGTGCTTAGCTTCACTGATGACATAAGTTTAGCACTATGAACCAGAAGTAGCTTCAAAAACTACTGACTTTGCTCCCCAAGCCAGAGCATTGGCTTGATTACTATAATTACAGCAGGAGATAAAAATCAGTATAGTCTACCATATGATTTCATGTATATAATATTCTCAAAATGACAAAACTGTAGAGCTAGAAAACAGATTACCGGTTGTCCAAGGGTAGGGATGGTGAGGGGAGTGTGAGCAGGACCTTGAGGACAAGGCTTCCAGGGAGGCACTCTTGGGACCTCCACTGCTCTGCACCACCTCAAGCATCTGCTCCTGCATTCTAGCACGGTGCTCCTTGGCCATCCCAGCTGTAGGTTAAGCAGAACCAGGCGCATCGTGGGCTGCCACTCCAGAGAGCACAGGGCGTCCACATGGTGCTAATTCTGCAGGCTCACAGAGTTTAGAACTATGGGGCTATGGCAGCCACTTTCTAGATTTCAAAGGGTGCTATACACAGCTGGGGGTTCCAGGAAGAAACTTGCTGCAGGAGAGTAGCAGCCATGTAAAGTCCCCACTAGGGCAATGCCTAGCAGAGCTGTGGAGTGAGATGACCACTGAGGCCCCAGAATTGTAGAGCTCTCAGCGGGCAATGCCAGCCTGAGAGAGCTATTGGGTGGACTGAACCCAGTAAAGCCATTGGGGTGGGGCTGCCTCAGGCCTCGGGGGCCCAACTACTCCCTGAAGTGTGCCCACAATGTGGGTCATGGAGTCCAAGGAGATTATTCTGGCACTTCAAAATGTAGTGTTGTTTTCCCTCTTGGGTCTTGGACAAACTGGGGAGCAGTTACCCTTTACTTCTTGTCTATTTCTCCCTTTTGGGATGGGAACATCTATCCTATGCCTGTCCCGCCATTGTATTTTGAAAGTAGATAACTCATTTGATGTCACAGGCTCACAGCTAGAGGAAAATTTGCCTCAGGATGAGTGGTGCCTTGAGTCTCACCCACATGTGATTTAGATGAGACCATGGACTTTGGACTTGAGTTGATGCTGGAACACATTCATGTGTTGGAAACTTAATCCCCAATGCAACAGTGTTGAGAGGCGGGACCCTCAAGAGACGATGAAGTCATGAGGTCTCTGCCCTTATAAATGGACAATGTCCATGTGGCAAGAATGAGCTCATTATTTTAGGAGTGGCATCCTTGTGAAGAATGAATTAGGCCTTCCTCCTGAGCATGTTTTCTCTCTCTCTCACCATGTAATGCCTTCTACCATGTCGTGATGCAGCAAGAAGGCCCTCACCAGATGCAGACCCTCAATATTGGACTTCCCAGCCTCCAGAACTGTGAGCCAAATAAACTTCTCTTATCTGTAAATTACCCAGTCTGTGTTATTCTATTATAGCAGCACCAAATGAACTAAGAATGACATGACACTGAGCTTTCACTATGGTTTCTACTGGTCCTTGTTCAAGAACTTGAGTAGATTGACAGGGATGTGAGTGTATGTGTATGCTGTGCATGTGGGTTGTGTATGTACATGTATGGTGTATGTTTGTGTTGTGTGTGTGCATGATGTGTGTTTGTGTGCTCCTTTCTTGAGTCAGTGTAATTATTCCTGTCCCCTCTGTGGTCCACAGCTGTAAGAAAATACCCTCACACAGCATCGCCATGTTTTGTTTTTCTAGTCCTTCTCTCACGCAAGACTTCAATCTCCTTGGGGCCAATGATTGTGTTCATCTATGTGGGTCAGCTCCAAGCACAAAGCTAGAAAGCATTTGAGTGAAGGAATATTGACATAGGGAGGAAGTGAAAAGACTACATTTTCCAAGCATGACATTACATCCTTCGCACAGTGCAACAAGCAGACAAACTCCAAGGCTCCATGTTAAACACACACACACACACACACACACACCACACAATTGGTTTTAGCAACAAAATTTCAGCCCATTTAAAACCTTTGGTGTTATGTTCTCACTCATAAGTGGAAGTTGAACAATGAGAACACATGGACACAGGGAGGGGAACATCACACACTGGGGCCTGTTGGGAGGTGAGGGGCAAAGGGAAGGAGAGCATTAGGATAAATACCTAATGCATGTGGGGCTTAAAAACCTAGATGACAGCTTGATAGGTGCAGCAAACCACCATGGCACATGTATACCTATGTAATAAACCTGCATATTCAGCACATGTATCCCAGAACTTAAAGTAAAAAAAAAAAAAACAAAAATCTTGTGGTGTTATATGTTCTCAAGAAAGACTTTGGGGCTGATCTAAGGAAGTGTGAATATTAAACAGGCAGTTGGTTAAAAAACAATATCTGTAATACTTCCTGCCTTTTTATTCAGAAGAAATCAATATCTGAGTGCTCCCAGCCAGATTCAGGTCAGTCTGAAGCAAGAATGTGAAGTAAATACAGTGTGGTCCCAAATTCCCATTTATATGATGCTTAGGATTTGTGCTGGAATCAATCGTTTCCTTGAATGCTGAAAATATACCTTCAATTTTAGGTGATTGCCTAGAAACGATCTGATCTCAATTTGTTTGTTATGCCCGTGCCCATCATGAAAGCTAGAAAAAAATAGTATTAGGAAAATCCAACATTGCAGACAGGTGCAAACATCCCTGCCTGACTGCACTGACCAGACCTAACAGGCAGGTAGTGACCAAAGAGCCAACAGGTTCAGTGACTTGAGGATTCTTGTTTGAGGGAGGTGGGACTGGTCGTATAATGTTATAAAGGCAAGGCAATATTCACAGTCAGTCAACAGCACCTCACTTCCAAGGATATTCCCTCATGGCTGGTTATTTGTCTGTGACTATAGTAGATAAATGGCTCTCAGCTCCACTAAGCCCAATGCCCCCTTTCAATAATAAATGTTTTATATTACTCCCTTTCCTAATCTGAAATAAAATTAATAGCTTATTTATGCTACCTGCATATAATTTTTTTTTTTTTAGATGGAGTCTCACTCTGTCGCTCAGGCTGGAGTGTAGTGGCACGATCTCAGCTCGCTGCAACCTCCGCCTCCTGAGTTCAAGCAATTCTCCTGCCTCAGCCTCCCAAGTAGCTGGGATTACAGGCACCCACCACCAACATGCCCAGCTAATTTTTGTATTATTAGTAGAGATGGGGTTTCACCATATTGGCCAGGCTGGTCTCGAACTCCTGACCTCGAGATCCGCCTGCCTCAGCCTCCCAAAGTGCTGGGATTACAGGTGTGAGCCATCACGCCCGGCCCCTGCATATAATTGTTTAATCATAATGTCTTAATTGGGAATAAAAAGCAATGTAAAACATAAAAACATATAAACTCTTACAGTATGTAAAGATTTGAACACTCATTAGAAAACATATTAAAGTGTCAAGTGCTTATGGTCATGTTGAATGTGGCAGTTGTAAGTGCAGACCCATATATGCAAATTTCATTGATGATTTGAACACCTCATATGTGGCCTTGTCACTGGTGATGGTAATTTTCAATATGATGAACAATTCTTAGTAAAGTTTTTGACGAAACAAAGGACAAATACTCTATGATTCCACTTATTTGAGGGACCTGGAATAGGCAAGTCTGAAGAGACACAAAGTAGATTAGAAGTTAGTGGTGTCTGGGAGGGGGAGGACGGAGAGTTATTGCTTAATGGGTACAGAATTTCTGTTTGGGGTAATGAAAAAGTTTTGGAATAGATAATGGTGATGGTTGCACAACATTGCAAATTAATGCCACTGAATTGAAGTGGTTGAAATGGTAAATTTTTGGTTATATAGATCTTATCATATTTTTGAAATACCAAAAAAAAACCTTGGAAAACCTTTGTGTTTATACATAAGATGGAGTTAGTTCTAGCTCAGAGAATGAATAAGAAATGGTCTTTCACCTACTGGAATATCCAACAGGATGTTTGAAAGCACGCAAGACGATTTCCTGCGCTTCACGGGATATCTAGCATTGCTGGCCAACGCCGCTAAATGCCAGTAGGGCTACCCTTTATTGATAAAAATGCCCTACCAAGTTCCAGCCATCCCCAGGAGGGAAATATTGCCCATCCTGAGAACCACTGAGACACAGAAAGTGAGAGCCAGGTAGGTGTCTGGGTTCTGGTCAAGTGAACGCCTGCAGTCCTCGTGGGAATTAGAGTGCTCTGCAAGGAACCAGCAGAAATCTAGTTCTTTGAGGGATCAATGTGGAGGACGAGGAGATGGGGAGGAAGGATACAGCAATGTCGCATGAAAGCCGCTTCCAGTTCCCATCCCTGTTCCCTGGTTTCTTGGGCATCAAGACTCATTGCAGTCCCCTGCCAGAGGGTGAAGCTAGAGAGCCTTGCACATTTGCCAGTCCTGTCAGTTGGCTCAGGATTGAGGCAGGGCTGACTCAGCCCTTAGAGATGACACAGCAGTGCAGCTGACTATGACAATGACAATAACAGCTACTATTTATTAAATAATTGGCAAGGCTTTACTATTTTTTCATTTAATTTTAGCAACCAATTATAGGGTGAAAACGGGTTCACACAGATGCAAGGAGCCTGGTCAATCAAAAATCATTGACACCTGGCAGGGCACCACCGTCACAGAGATTCCCAACCAAGAAATGCAAATCTCCCGCTGTTGCTAAAGTCTCACTTGGCAGCTTTCCCAGTCCAGTGGCCACAGAGCTCCTTCTCCCCTCTGCATGGCTTGTGGGGATTTCAGCTGGGAGGCTGAGTGCAGTCACAGGGCAGTAGGTTTACCACTTCCCCATCAGCCACTGCCCTCCCTGCACCCTCTCCTCTTTCTTCCCACCACAAGGATGAGTTTGATAGAGTCGCATTCAACCCACCCCATGATGCCATCTCAAGGGTTTAAAGCCTGACCTAAAAAATAGGGACTTCTCACGAGATGCTTGGCAACCCCAGCTGCAGGGCCTGGGATCTCATACTGTGGCTGCCAGAATCAATGTGCTGACAGAGCTCCCCATCCACTGCATATAGGGCTTACTTCTTTTTGTTTGTGTTTCTTGAGATGCAGTTTTAGCCTGTCACCGAGGCTGGAGTGCAACGGCCCAAGTTCAGCTCACTGCAACCTCCGCTGCCTGAATTCAAGCGATTCTCCTGCCTCAGTCTCCTGAGTAGCTGGGATTACAGGCACATGCCACCATGCCTGGCTAATTTTTGTATTTTTTTTTTTTTTTTTTTTTTAGTAGAGATGGGTTTTACCATGTTGGTCAGGCTGGTCTCGAACTCCTGATCTCAGGTGATCCGCCCACCTTGACCTCCCAAAGTGTCGGGATTACAGGCGTGAGCCACTGAGCCCGGCCTGGCTTACTTCTTTTTCTATTGCTGAGGCTTTTTGCTGACAGCTGGCTTGGGATCTCAGGCACAGAAGCCGGACTCAATGTCCCTACTGTTACTCTTTCTACCCCTTTACAGGGTCCCTAAGTGCCCACCTGATGCCAGTTTCTTTGCCTCTCCACCACCCCAGAGGACCCTTTGATGTTGTCCCATACCTTTAACCCTTCTTCTGCCACACCCTCAACTCCTAGCCCTCATAGAACTCTACTGCCAACAGCACTGGCTGCTTCCTCAGTTATTTTCTTTCTGTGCATGAAATCTTCAGGAGCAGAACCAAGTCTTCTGTGTTCTTTAAGCCCTTGCCCATTCTCCACTGTAATTAATGCAATGATGGGTACATGACACACAATAATTAGGGCAATTGCCTTTCGTTCACACTTTCACAGCATCTCCTTTGATCCTCACCACAACCTCGTCAGGCAGGTATTATTGTTGTTCCTATTCCACAGAGGAGGAAATGTGAGACCTGAGTCACAACCTGGAATGAGGCAGAACCAGGTCTTGACTTCGGTCCTCTCACCCAAGCTGCAGTGCCCTCAGCAAGGGACCGGAGCACCTGCTGGGGAAGCCTCTGAGTGAGTCTCCTAACAAATCATCATATTGAAAAGCACAGTGTCCAAAGTACTTTAGCAGTTCCTTTAAAAAGTAACAAGATTTGTACTTTCTCCCAAAGTATTTAAATAACTTCACATCCATGAACAGTTGGAGGTATAGGATTTCAGTAAGACTCACAGAGCAGGTGTTATGTTTCCTATTTAACCCAGGGAGCAACGAAGAAGATCATTGCTCTCTAAGGGTCCCATTCTGCGTCTCTAGACAGGAAAGAATGAGAGAGGCCCTGCTAGGGGTGGCCCATACCCCTTCATGCCCCTGTGTAGTAGTTGGAGCCAAGGAACAATTACAAAAGGTACAAGAGGCTGGGCGTGGTGGCACACACCAGCAATCCCAGCACTTTGGGAGGCTAAGGTGGGAGGATCGCTTGAGCCCAGGAAATCGAGATCATCTTGGGCAATATAAGGAGACCCTGCCTCTACATGAAATTGAAAACTTAGCCAGCTGTGGTGGCGCTAGCCTGCAGTCCTGGCTACCCATTGCTTGAGCCCAGGAGGTTGAGGCTGCACAACCTCCTGGGCTCAAGTGATCACACCATTGCACTCCAGCCTGGGCAACAGAGTGAGACCCTGTGTCAAAAAAAAAAATAAAATAAAAATAAAAGATACAAGATACAGAGTTCAGAGGCAGATACACAGATCCAAATAAACAAAGTGGAATCAAAATAAAACAATGTAGACATTTATAGCTATAGGAATTCCTGGAGTCAGCAGCCAGGAGTTTGGGAGTCCAGTTCCTGGTGGGTGAGATTCAGTGTTCTTCAGGTCCAGGCCAACATGGCCATCCATACTGCTACCAGGGGCTTTCTGTGTCAAAATGCAGAGGCTGAACCACCAGGATCATCACAGAGAGCAATGCATAGAACCAAGTGGAAAGTCCAAAGCAAATCATGAGTCGAAACGGGCCCAGTGAACAGGAAAATCCAGATGTGGATTTGGCAACCAATGGAGCAAGCAGAGCCCTAGCAAGTGGAAGAGAAGTAGGGCTTGGAGTCATCACCAATACCCAGCTCCTGGGCAACGTTGTGTCTCATTTCTCTTCCTGTCCATAGGGTAAGGCTTTGTTAGCCAGGATTCAGGGGCCAGCACTGTGGATGAGAAGTTTTAGTAGCTGACTCCAGGAGGACAGAGAGCAAGTTCACACAACAAACAGGTGATGGCACCTGCAAAAGAGCACTAGCTTCAAAAATCAGTCAGATTCCTTTCTCTTCAGCCAGTTTTGAAGAGGGCAATTATCAAATGTCAACATTCTAATTGGTCTCCAACACTCCTGCTGTGGTCTGAATGTTGGTGTCCCAAAAAAATTCCTATGTTGGGACATAACCCCCAGTGTGAAGGTATAAATAGGTGGGGCTATCTACAGCTATACCAACCTGAATGCATCCGATCTCACCTGGCCTTGGAAGCTAAGCAAGATAAAGCCTGGTTAGTCCTTAGATGGAAGACTGCCTGGGAATACTGGGTGCTGTAGGCTTAAAAAGAAAAAAAGAAGTGAGGCCTTTGGAAAGTTTTTAGGTCATAAGAGCTATCCTCTAATAACTGGGATTAGTGACCGTATAAAAGGGGCAAAAGGGTGTGTTTTTGACCCTTTCACCATGTGAGGATGCAACAAGAGGCACCATCTTGAAGCAGAGGCGCTGAATCCGCTGGCACCTTGATCTTGGACTTCCCAGCCTCCAGAACCATGAGCAATAAATTTCTGTTATTAGGCTAGTCATGGTAGCTCACACCTGTAATCTCAGCACTTTGAGAGGCCAAGGCAGGAGGATCACTTAAGGCCAGGAGTTTGAGACCAGCCTGGGCAACATGGTGAAACCCTATCTCTACAAAAAATACCAAAAAAATTAGTTAGGTGTTGTAATGCCTGTAGTCCAAGCTACTCAGGAGCCTGAGGTGGGAGGATTGTTTGAGCCCAGGAGGTGAAGGTTGCAGTGAGCCAAGATCCTACCATTGCACTCCAGTTCGGGCAACAGAGTGAGACTCTGTCTCAAAAAAATGATAGTAAAATAAAAATACATTTTGGTTGTTTATAAATTATCTAGTCTAAGGTTTTTGTTTGTTTGTTTGTTTGTTTGTTTGTTTTTTGTTTTTTGTTTTGTTGTTGTTATAGCAGCCCAAATGGACTAAAGGCAACTCCACAATGAGGCATGATTACTCTTCCTTCCTGAAACCTTGGGATTATACGTTGCCACTATAGAAAAGAAGCACCTTTGTACAGCTTCTAGAAATTCAAGCTGGAAATGCTCCCAGAGAGAATAGTAGGGTCAACCTCATATCCCTGGTCAGGCTGACCCCCATCCCCCTCCCAGCTCAAACACAACCTGAGTTATGTTCAAAGGAGATCTCAAAGCAGGATCAAGCCTTTTATTACTTTCTTCCAGTATTTTTTATTCTTATTAAATACATGATATTATAAATAAACTAATAGGACTCTAAAGGAATGGAAAAATTTGTCCCACACTATCAACACTCCAAGTTGAACTGCTTTTTGTTGGTTCAAGTTCATTTTCGTTTCATTTCATTGGCATGTATCATTTTTATGTAGTTGAAGTCAATGTCATGTACAGTAAAATGTATTCTCTTTATCACTTACAATTAAATCCTAAGCACTTTTTTATGTTATATGGGGTCCTCACAATTGTTATTGGCTCTGTATATCTCACAAGAGGTTATACTGCATAATTCACCCAGTCACCCAGCAATCCTTTTAGATTGCTTTCCATTTTTCACTGTTGGACCTAATGTTACAGTGAACAGTTTAGTGCATTACTCAGATCACCACTCTTGAAAAGAGTCTGGGAGCCTAAAAGAAGGTTGAAGGTGAAGTACTGGCAATTTTTCAGGCACCTCTTTCCACAAGATGATATGCAATGGGCATGGGCTGTTTCTGGCCTAGTAGGGAGAGAGACGGGGGCGGCAAGAAAAATGGACGATGCTGGGTTTGTTCTACAGTTGACCTCAGACAGTGGTACTCATCTTTTTTAGAGAGAAGTGAATGGGCAGGAGTAGTTGTCTTTTTGAGGAAAGGTCTTACGAGGCCTGGGGCAAAGATGGGTCACTTCCTGGTCCAGGCGTGAAAACCACAGTAGCCAGGAGTCGGGGAAATACAAAAATGGCCCATAAGTAGCATTTTCATGCAGATGGGGCAGCAGAGGCAGAGTGAGGGGCAACCCGCTAACGGCTGAGGCCCCACGAGCAGGCTGGAGCAGGGCAGAAGGAGACTTGGTCCTTCCCACATGCAAGACACTGGCAGAGATCTCCCAGAACTGATGGAGGGATTCTGAGGCAAGGGCTTAGCTCCTCCAGTTATGTAGTTGACCCAGTGAGTGTGTGGACTATAGGCATCAATGTTAATGGGTTCTCATCTGTACCCACAAGCCAGACAGGCTGGAAAGAGTCAAGGGTTTGGATAGTTTTCCTTTTGGGTTATTTTCCTAGGATAGCTTCCCAGAAGCAGGATCACTGGGTTAAAGGGCACCAAAGCTTTTTTCCTGCGGAATTCCCATAGTCAGTTCTCAGGCCCAGCTTCCATGTTCTTCTTGTCTTCCCTGCCCTAGTACCAGGAGCTCAACCCCATTTTGGTTTTTATTTTGTTTTTTGTTTGTTTGCTTTGTGTTTCTTTGTTTGTTTTGTTTGTTTGTTTTTTGAGACGGAGTCTTGCTCTGTCACCAGGCCGGAGTGCAGTGGCGTGATCTTGGCTCACTGTAACCTCTGCCTCCAAGGTTCAAGTGATCCTCCTGCCTCAGCCTCCCGAGTAGCTGGGACTACAGGCATGCGCCACCACGCCCAGCTAATTTTTTGTATTTTTAATAGAGACAGGGTTTCGCCATGTTGGCCAGGATGGTCCCGATCTCTTGACCTTGTGATCCACCTGCCTCAGCCTCCCAAAGTGCTGGGATTACAGACGTGAGCCACTGTGCCTGGCCTGTTTCTTTGCTTTTGAGGCAGAGTCTCACTCTGTCACCCAGGCTGGAGTGCAGTGGAGCTATCTTGGCTCAGTACAACCTCCGCCTCCTGGGTTTGAACAATTCTCGTGCCTTAGCCTCCCAAATAGCTGGGATTACAGGCATGTGCCACAACGCCCGGCTAATTTTTTTGAATTTTTAGTAGAGACTGGGTTTCACCATGTTGGCCAGGCTGGTCTTGAACTCCTGACCTCAGGTGATCAGCCTGCTTCGGCCTCCCAAAGTGCTGGGATTAGGGGGGTGAGCCACCGCGTCTGACCTTGACCACTTTTATTTTCTCTTTAGTGCTGCCCCCTCCCTCTTCCCCATGGGGAGCTTCTCCATCCAAGACCACCTCTGACCCTCACCCTTGAAATATCTGCAGCAACTCTGTGTTATGAAAGTATTAGTAACAGAGTTGCATGTACCGCTAATACTACTGTGATTTTCTTTATTTTTAGCCTATGTGCATAAGGAAAGGAAATGCTAGATCTCTGAGAGAGGTTAATAAAAAGAAGATGTTGTTCCCCACCTCACTTCCCTTGCTGGTTATTAAGCCAGTCCCCCATTTTCTCACTTCTCCTAAAGACAAATTCTGAGTCCATTTCATTTTAAGTATTACTGCAAGGGCACAATACAGTTGTAACTGAGATGTTTAAAACAAGGGGAAAAGCACACAAACATGAAAGTCTTACTAAGTTTTGAGGGGCTCACTTCTGTTTTTGTTTCTGAGGTGAGGTCTTACTTTGTCATTCAGGCTGGATTGCAGTGGTACATTCACAGCTCACTGTGGCCTCAAACCCGCCTGGTTCAAGTGAACCTTCTGCCTCAGCCTCCTGAGTAGTTGGGACTACAGGTGCTGTATTAGTCTGTTCTCATGCTGCTAATAAAGACATCCCTGAGACCAGGTAATTTATAAAGGAAAGAGGTTTAATTGGCTCACAGTTTCACAAGGCTGGGGAGGACTCACAATCACAGCGGGAGGCAAGGAGCAAAGTCACATCTTACAATGTGCTAGGCAAGAGAAGCACTGAGCAAAAGGGGAAAAAGCCCCTTATAAAACTATCAGATCTCATGAGAACTCACTCACTGTCATGAGAACAGCAGCATGGTGGTAACCACCCCCATGAGTCAATTAACTCCCACCAGGTCCCTCCCACAACACGTGGGGATTATGGGAACTACAATTCAAGATGAGATTTGGGTGGGGACACAGCCAAACCATTTCAGGCACACACCACAATACCTGACTAATTTTTAAAATTTTTTGGTAGACACAAGATCCCGCTATGCTGCCCAGGCTGATCTCGAACTCCTGGGCTCAAGCAATACTTCCACCCCAGCATTCCAAAGTGCTAGGATTACAGGTGTGAGCCACTGTGCCTGGCAATCTTACTAAGTTTTGATAGTCACAAACCCTCGCTTATGATCCCTGATTCTTTCTCGAGATGGGTACTATCTAACTAACTGAGACATCAGATGCTGTTAACCTAGGGTCCATGTTGAAGATTCAAGGAGTCTATATTGGTCAGGGTCTGGCTTGGAAAACTAAACACCACCAGTTACGTTAACAGAAAGAATAAAGGAACTGATTAATTGGGTATTGGAGGACTGAAAGACAAATGAGAGATACCACTTCTATCAGAAATCATAACTGCAGGTTGGGTGTGGTGGCTCATGCCTGTGATCCCAGCACTTTGGGAGGCCTAAGTGGGTGGATTACTTGAGGTCAGGAGTTTGAGACCAGCCTGTCCAACATGGGGAAACCCTGTCTCTGCTAAAAAATACACAAATTAGCTAGGTGTGGTGGCACACGCCTCTAATCCCAGCTAAGGCACAGGAATCACTTGAACCTGGGAGGCAGAGGTTGCAGTGAGCTGAGATTGCACCACTCTGCTCCAGCCTGGGGGATAGAGTGAGACTCTGTCTCAAAAAAAAAAAAAAAAAAAAAAAAAGAGAGAGAGAGAAATAGAGAGAGTTTGAAAACTACAGCTCTTGCATTTAGCATCTATATGCAGACACAGGAAGTGCACTCAGCAGGCATTCCTACTAGACTGAGTATGCCCGGCTTTTGCATTAGTCAGAAGGAACCAGCTAATACCCACTCAGATGAGTTTTTAGAGAAGAGTGTTATGTATGGGGCTATTGATGTAGGTAGGATTTAGGGAACCCAGGGAGAGATACTATGGCACCTGGGTCCATTACCATCCATAGATTTGTATATAGTTTGGATATTAGTCCCCCCAAATCTCACATTGAAATCTAATCCCCAGTGTAGGAGATGGGGCCTGGTGGGAGATATTTGGGTTATGGGGGCAGATCCCTTATGGCTTGGTGTTGTCCTCACAATAGTGAGTTTCATAAGATCTGTCTTAAAGTGTGGCACCTCCCGCCACCCCTTGCTCCCTCTCTGGCCATGTGAGATGCCTGCTTCCCTTCACCTTCAGTAATGATTGGAAGCTTCCTGAGGCCTCCCCAGAAGCTGAGCAGATGCCAGCACCATGCTTCCTGTAACAGCCTACAGAACTGTGAACCTCTTCTTTATTAATTACTCAGCCTCAGGTGTTTCTTCATAGCAATGCAAGAATGGCCTAATACAGATGTCAAGAAGGAAAGGGAAGGAGTATCCAGAATCCAGAGATGATGGGTTTATTGAGTGGGTGCTTGACCACAGCTGAAGCCTTTGGAGAGGGATTCAGCCAATCTGAGAATGTGTTAGGGAGGCCAGGAGAGTAGATTCTCTTACCATGCTCTATTCAATTCCTTGCAAGTACCACCCAGTGGCCAAACCCAAGCAGAAGCCAGAGGCAAGGAATATACTGATGTTGCCCCAGTGGTCAGCTAGTAAATAAACATTTAACAACAAGCTCTGAGACATGTATGTGTGCATGCATGCTTACTTGTAGTATTTGCCAGTGTCCATAGTGTAAATATTCCTACCACAGTCACCAAACACGGAGTTAGGAGGAGATGCATACAATCAGTTCTTGCAGGCTCTAGTGCTCCACTGAAGTAAACAGATGGGGTCAGCCTCCCACAGCACAGACAGAGTAGAGAAGGATGGAGAGTGGATCTGGAAGGGCAAACAAAACAACCAGTGCTGCTGCAGCTGTCGACATCAGGCCAATGGTTCTGACATCTGGAGCAAGGACATCAGGGCCTCCACCTTCACCATCAACATATCTGTCATTTCCAAGGCTAATAGAGGATGGTTAAGGAAAATAAGGACTCAGCAGGTTAGTAATGTAGGAGAGAGAGGAGATGAGACAGGGAGAGAAAGAGAGACAGATGTCAATTCCATTCTAAGCTAAGGCTGGGAAAGACCTGCATTCTTCACAGATACCATGCTGTAAGCACAGAGAGGTGAAGGGTAGGGAGTTGTGTTTCTCCAACTTCAATTAACTGGTAGCTCAATAGTATCTTTCAGACAGCTAGGGGTGGATCCCATGGTGAGAGAAAGAGTGGCATGTTAGAAATGGTGTTCCAAGCAGAGCCAGGACATAATATACCATCTGGCACTGAGCCCAGGTCTCAGGAAGAGTGGCACACTAGAAATGGTGTCCCAGGGTGGGGCCATCTGGTACTGAGCTCCAGGTCTCAGAGGTCATAATATCCTCCTGTTACCTGCTGGCTTACAAGTGGCACGGAGCCATTAAACCAATGGTTCATGACCTCTTGTGGGCCCATGTTGGCTGAGCCATTGCTGAAGAGACTGGGATTCTGTGATGCTTAGGACCAGCTCTCTGGGTCCTAGTGCTGTTCTTCTGTATGTAGAAGCACACCCAAGTCTCTGGGTAAAAAGCATTGTGACATAAGAGCCCCACAGCCACCCCCTGCCCAGCAGCACAATCACGACTGATCTGCCTGCCATCACCATTCTCCACATCAATGTCGCAAGTTCTCCTTCCAAGACTGGAAAAACTGGCTCTGTAAATTCTTCTTATCGTATGGCAGCCTCCTCATCCTAGCCTCAAGGCGCAAGTTCATAGAGATTGGAGCACAGATAATCTAAGTGAGAAGCACTGAGCTATCCTCCAGATAACCTCCCCTTCCCAGGTCCCACCCCCAGCTTTCATGTGGTAATTAGGAAAACAGGTACCTGGATGGGGTGACAGGGGTTTGGGCTTGATGTCCCAGGCAGCAGCACCATGATCTTGCCACGCAAAACTACAGGTGTAGAAACTGGCCCAAACAGAGCCAGGTGCAAAAGACGACCCCTTAACCATTAAAATTTTACTTTTAATGGACAAAAGTAAAATGTCCCCCCCTCTCTCCCACCTACCGTAGCTTTAACAGTCTCCATTTTCCTCTCAGAATTATGCACTGCTGAACTGGTGATGGGTATTTCTATTGACAACTTCCCCGCCTTAAGATCCGAGGAGGTTTCTAAAGCATCTTTCTCTACTGTTTACATGAAACCAAGGACACTGGGCAGACCTCCCATCAGAGCATTGTTAAAGAGAATACAAGTGTCATAGCACCTATGAAAATATTCTGGGCTGGGCATGGTGGCTCATGTCCATAATCCCAGCACTGTGGGAGGCCAAAATGGGTGGATCACTTGAGGCCAGGAGTTCGAGATCAGCCTAGGCAACATGGCAAAACCCAATCTCTACTAAAAATACAAAAATTAGCCGGGCATGGTGGCTTGCCCCTGTAATCCCAAAGTGCTGGGATTACAGGTGTGAGCCACTGCACCCGGCCTATGGCAGTTATGTTTTATAAAGCCACTAAAACATGACTCTGCAAGTACTGAGCCATTGCTCCTAGATGGAAAAAAACAAAAACAAAAACCAAAAACAGCATTACATGCTTATAAACCTCTTTCTGGTCATATGTTAATCAACTGATCAGTATATAACCTTGCTTTATGTGTGTTTCTGTTCGGAGACACCTTATTTAATATATGTTGCTGATTCATTAACCTTGAACTCATGGTTAAAAGCACTGTAACTTATGCCTGAGTGAAGCTTATCTGACACATGTATTTTCTCAATAAGGTACAGCACAGCCTTCTTGTGCTTAGGAACACTAGACATCTCCTTAGTGCTATGCTTGGGGACCATCTGAAACAGTGAAATCACCAACAAAAGACACAAAAATGCAAAAAAAAATATGGAACTAAATAGACTACAAAAAGGGTCCTTGTTTACCGTGTGAGAGCTGAAACAAGAGGCAGATTATTGTCTTGGTCCACCACAGCTGGGAACATGGGTGTCAGGTTACCCAAATGTTTCACCACTCTGCACATATCTGAGTATGACCATGGAAGCACCATGAGTATTGACTGATTTCGAAGTTACAAATACATGTTAGTTAGTAGGTGAATTTGCAAGTACAGAATCCACAAATAATGAGGACCGACTGAACATAAAATAAGACAGTAAATAAAGCATTTAAAAAGAAAATAAAAATAAAATACACATTTAAGATATTCAGTGTTTTCAAAGGCAAATGCAAATTACTGTGATAGCATTAATCACCTATCAAATCATCAGAATAGATTAGAATGTTGGTAAGCATGCAAATATCCGCTAACTCTCTTGAGAGAAAAGTCATAGTGAATAACCAAAAGCCTTAAAAATGTTCAGATTCCTTGACCTACCGTTGGAAATCAAGGAATTCTAACCTAAATTAATAGGCAGAGATGTACCCCAATATTTAATTACAAGAATATTTATCTCACAAAATGTATAATAGCTAAAGAGAAATTATAATTAGCTTAAAAGTCCTGTAATAGAGAATTGGTTAACTAAATTATGATACCTCTAAAATGAAATACCATGCAGTCTTCAGGCAGAGCACGGTGGTTCACTTTGGGTGGCTGAGGCAGGCAGATCACTTGAGGCCAGGAGTTCGAGACCAGCCTGGCCAATATGGTGAAATCCTGACTCTATGAAAAATACAAAAATTAGCTGGATGTGGTGGCACATGCCTGTAGTCCCAGCTACTTGGGAGGCTAAGGCACAAGAAGTGCTTGAACCCAGGAGGCAGAGGTTGCAGTGAGCCGAGATTGCACCACTGCACTCCAGCCTGGACAACAGAGCAAGACTCTGTCTAAAAAAGAAAGAAAAGAGAAAGAAATATTATGCAGTCTTCAATCAGAATGTTGTAGAATGATATTAAACACTTGGCAAGTTGCTCACTCTAAAAGGCTAAGTTCACTTTTAAAAATTAGACCATAGTTTATAGATTTGATTCTATTTTTATGTGTAAAAAGGGGAAAAGGTAAGACTCCTAATTATTTAAATAATTGTGAAAAAAGACACGTAACTACTTTAAAGGTAAACTTCTTAACAAAATCATAGCAAATTAGGATGGAATACAAGTCTATTTAAAGAATTAATACTATAATGCCAATATCTTATTTTGATACTAAATCGACTATGTTAGTCAGCAAAAAGACAGATACCAGTATTATTTGAGTTCTCACCCATGAGACTGGATAAAGAAAAAAGTAACCAAGACATGATTATTCAAAGGAAATAAATATCATTACTTATATGTTATTTATTTGTGTACCTACAAAATCCAACTGAATCAATAAAAATCTTGTAGAAATAATTAGAAAGTTAGATTTCTGACAAAACTAAATACAATAAGCACACAGTATGAGAGCTGAAACAAGAAGGCAGATTGGAAATCTAGGAATTTTAGTCTAAATGGTCAATGATGTAACTCCAAGATTTAATTATACAAATAGTTATCTCAACAAAATTTATAATAGCCAAAGAGAAATCATAAGCAGCCAAAAAGTCCTATTCTAAAGAATTGGTTAACTAAATTGTGATACCTCTAAAATGAAACACTATGCAGTCTTCAATCGTAATGTTGTAGAATGATATTAAATGCCAGAAGGATGAAAAGATGTGCAGCATCCCTGGTCATTAAGGAAACGCAAATTAAATCTGCAATGGTATATGTGATGGTTAATACTGAGTGTCAACTTGATTGGATGGAAGGATGCAAAGTATTGATCCTGCGTGTGTCTGTGAGGGTCTTGCCAAAGGAGAATAACATTTGAGTCAGTGGTCTGGGAAAGACAGACCCACCCTTAATCTGGGTGGACACCACCTAATCAGCTGCCAGAATGGCCAGAATATGAAACAGGCAGAAAAACATGGAAAGACTACACTGGCCTAGCCTCCCAGCCTACATGTTTCTCCCACACCAGATGCTTCCTGCCCTCGAACATTGGACTCCAAGTTCCTCAGCTTTGGGCCTTGGACTGGTTTTCTTGCTCCTCAGTTTGCAGATGGCCTATTGAGAGACCTTGTGATCAACTGAATTAATACTCTTTAATAAACTCATATATATATATATATATCTCCTATTAGTTCTGTCCCTCTAGAGAACCCTGACTAATACAGTAGGCTAAACTATGACGTTTGGAAGGTAGGTGTGTTAAATGTATTTTCAACTTATCATATTTTCAACTTACAATGGATTTGTTGGGGTGTAACCCATTGAACCTTGAGGAGTATCTGTATATACATTTTTTCTACAGTTATCATAGAGCAATACAATTGTTTTATATTTAAGGTTAGCAGTGCATTAGATTCTTCTTATTTTTCTACATAACTTTTATAAAAATAGATGTTACGGCCATAGAAAATGCCTTTAAAACCTTGAGCCTTGGCCAGGTGCAGTGACTCACACCTGTAATCCCAGCAATTTGGGAGGCCAAGGCAGGTGGAACACTTGGGTCCAGGAGTTCAAGACCAACCTGGACAACATGGCAAAACCTTGTTTCTACAAAAAAAAAAAAAAAAAAAAAGAAATTATTCTGATATGGTGGCAAGTACCTGTACTTCTAGCTACTCAGGAGACCAAGGTGGGAGGATCACTTGAGTCCAGAGTCCAGGACGTCAAGTCTGCAGTGAGCCATGATTGCACCACTGCACTCCAGCCTGGGTGACAGAATGAGACCCTGTCTCAAAAAAAAAAAAAAAGATAGTCTTAATTTACTCTTAGCTATTTCTGCTGTTTCCAACTATTCCCAAATAGATAATGCTGGTAGAAACCTTTTCATGACTATAGTTTTTCTGGTCTGCTAGATTGCTTTTTGGATGATGCCTAGGAGAAGGATTTTGAGGCTGCAGGACATGAATGCTCTTATGCCTCTTGGCTATGTGCACAAACACTTACCAAAGGTTCAAGCACCTAGTAGGTGCTCAATAAATGCTTGTTGAATCCCAATAGGCATGCTGGTTTCCAAATGACCATGCTGACAGCAGTATTTGAGGTGTGTTTGTTTTCCTCTTCAACAACTGGATTGGTTTGGGCAGGTTGTTTAACATTTTTAAGCTTCAGTTTCCTCAGTTGTAAAAAGAGTAATCACAGTCTAATTTTATTGTGAACTTCCTATCCCTTCTCTCTGGAACATCAGGGAAATACCTTGGACAAACATGGCAGAGAAAGGTCCCTCTCTGCTTAGTCCCACTCAGACCCTGTCCAGTGCCCCTGGTTTTGCATTGCTGCCCACACAACATCCCCTTTGTCCTTCACCTTCATTTCCTGGCGTCATTGCTCTAAATCCTAATGGCAAAGTTCTCACAACACAGTCACTGCCTGCTTTGCCTCCATACAGCCAGAGTTGACATGGACTCATCTCTCTGTTCTGCTCTGTGGTAGATGAGGAGGGCTGGATGTTGCTCTGGATGGGTGGGATGGAATGGAAGCATATTCCAGTT
This sequence comes from Homo sapiens, assembly GCF_000001405.40. NCBI lineage: Eukaryota > Metazoa > Chordata > Mammalia > Primates > Hominidae > Homo > Homo sapiens. The sequence continues at coordinate 26,148,162 of NC_000008.11, forward strand.
CAGGGAGAACCTAATTGGATTGAGGGACCAGGACCTTCAAAGGACCTCTTCAACATGTAGAAGCCAGGACTCTATACCACTTGCTGCACTGCATTATCAAACATCTTCCTCTGCACTTACTAGCCTGAGAGTTTGTTCATGTGAATGATGCTCTTTTAATGGTTCCCATAAACCTTTTTTTATTTTATTAGAAAAATATATTTTTTAAATATATGTATATAGGATAAAAAGTCATCTAGTACTACCAGGTTTTTTTGTTTGTTTGTTTTTCATTTTGCTTTGTTTCTTTGAGACAGAGTCTCACTCTGTTGCCCAGGTTGGAGTGCAGTGGCGTGATCTCGGCTCACTGCAGCCTCCACCTCCCAGGTTCAAGCGATTCTCCTACCTCAGCCTCCCAAGTAGCTGGGATTACAGGCGCATGCCACCATGCCTGGCTAATTTTTGTATTTTTTGTAGAGATGGGGTTTTGCCATGTTGGCTAAGCTGATCTCGAGCTCCTGACCTCAGGTGATCTGCCTGTCTCAGCGTCCGAAAGTGCTGGAATTACAGGCATGAGCCACCACACCCAGCTGTACTACCAGGTTTTTAACAAAAAATGTCAACTATGTCCATCCTTCCTTATTCTCGACTGCTGCTTCTCTGAAGCAGCCGCTCTGAACTCTTTTAACCATTGTTTCCCTAACAGTTGCCTCTATATTTCTAAATAAGCTTTTAAGAATTATAGAATGTCTTGGATCTGGTTTTCAGCAAGGCCAGTATTATTTGTTAGGAAGAAAACAAATTTATTAGAGGATTTTAAGTAGCTTACAGTATTTTGGACATTCTGAAAAAAGAAAAAAAAAGATTTGAAGCTGAACTTCCAGAAATAATGCCCCAAGTCATGCCACATATTAGCCTGGCAGGGAAACTGCAGCTACTGATACCAAACCCACAACGCCAGGTCATCCTTAGATGGAGCCCAGAGGTATCTCAATCAATGTCTGTGTGGGAGCCCTATCAAGGTATATGTCTATGTAATACACAGGTAAACTCAAAGTCTTATGGCACAATGCCCTATAGCATCCCTTCAAATTACTTCTGCCACCTCCTGTGCCAGCCTCTCACCCAGTGCGTTTCCTTTTCTTTCTTTCTTTTTTCTTTTCTTGAGACAGGGTTTTGCTTTGTCACCCAGGCTGGAGTGCATTGGCACAATCACAGCTCACTGCAGCCTTGACCTCCCAGGCTCAAGTGATCCTCCCACCTCAGCCTCCCCTGTAGCAGGGATTACAGGCATGTGCCACGATGCCCAGCTAATTAAAACAAATTTTTTTGTACAGACAGGGATCTCACTATTTTGCACAGGCTGGACTCGAACTCCTGGGTTCAAGAAATCCTCCTGCCTCTGCCTCCCAAAGTGCTGGGATTACAGGCATGAGCCACCACACCCAGCCACATTTTCTTTTCTTGCTCACTTTTCCCAAGTGTGTATGTATATTGGTATTACCTAGCTGTAAGCTGAAATGTGACATGCAAAGAATTATTACCTTCTCACAAAGAGCTTTACAAGCCAGGGTGTGGCTTACATACTGTCTACTTTTAATGTATTAATCATTGTTATTTTAAATTGCTGGTCAGATAATGCCAACCTTATTATACCTAAGTCTGGTTCTGATGCTCATTCTGTATACTCAAACTGTGGTGGGGGGGGGGGGGGTTTGTTTGTTTGTTTTTTGTTTTGTTTTGCCTTTTTGTGTGCCTTGCAATTTTTTGTTGAAAGTGGACATGCTATACTGGGTTAAAAAAAAAAAAACCTGCTGTAAGTCAATCTTTAGTGGTATGGTGGTAAGGTGTGGAGGGAGGGGGAGCACTCTATGGTCCCATGAACAGGTCTCAGTCTTTTAGGAAGCTTGTACCTCTGGACTGTGCACTTCAAGTGTGCTTCTCACTTTTCCCCGCTTAGGAGGAACAGGATGGCTAGAGGGAGCTAGAGTTGGGTATTTCCCTTTCCCAGGTCACTTAGGCTCTGATGCAAGAGGTTCTCCTGAGAGCAGACCTTGTGAAGAACAGAGTGCTCTGACATATTTCACCATGGTTTCTTTTCTCTTCCCCTTCTGGAAGCATGAGGCGATTTTTTTTTTCCTTTGATCTTCACTCTGAGAACACCTTAGAGCCACCGGAGTTAAAACTCACAAAAGTGGGAGTGCTCCCCTCTAAGACTGGTCACCTCCCTGAAGGTTTTTACTCTCGACTTGTCCACTCTGAGTCTCCAGCAATTCGTTACTTACACTTCAGGTTTCTCTACTTGTTTCTGCAGAAGTTTCTGCTCATGGGTTTCCCCTGGAGTAAGCTGTGGTTCTCTGTACCTGCCTGTCTGTCTCTCCAAGCAATATGACCTGTGACCTTAATCCTCTGATGGACCCAAGAAGAGTTGCTGAATTGTAGTTTGTTCAGCTTTTTACTTGTTAGGACAGAGTGATGGCTTCCAAGCTCCTTATACGCTGGACTGGAAACGGGAGTCTTCTCCTAATGGTTTTGAATGTTCTAAAATATTTCTCTGCCAGGTGATGATGAATAAAGCTAAATAAACCCTAGGCAACCTGGTGGATTCATTTTATATGTGTTTACTATGCTTTCTTTGAGACTACCTGAAAGATTAGAAATAACATGGGCTTTGGACTTGGACAGACCTGGTTTGGAAACTTGATGTGTCTAATAACTCCCTGTGTGACTCTGGATATGTTATTTAATAATCTCTCTGAGCCTCAGTTTTCTAGTATGTCAAATGGAAATTGGATTATACTCCCTATGGAATTGCTATAGTTACTGATGAGTCTCTTCTACCCTTTTGTTTCCTTAAATTTCTTTTATGCTTTACTATTCTAGGTCACTTCTAGTTACCGTCTTTCCTGCTTCTTCTTTCTTCCATGTTAAGCCTTCAATGTCATTCTTGTCTGCATGTAAGGATATAATCCACAGGTCGATGCTTTAAATCATGTTCTTAGGCAAAATAAGCATCCAGGAAACTCTGGCATAAGCTTAGATCTGGTTGAAATTTACAAATTGGTGATTTCTCTGTATCCAACCCATTTTCTTTTCTGAATCACTGGAATAATGTGATGCTCCCTTTATTTTCCATTGGTACAAATTAAATGATGTTAAGTAGCATCTGGATTTCAATGTCCACAACAGTGTTGAGTGTATTTTTGAGGATGGAGTTGGGTTTGGTTATGCAAATCCCACAGCTTCTTTCCCCCCAAGGCTTGCTAAGTGAAGTGCTTAGACTCTTGGAGGTTCCTCATTAGGGAGACTCCAGGACACACCCAGATGAGTACATTTAGTTTGTTTCTAGCAAACATTCCTTGTTAGATGAGCTAAAAGGTCAACTATTTATTAAGGTGGAGCAACAATGAGGTGAGCCCTGGCTGAGTCATGGGCTGGGAGTTAGAACACTTTGAAGCTGGTAATGGTTAGGCTCAAAGTCAGTTGTATTTCTTCCTGTTGCTGTTCCAAAGGCATGAGGAGGAGATGAGAACCAACAGGAAAAACAGCAAATGATGGGGAAGAAGACAAAAGGTAAGGAGGAAAGAAAGACAAGAAGGAAACCTGAAAGTTACAGAGGACTCATTGTATATCAGGAACTGTCTTATGCATTTCACATTGTTCTCTCATTTTCTCCTTAAAGCCACCCTCTAGAGTAGCTATTACTACGTCTATTTCCGGGTGGAAGTAAATATGTATCAGAAAGATTGGTCAGGTGTGGTGGTTCATGCCTGTAATCCCAGCACTTTGGGAGGCCGAGGTAGGTGGATCCCTTGAGGTCAGGAGTTTGAGATCAACATGGCCAATGTAGTGAAACCCTGTCTCTACTAAAAATACAAAAAAAAATTAGCCAGGCATTGTGGCACATGCATGTAATCCCAGCTACTCAAGAGGCTGAGGCAGGAGACTCACTTGAACCCAGGAGTTGGAGGTTGCAGTGAGCTGAAATTTTACCACTGCCCTCTAGCCTGGGCAACAGAGTGAAACTCCATCTCAAAAAAAAAAAAAGAAAAGAAAGATTAAGAAATCACCACCTTCAGTCACTTAACAGGTAAGTAATGGAGCTAGGTCTGGGATTCAGGTCGTTGGAATCCAACCCCAAAACCTTCTTCCTTGCATTCTTCCTTATTTTCAGCCAAGCTGTTTGTCTAATATCTGCTTTGTGTCACATACTGTGTGATAGGTGCAGTGATATAATTTCGAAGATGCCACTCTCAACTCCCAATATGACATGTTAACAGTCTGGTAGGTGACTGTAACACTGAAATAGTTTCCACATGGAGCGTCGAGTGCCTTAGGTATGTATGAGGGACAATGGAGATTTTCAGGGAGGAGTAATCAGTGCTGGCTGGGGAAGTGGGTCTGCAAAGAGATGAATGTGGGGAGGTCTCCCAGGTGGAGGCAGCAGGATATGGAACTCATTAGGGCATAAATCATTATGCACATCATGATAGTGGGAACACAAGGAGTGAGAAGAGGAGCAGTCAGAGGGGAAGTTTGGAGTCTGACCATGGCGGGCCTTGTGTGCCAGACCAGTGAGTTTAAGCTTCATGATGAGGGTGATAAGGAAATGCCTTAACAGATGAATAACTTGATGAAAGCCATCATTTAGACAGCCTCCTCTGGCAGCATTGCAGAGCATGGGCTGGAAGGAATTGAGAGCCTATGAGTCCAGGTGATACCAGGGTAGGTCCCCAAATGCTGGTGGGACTTCAACCCCAGCCAGTGTCCAGGATTTTGACACCATCATGAGAAGAAAGTCAAAGATAAGTCAGAAAATAGTGAAAGTATGGAAATTTATTGCAAGTGAAAAGTACATACTCAAGAAAGGGGAGTGCAGGCATACTCAAGAGAGAGTCGCACATAAAGGAGTTTGGGACTGCTACCTTTATGGGTTTCTTTAACCAAGGTATGGAATAGTCATGAAAATTCCTGGAAAAAGATGGAGATTTCTTGGAACTGTGGTGCCATGCCACGCATTTTTACACCAAATATGCATGTTCCCAAAACTCTCCTGGCACTGGTGGGTGTGTAATTGAGTATGTTAATGAGCATATAATGAGGATCTAAGTGAAACCTAGGTCGAATCCAGCACCATGTTGGGTCCAGTTGGTCTTAGCCCGCTTGGTCCACACAGGTGTTTCAGGGTCTTAAGCCCATAGCCTCTAGTCATGTGAAACTGCTATCTGGAGTTTTTATTCCCCTGTGATGATGCTATATCATTCCTGTCTGATAAGGGGAGTTCTGAAGCTTGGATGAAACTTCATAGTTGTCCCAAAAAGACAGGGATCAGGCCTTTGTAAACCACATGGGTTCAAGTTCAAAAGGAAAGAAAGAAACTTCAGGTGAGCTTGAGAGACCCCAATTAACTGCAAGGTTCAACACATGACCCTGAAAGAATCAAAGTATTTTACCTCAAAATATATTTCTTTGACATATTCTGAAATGGCCCCACAAAGCTGTCTCTTGTGAGGGAAATTTGCATTCCATAGAGAGTCTCCTTCCCTTAATAGGAATTTTCCCAGAGAGTCTAAGATTTTTTAGGGTCTGATAATAAACATTCACATTTATTCGCTCTGAAGCCTGCTACCTGGATGTTTCATGTACATGACAAGAACTTTGGCTTCCATAGCCCCCTAATCTAAACTCAATCATTTCTGGCGAGGCACAGTGGCTCACGCCTGTAATCCCAGCACTTTGGGATGTCAAAGTGGGTGGATCACTTGAGGCCAGGAGTTCGAGACTGGCCTGGCCAACATGGTGAAACTCCATCTCTACTAAAAATACAAAAATTAGCCAGGTGTGGTGGCACATACCTATAATCCCAGCTACTTGGGAGGCTGAGGCATGAGAACTGCTTGAACCCAGGTAGTGGAGGTTGCAATGAGCCAGGATTGTGCCACTGCACTCCAGCCTGGGTGACAGAGCAAGAGTCCATCTCAATAAATACATAAATAAATAAACACAAGCATTTCTTTATGATGAACTCAACTTTTCAGGCAAAGCTTAACTCTTTCACCCATTTGCCAATCAGGAAATCTTTGAATCCATCTATGACCTGGAAGCCCCCATTCCCTCCATTTTGAGATGTCCCAAACCAACATATACCTTGCAAGTATTGATTTGTGTCTTGCATTGGAATTTCTGTCTCACTTAAAAGTATAAAACCAAGCTGTAACCCAACAACCTTGGGCACATGTTCTTGGGACCTCCTGAGGCCATGTCACGGGCCATGGTCCTCAAACTTGACAAAATAAACCTCTAAATTGATTGAGACCTGCTCAGATACTTTTTGGTATACACTTAAAAGAAGAAAAGTTGTGGAGAAAGAGGAAGGGAGGAGACTGTGGTCATGGATGTGTTGGAGTTTAAGGTTTTAGAAGCAGAGACATTCCTCATGATGAAGGGGCTACTATGACCATGGGAGTAGGTTTCAGGGAGAAGAAAGTTGGAGTTCATTGCCATTGAGTTAAAGCATTAAGAGGCTAGGGTATTAGTTGTGTTGCCCATGCAGATATTAAATTTACTTAAGATGGTAGTAGATGCTAAGGTGGGAAGAAAGACTCAACCAGGTGTTAAAGTGCACAATGAATGTAGAAGTACAATGCTCACTTTTGTAGAATATTAATGAGAAAAGTAAAAGGAGGAGTAATAAAATGGCTGGAACCTAAAAAAATAAGTGATTTTGTATGAGGAGGTAAAAATAATGTCCTAATAAAATTATTAGGGAGCTGAGAGAATGCAAACACCACCACTAGTGTCCATATGAGAGAATGAGTGGCTTCCATTAAAAATAGTTCTAAGGAGGCCAGGTGTGGTGACTCATGCCTGTAATTCTAGCACTTTGGGAGGCCAAGGTAAGAGGATTACTTGAGCCCAGGGATTTGAGACCAGCCTGGGCAATACAGTGAAATCCTGTCTCTACAAAAAATAGAAAAATTAGCCAGGTATGGTGGCATGAGCCTGTAGTTCCAGCTACTTGGGAGGCTGAGGTGGGAGAATCGTTTGAGCCTGGGAGGCAGAGGTTGCAGTGAGCTGAGATTGCACCACTTCACTCCAGCCTGAATGTCAGAGTGAGACCCAGTCTCAAAAAATAAAATAAAATAAAATAAAAATAAAACAGTTCCAAGGAATCGATATCCTTAGGGAAGAGACAGGATTCAAAAAGTCATGGGAGTAGAGAGAAAATTCCAGAAAGATAATGTCCTCTTGGAGGTTATTTATAGTGAATATGGTATTTTCTCTTCTGTTTCATTGACTGTTTTTCTATTATCGTATCATTAATATGCTGTTTAAATTATCATAGCTTTATAATAAAATTAAATTTCTGGTCTTTCAAGTACAATTTTGTTGTTCTTATCCTTCCCCTACCCTCAATTTCTTAGCTATTTTCACTTAATAAAATTATTTCACTGTTATTCTGATGAGAAATTGCATTAAACGTGTACTTTTACTTGGGTATAACTGACACCTTTATCCTTTGTTGTAGGTCAACTTCCCTGGGAAGCCTACTCAGAAGGAGATTTGTATAAGTAGATTTATTAGGAAGAATCCTTGGGATTAATATGTGGGAAGAAGGAGATGGGATTAGGCAGAGGAAGCGTTGAACTGTAATGAAGTCATAACAAAGCAGTTGATCCCATGGAGATAGAGTTCTAGTGCTAAAATGGAACTTCATAGTTGCCCCAAACTGAGGCAAGGGGACCAGACCCTTGTAAAAACTTCCTTCCCCCCATTGACCAGTCTCACTAGAGGTGAACTACCCAGCAAGAAGAGGCCTTAAGCTTAAGAGAGGTGGCTTTCATTGAGGGAGATTCCTGGAGAACAAACGAGCTATAAGCCATTGGCAGCCAACACTCTCAGCAGCAAAGGGAATGATGCCTTGGTCTCGTTCCAAGTGGGGAATCTCAGTAGCACATCACAGCATCCACTACACCCATTTAAGTCTCTTCATGAGTGTATTGCGTCTCTTGTTCATTCAAATCTGTTTTTTTCTGAAGATTTTCAAAGATTCAAATGGTTACAAAAGCAGTCTCCTGATGGGTTCCTCTTTCCCACTGAACAGACAAAACCAATTCACTAAGACTGTGGTATTGCAGTACAGAAGAAGTGTAATTAAAGCAAAGCCAGCCAAGTAGAAGGACAGAAATTTTATTATTACTCAAATCAGCCTCCCAGAGGACTCAGAGGCTAGGGTATTTATGGATAATTTGGTGGGCAGGGGGCTAGGGAATGAGTGCCACTAACTGGCTGGGGATGAAATCATAGCGGGGCTGAAAAGGGTCCCTGTGCACTGATTCTGCCTCTGGATGGAGGCCTTGGGACCAGCTGAGTCATGATTCACAGGTCCAGGTGGGGCCAGTTGGTTACCAGAAACCAAAAGTCTGAAAAACATCTCAAAAGACCAATCTTAGGTTCTACAATACTGATGTTACCTAGAAGAGCACTTTGGGAAGTCACAAATCTTGTGACCTCTAGCCACACGACTCCTTAGCAGTAAGGGATTATAGACACTATGCCTACATTTTAGCAGAATTCAGCTCCCCAGTAATCCTAATCTTGTGGTCTTTCGTTAGTTTTATAAAGGCAGCTTCAGTCCCTGAGCAAGGAGGGGGTTAGTTTTAGGGAGAGACTGTTATCATTATTGCCTTCAAGTTAAACTGTAAACTAAATTCCTCCCATGATTAGCTTGGCCTATAACCAGGAATGACCAGGGACAGCCAGCCTGTGCAGCCAGAAGCAAGATGGAATCAGTCATCTTCTCACTGCCATAGTTTTTGCAAAGGTGGTTTCACAAAGACTTACATAGGCTTTTCCAGACAATCTCTATCACACTGCTTATTAAATTTATTATAGATTGTTTTGTATGTTGTATAGGCGTGGTGAATAAGACATTTTTTCCTTTATATGTTCTAACTGGTTATTCCTAGTGTGTAAAAACAGTATATAGGTTACTATGTTCATTTATTTGTTTATTTACCTTTTTAGCTTTAGTGAGGTATAATTGACATACAATCAGCTGCACATATTTAAAGCATGTACTTGGATGAATTTTGACATATATATATATTTATAAGAATATCACCACAATCAAAATAACCAACATATTCATCATCCCCAAAAACTTTCTTATGTCTCTTTGTCATCCATCTCTCTCTGGCACCAGCCCCTGACCCAAGGTAACCATTAATTCACCTTCTGGCCAATTAGTTTACATTTTCTAGGACTTTTTTAGTGATGGAATCATACAGTATGTATGATTTTTTTGTCAGTCTTTTTGTCTGTCTTCTCAGCATAATTATTTTGAGATTCATCCATGTTGCTTCATGTAGCAGGAGTTCATTCCTTTTTATTGCTGTGTAGTATCATGTGAGTATCATAGCATATCCACTTACCTGCTGATGGACATTTGCTTGTTGTTTCCAGTTTTAGGCAATTACAAATAAAGATGACATTAATATTCCTGTACAAGTCTTTGTGTAGACATGTGATTTCTTTTTTCTTGGGGAAATACCTACAAGTGGAATGTCTAGGTCATATGAGAGGAATGTGTTTAATGTTTCAAATGTTTTCAAAACAATTGCATCATTTTACATTCCTACCAGCAGTACAGAGTTCCAGTTCTTCCATATCCTCTGCCAATGTTGAGTGTGGTGAAACTTTTAAATTTTAGCCATTCTAGTGAATACTGCATTAGTATACTATATTAGTCCATTTTCATGCTGCTGATAAAGACACACTCAAGACTGGAAAGAAAAAGAGGTTTAACAGAGTTACAGTTCCACAAGGCTGTGGAGGCCTCATGATCATGGCAAAAGGCAAGGAGGAGCAAGTCACATCTTACATGGATGGTGGCGGGCAAAGAGAGAGCTTGTGCAGGGCAACTCCCATTTTTAAAACCATCAGTTCTCGTGAGACTCATTCACTATCACAAGAAAAGCACAGGAAAGACCTGCCCCCATAATTCAATCACCTCCCATCAGGCTCCTCCCATGACATGTGGGAATTGTGGGAGTTATAATTCAGGATGAGATTTGGGTGGGGACACAGCCAAACCATATCATTCCACCCGTGGCCCCACCCAAATCTCATGTCCTCACATTTCAAAACTAATCATGCCTTCCCGACAGTCCCCCAAAGTCTTAACTCATTTTAGCATTAACTCAAAAGTCCACAGTCCAACCCCTCATCTGAGACAAGGCAAGTCCCTTCCACCTATAAGCCTGTGTACTAGTCCATTTTCATGCTGCTGATAAAGACATACCCAAGACTGGGAAGAAAAAGAGGTTTAATTGGACTTACAGTTCCACATGGCTGGGGAGGCCTCAGAATCATGGCAGGAGGCAAAAGGCACTTCTTACATGGTGGCAACAAGAGAAAATGAGGAAGATGCGGAAGCAGAAACCCTGGATAAAACCATCAGATCTCATGAAACTTCTTCACTACCTTGAGAACAGTATCGGGAAAACCGCTCCCATGATTCAAACTATCTCCTACCATGTCCCTCCCACATGTGGGAATTATGGAAATACAATTCAAGATATTTGTGTGGGGACACAGCCAAGCCATATCAGCCTGTAAAATCAAAAGCAAGTTAGTTACTTCCTAGATATAATGGGGGTACAGGCATTAGGTAAGTACAGCTGTTCCAAAGGAGAGAAATTGGTGAAAACAAAGGGACTACAGGCCCCATGCAAGTCTGAAATCCAGTAGGGCAGTCAAATCTTGAAGCTCCAAAATTATCTCCTTTGACTCCAGGCCTTGCATTCGAGTCACACAGATGCAAGAGGCGGGTTCCCATGGTCTTGGGCAGCTCTGCCCCTGTAGCTTTGCAGACTACAGCATCCCTCCCAGCTGTTTTCACAAGATGGTGTTGAGTGTCTGCAGCTTTTCCTGCAGCTGCAGCCTTTCCTGGCACACAGTGCAAGCTGTCAGTGGATCTATCATTCTGGGGACTGGAAGACCATGGCCCTCTTCTCATAGCTCCACTAGGCCATGCCCCATTAGGGACTCTGTGTGGGGGCTCCGACCCCACATTTCCTTCTGCACTGCCCTAGCAGAGGTTCTCCATGAGAGCCCCACCCCTATAGCAGACTTCTGCCTGGACATCCAGGTGTTTCCATACATCCTCTGAAATCTAGGCAGAGGTTCCCAAACCTCAATTCTTGACTTCTGTGAACCCACAGTCTCAACATCACGTACAAGCTGCCAAGGCTTGAGGCTTGCAACCTCTGAAGCTGTGGCCTAAGCTGTACCTCAGCCATTTTTAGTAACAGCTGGAGTGGCTGGGATGCAGGGCACCAAGTACCTAGACTGCACACAGCACGGGAACCCTGAGCCTGACCCACAAAACAATATTTTCCTCCTAGGCCTCTGGGCCTGTGATGGGAGGGGCTGCCATGAAGACCTGTGACACTGGAGACATTTTCCCCATTGTCTTGTCTTAACATTCAGCTCCTCATTACTTTTGCAAATTTATGCAGCCAGCTTGAATTTCTCCTCAGAAAATGGGATTTTCTTTTCTATCACATTGTCGAGCTGCAAATTTTCCAAACATTTATGCTCTGTTTCTCTTTTAAAACTGATTGCTCTTAGAGCACCCAAGTCATCTTTTGAATGCTTTGCTGCTTAGAAATTTCTTCCACCAGATACCCTAAATCATCTTTCTCAAATTTAAAGTTCCACAAATCTCTAGGGCAGGGGCAAAATTCTGCCAGTCTCTTGGTTAAAACATAACAAGAGTCACCTTTGCTCCAGTTCTCAACAAGTTCTTCATCTCCATCTGAGACCATCTCAGCCTGGACCTTATCATTCATATTACTGTCAGCATTTTTGTCAAAGCCATTCAACAAGTCTCTTAGAAGTTCCAAACTTTCCCACATTTTCTTGTCTTCTTCTGAGCCCTCTAAACTGTTCCAACTTCTGCCTGTTACCCAGTTCCAAAGTTGCTTCCACATTTTTGGGTATCTTTCAGCAGTGCCCTACTCAATTGGTACCAGTTTACTGTATTAGTCCGTTTTCATGCTGCTGATAAAGACATACTCTAGACTGGAAAGAAAAAGAGGTTTAATGGACTTACATTCCACATGGGCTGGAGAGGTCTCACAATCACGGCAGAAGGCAAGGAGAAGGAAGTCACATCTTACACGGATGGTGCCAGGCAAAGAGAGAGCTTGAGCTTGTGCAGGGAAACTCCCATTTTTAAAACCATGAGATCTCGTAAGACTCATTCACTACCATGAGAACAGTGCAGTAAAGACCCTATCCCATAATTAAATCACCTCCCACTGGGTTCCTCCCACAACACATGGGAATTGTGGGAGTCACAATTCAAGATGAGATTTGCATGGTGACACAGCCAAACCATATCACCTACCCTACTTAAACATGCTCAGAACACTTTCAGTATCCAAAAAATTACATGAGATAGTCAACACTTTATTATAAAATAGGCTTTGTGTTAGATGATTTGGCTCAGCATCACAAGAGAGTATCATTCTGTATATCACTTGCCTGGGAAAAGACCAAAATTCAAAATTCAAAAAGTGCGGTTTCTACTGAATGTGCCTCGTTTTTGCACCATCGTAGAGTAAAAAAATTGTAAATTGAACCATTGTAAGTTGAGGACTGTCTGTGTATATGCTAGGTCAAGACTGGAAGTGAACTAAAATGAAAGTAGTTGCTTTAGGTGAGTGAGTTTATAGCTGATTTTTTTCTCTTCTTCTTTCTTTTCCCTTCCCCTTCCTATCCTGAAACAATTTAGCCCTAAAGCCATTAGGAGGGGCAGAGTAAGGTAGGTGGGACAAGGGGGTGTGGGGATGGGGGCACCAGAGCAGAATTGAGAGCCCAGCAGGCAAGAAGTGCATGCATGTTTGGCACAGGGTGCCTAAAAGGAAAGAAAAAACAATTCAGTTTTTCTCTATCCTCAACACTTCTGACAACAAATATATGGGTTTTTTCCATGCCAAGCAGTTCTCCAATTTTCAGCAAAGACACCAACTGAGTGTCCTTCAATTTTGACACTAATTTTCTGGAGTTAACATCTGCTGTGGTTTATTCATCCCCACCAAATCTCACATTGAAATTTGATCCCAAATATGGTGGTGTTTGGTATATTAGGAGATGTTTGGTTCGTCCTCATAAATAGATCATAGCCTTTCCTGGGGGTGGGGAGTGGGTGAGTTTTCACTCTGTTAGTTCTGTGAAAGCTGGTTGTTAAAGAGAGCCTGGCACCTTCTGCCTCTCTCCTGCTTCCTCTCTCACCATGTGATCTCTGCACACGCCGGCTCCCCTTCAACTTCTCTGTGAGTGGAAGCAGCCGAAGGCCCTCACCAGATGTAGATGCCTAACCTCCAGAAAAGACTGAGGCAAGTATCAATCAATTTAGAGGTTTATTTTACCAAAGTTGAGGATGTACCTGGGTTGTAGGGGAAGGGGGCAGTGACCACAAGTCACAGGAGCACCTGTGACCTGTGACTTTTCTGAGAGAGTTTTGAGGACTTCAATATTTAAAAGGGAAAGAGCAACCAAGAGGTGAAGGAGGAAAGAAATAAAGGAGGGAAGGTAGGCAATGAGGCAGGTACATTCTGGGGAGGCTTTGATTAGTGCTCACTGAATCTACATTTTACATGTGAAAAGTGGAGGTAGAGGAGCAGTCAATTATGCATTCATCTCATGCTCAGTAAATCTACATTTTACATAAGATAAACAGAGTAGAGGAACAGTCAATTATGCATTCATCTCATGCTCAGTAAATCTACATTTTACATAAGATAAACATAAAGTAGAGGAAGCAGTCAATTATGCATTTGTCGTGGGGTGGGTGGAGGGATGGCTCCGGTCTTGTCCTTGTCCGATACCTGTGAATATAAGCTATTAATTTGTATTGTCAGGATGAAATTCAACAGACCTCTGTTTTAGGATTAGTTAACTGAAAGATTTGAGGGCCCACAAGGAATTTCCTTGAAAGCAATTTGTGAAAGCACTACCTGGGGAGATACATGGCCTTTGATCACTGCAGCTAGATAGATGGTTTAGGAACAAACAGAAAGGCAGTTTTTGTTGTTGTTGTTGTTGTTGTTGTTTGTTTTTTGCATAACTCAGTTTCCAAGCTTAACTGTCCCTTTGGCATAGTGAGTTGGGGTTCCAACATCGTGTTTTTCATTCACAATGGCAACACAAAATAGACTAAGACAGCATCAAACCCTGCAAGTTAAAGGGCTCAGTCCCACAAGACTGCTCCCACTTCAGATGCTAGTCACAGGTCCCAGGTTAACACCTGCACTTCTGGCTGAGTTGGCTGCATAATGGGAGTTCCCATGACCCCCTCCTCTGGTTTGATAATTTGCTATAAAAGCACACAGAATTCAAGGAAATGTTTTGGTAACTATTACCAGTTTATTCTAAAGGTTATGGTTCAGCAACAGCCAAATAATTATCTAAGGCAATGTCCTTGTTTGTAGGAAATGTCCACTTAAATACAGTAGTCCCCCTTTACCTTGGTTTCACTTTCCATGGTTTCAGTTACCCATGGTCAACAGCAGTCAGAAAATATTAAATGGAAAATTCCAGAAATAAACAATTTGTAAGTTTTAAATAGCACACCATCATAAGTAGCATGATGAAATCTTGCGCCATGCAGCTCCATCTTCCTCAGGATGTGAATCTCCCCTTTGTCCAGCAAATCCACACTATAGGTGTGCCCCATCTATGAGTCTCTTAGGAGCCACCTTGGTTATCAACTGTCACAGTACCCCATTGCTCAGTTTCAGGTCACCTTTGTACTTAATAATGTCCCCAAAGCACAAGAGTAGTGATGCTGGCAGTTTGGATATGCCAAAGAGAAGCCATAAAACTGCTTCCTTTCCATGAAAAAGTGAAAATTTCTTGACTTAATAAGGAAACAAAAAATTATATGCTGAAGTTGCTAAGATCTATGGTAAAAACATATCTTCTATCCATGAAATTGGGAAGAAGGAAAAAGAAATTCGTGCATAGTATACATAGGATTTAGTGCTTTCTGTGATTTCAGGCATCCACTGGGGGTCTTGGAACACCTCTTCTGCAGATAAAGAGGGAATACTGTACTGTATTAGTTAGCTTGGGCTGCTGTAACAAAATATCACAGACTGGGTCACTTAAACAACAGAAATGTATCTTCTTAAGTTATGAAGTCTAGAAGTCCAAGATCAAGTTTCTGGCAGGGTTGGTTTCTCCTAAGGCCTTTCTTCTTGGCTTGCAGATGGCTGTCTTCTCCCTGTGTCTTCTCATCATCTTCCTTCCGTATGTGTCTATGTCCTAATCTCCTCTTCTTACAAGGATACCAGCACGTTGGATTAGGGCCCACCCTAATGGCCTCATTTTAACTTAATTGCCTTTTTAAAGACCCAATCTACAAATACAGTCATACTGTGAAATACTGAGGGTTAGGGCTTCAACATATGAATTTCGGAGGGACATAGTTGAGCCCACAGGTATCAAAAGGCTGATGAAGCATTATGTCAGCAATTCACTCTCAAATGGTTCAGGAAAAATTAATTATTTGTACTTTATTTTCAACTTCTCTGTAAGCTTGCTTTGGATTAAAACAACGAAAAAAAAATGTGCTTAAATGTTGTTCCTGTATTCTTTCTATAATACTCTAAGGCAAAATGAAGGCAAGAGAGTAATCACGTTTTATAAAAATGCAAATGGAAAAGTGTTAATTCTATCTGAAACATGATAAAGCTCTGTTATTTAAAAAATGCTCTTCAGTAGCATACTTCATGCCTTGGAGATGCCGGATGTATGACATATGGAGTAATAGATATGCTTTAATGCCACATAACACAATCACAATGGACTCATCTATTTCAGGTCTCTGCTGGATTTCCCTCACACAGTTGAGCTCAGGCATTTTGCAGGATCAATGTGTTTATTTCTAAAGTGGCATCTTCCATCATTTTACAGCTCCTTCAACAGGCTACCAGCTGTGTGAGCCTCCCACATAACCATGAAGTATATTAACTAGCAACAGAAGGAAGAGGATAGGAAAAGGAGGTAGAAGGGAGAGTTCAATTTCATGTCACTGGTTTTTGCCAAATTATAACATTATACCATATGGTGTATGTATGATAGTGTTGGATCTGGAAAAAGCAGGTGGAGTTAAAAACAGAGGAAGATGGGACAGGATGGAAATCAAAGAGTAGCACATGCATAAAGGGATCACAGGAAAATGAAACTCGCTGGTGAATAGCAAGATTAGATGCAAAACCACCAACCCCTTCTCACGCCTTGTCAATAGCCTCCTTTCCTATGTCCCCAAATGCACCACCTTCACAGTCAAAGTCCCTGATGCTCACTTACACACTGTAATCTCACGTGCTGCAGCAACATTCCCTGGTCAAAAGTATTTTCCTTAAAGACCTCTTGCTCAAAGTATAAAATTCCACTGTAAAAGAGGTAAGTAAATGACTGAGGAAATCACTGTGTTGGCCAGGTGTGGTGGCTCATGCCTGTAATCCTAGCACTTGAGGAGGCCAAGGCAGGAGGATTGCTTGAAGCCAGGAGTTAGAGACCAGCCTGGGCAACATGGCGAGACCCTGTCTCTACCAAAAAAATTGTTTTAAATTAGCTGGGTTTGGTGGTGCATGCCTGCAGTCCCAGCTAATCAGGGGCTGAAGTGGAAGGATTGCTTGAGACTAGGAGGTCAAGGCTGCGGTGAGCCATAAATGCACTGCACTCCAGCCTGGGCATCTCAATCAATCAATCAATCAATCAATCAATAATTTAAAATGATGTAAATATAATAAGAAAAAGTAGGGAATTAAGACTTCCATGGCTACAAAAATACAATTAGATGGAAGAAATAAGATCTAGTGTTCAGTAGCAAAATGGGGTGACTACAGTTAAAAAAATTTATTGTATTTTTCAAAATAACCAGAAAAGTGGAATTGGAATGTTTCTAACACACACACACACAAAGATAAATGCTTGAGGTGATGGGTTATCCCTATTACCCAAATTTGCTCATTACACATTGTATGTTTACATCAAAATCTCACATGCACTTCCATAAATATGGACAACTATTATGTACCATAAATATTTTTTTAAAAAATTTAAAGAGACTTCTGCTGCCAAGTCATCTTAGTGTGAAGAAGTTTATGAGCACAATCTCTGCAGGATAGTTGCCTGAAGTCAGGTCTGAGAGAAGATCAAATCACATTTAGTAAGAGCCGAGACTAGTTCCAGCATCCACTCTGGACAAATGCCTCTACTCTCCTGGGAACAGAGAAGAGTGATGCTTCTCCTCTTCCCTGCACCCACCAATGATCAGGGAGGCTGCATCAGGCAACATTCTGCAAGCATCATCTGCCTTTTCCAGGTCTTCATTTATTCTCTTTTATGCTTCATCATGACCCGTCCCACTCCAATTCCTAACTCAATTAAGATTTCATCTGTCCTTTAAGATTCAACTAAAATGTCACTCATGCTATGAATTCTTTTCCCATCCTCCCCCCTGCTTTCCTACTTTTTTTTTTTTTTTTTAAATAAACCTTTTAGCATCTGATTTCAGCATTCAGTTGTATACTTGTCAATTCTCTCATCAGACTATAAACTGCTTTAGGGCATGAACAATGTCCTACTCCTTATCCCATACCCAGTTCCTGCTGCACTGCCTGGAACATGCAAGCATTTAATAAATATTTGTTGAATTAAATAGACTCAGAGTTAATGAGACTTTTGATTTTCCAGGGCTTTATTTACACATTCTTTTCCCACTACAGTATAGGAAGGCATTGAACCAAACATCCACGGGAACAAGTCTCTTCATGCAGTTAAACAAGTTTCAAAAACATTAATTAAAAAGCATTTTCCCATTAACAGGAAAGAACAGATCCAAAGGCAGTAACTCCATCCTCACATCCCTAGTTCATTAAAATGCATATGTGTTTGTGCCACGGATTTGAACATAAACTTGAAAATCAGTTCCCCTTAGCTTTGTGAGCTCTGAATTACATTTCCTTCCCCATTTGCTTAACATCAATGACACACAGAACAATGCCGGGAAAGGGCTCTGGATGTTATCAGCGGCTGCAGGGGAACCAACCTAGGAGCCTGAACTGGGGGCCTGGCCAGAACAGAAAGTACATTTTAAAGGACTGAATCTATCACTCTTATTTGTTGTTTGAACCAGGCTCTGAAAGGTATGATTCTAGATTACAGAGATTTTTTTCAAACCAATGCACTAGAATTTACAATAATCTAATGTTCTCCCCTCTGAAGTCCACATGCTTATTCTATGTTGCTCACAATGGTTTGACATTTCTCTGTGGGTTTGCTTCCTATTCGTGTCAGACGAAACTTTCTTTTAAATCTGAAAGAGGACTGGCATGGTGGCTCACCCCTGTAATCCCAGCACTTTGTGAGGCAAAGGCAGGCAAATCGCTTGAGTCCAGGAGTTCAAGACCAGCCTGGGCAACATGGTGAAACCCTGTCTCTACAGAAAATACAAAAATTAGCCAGGCATGGTGGCACACGCCTGTAATCCCAGTTACTTGGGAAGCTGAAGCAGAAGGATTGTTCGTGCCGGGGATGCAGAGGTTGCAGTGAGCTGAGATCATGCCACTGTACTCCAGCCTGCCTAACAGAGTGAGACCCTGTCTGGAAAAAAAAAAAAAGAAAGAAAGAAAATCTGAAATAGCATCTTCCATTTGGGTTATTCACATCCTTTCACCAACCTTCACTCCAAATGATGTGGAGCTGATTTCAAAAGTGAAATCTACTCTAAAATGACAGAGTATGACCACTGAGAACAGGTGAGAGAATGTACCTCTGACACTGCCATCTACAGCAAATGTCACCTTGGAAGAAGCATCCAGGGTGCCAAGCTGATGTTGTAAAGGGGGATAGTACTCATTTAGATATTCCAAATTCTGGCATTTTATTTTTCAGTCAGGCTCCTCCCCTTCACCTGTAAAATGATCTGCAAACTATGATCCCATCTCTGAAAGAAAAACAATGCTCTATAGGGATTCAATAAGAAGGAGATGTAAAAAGGTTTTGTCCCTGAAGAGCAAAGCATCATTTGTTCATCATTCATGTATTCACTCGACTCCCATTTACAAAGCCTTGACTCTAAGTAAGGGTTGCTCTGGGAGCTGAAGATACACAGAAGCATGAGGCTGAGTTCCTGCCCTCTCTAAGTGTTCATAGGCTGGGAAGAAACACAGATAATTTCCACACTCTTTCACTGTTTCAGTGCTTTCAAGGATGCATGCACACAGGAGCCCGGAAGCAGAAAGGTGGGGAGCTGAGCCTGAATGGGAGTCTGTTGAAGGTGGTGGGGAGAACAGGGTGGACTTTTGAGAGTAGAGAAAACACTATGTAAATAACAGCTCTAATTGCCTTTAAGGCAGATCACACTCCAACATCCTCATCTCAGGCTAAAATCTCTACTCCAGAATGGTTACATATAGGTTTTCCGAAGTCTAACAGAGTGAAATCTGATGATACATGCAAACAGCTACATAATTAATAAAATGTAAGTTATCATTCTATTTCCTCTGCAACAATGTAAGTCAACATTCTATTTTCTCTGCAACAATGTAAGACATCCTTGCAACCCCCCTGGAAACAAAAACTAAAAACTAAAAATAAATAAAGAATAAAGACATCCCAAGTTTTTGCCAATGTAGAAATGAAGATGAACAATGTTTGCCTCTCCCTGGGTCAGATTATCTGCTGAGTTAGACTCTCCTCTACTAGCCCAGGTGCTTTGCTTGTACTGTGGGGCAGAAGGAGGGGGAGGTGGAGCATTGTTTCTGCCTTCCAATCATACTTCCTAATGGGGAACTGCCAATTAGCCTGATTCTCAGCCTTGGCCCACCTCCTTCTCCTTCTGAGGTAGCAGCACTCACTGCCCCAGGTCTTAGTCTAGAGTCAATCCCACAAGTAACCCAGGCCCACATCTATGAGATCTCAGTCATTTCGCAGTTAGCCCAGCACCCGCCTTGTCCTTGTTCATCAGATGCCTGCACTTGCAAATTATTCTCTCAAGCTAACCACCAACTCATAACAAACTTAACGTATAACCACACCAAGACACAGGCATTATATTGTTC
Organism: Homo sapiens; assembly: GCF_000001405.40. Lineage (NCBI taxonomy): Eukaryota > Metazoa > Chordata > Mammalia > Primates > Hominidae > Homo > Homo sapiens. The sequence goes on from NC_000008.11 coordinate 26,168,285, forward strand.
ATTTTACAAATACGAAAATTGAGGTCCAGAAAAAAATAACTATCCAAGATCCCATAGTCAGAAAACCATGGAGTCAGGATTTGAATCCAGGTCTATCTCATTGCAAAGGCTCTGCTTCCTCTTCTACTTCTTCTGGCCTCCCAGTAACTCACTCTGTGACTCCCAAATGAGTTACTTCACCTCCCTGAGCCCTATTTTCCTCATCTACAAAAGAAAATATCCACACCAACATCTGTTAAATTATTCATTCATTGTGTGCTCATGTCTACAAGTTCATAGGTATGGACCAAAAAAGTGAGGACAGGGAGATTTTACAGTCAAGTACATTCGAAGAAACTGATTTCAACAAAGGTTAGTATATTTGTTTCCTTCAAGACTTCAAGACTTCTCAGAGCCTTTAACATAATGATACGTTTTAGAAATTTTGAGAAGGGATATATATATATATATATATATTTGAGACAGGGTCTCATTCTCTCACCCAGGCTGGAGTGCAGTGGCACAATCATAGCTCACTGCAGCCTTGAACTCCTGGGCTCAGGCGATCCTCCCACCTCAGCCACCTAAGTAGCTGAGACCACAGGCGTGCACCACCATGCCTGCATAATTTTGTGGGGTTTTTTTGTGTTTGCAGATACGAGGTCTTACTATGTTGCCCAGGCTGGTCTTGAACTCCTGAGCTCAAGAGATCCTCCTGTCTCAGCCTTCCAAAGTGCTGGGATTACAGGTGTGAGCCACCACACCCAGCCTGGCAAATTTTTTATTTTATTTTTTGTAGAGACAAGGTCCCACTATGTTGCCGAGGCTGGTCTCAAACTCCTGGGATCAAGCAACCCTCCTGCCTCAGCCTCCCAAAGTGCTGACCAAGAAGGGCTATATTCTTATTTCCCTTATTCACCGTGGAATACCGTTACCGATGGAACACTGGTTTGGGAAACACTGCACGGGATGATACATAAGAGGTTTCCAATTCCTGCATTCACTGCCCAGACCCCAGAACCTCTGATTCTTGCCCTAATCCTACACAGATTTAAAGACCTCTAGGGAAGCTAAATCTATGATGTTTCCTCATGGCCTCCATTGAAGATGCAGAATCTGTTAAGCCAATTAATAGTTAATAGCTAATTGATTCTGTAGCTAGCACAAACAGGCTGCCTCTCCATTTCTTCAGTGGTGGACACAGTGAAATCCAAGGCAGAGCTGCTTGCACAGGCCCTTTTCCTACCTAGACAACTGTCGCTGGCTTCATGCCACTGTTTACACATGGTCATTTCTTTCTCTCTAAGCACTTAGACTTGGATTCGTTTTCATAAACTTAAAGCTGCTATTTGGGGATTTGTTTTTGTAACTCTAATTTGACTTAGTTCACAGTGGAATACTCTTCACTGCATCTTTCTAAATGGAGAACTGCCCATTTCTTTGGATTCAGCCCAAGTACAGTGCTATCTAGATGGAGGGGGCTGGGCTGAAACTTTTTAAAAGGGCTCTTCTAAGCCCAGGATTCTGTAATTCCCAGTTTTTCATCCTACTCTTCGTGTTTTTCCAGCACCTTCAGAAACTTAGAAAATTTAAAAGAGAGAGCTAGAAAAAGAGGAAAATGAAAAGGAAAAGAAGGAAAGAAAGTTCTGGCTTTCCTACCTGCCTATTGCTTGAAACTTCCTAGCCCCTTTATTAAAAAGTAATAAGTGAAGCTGTTAAATCCAGGGTACCCCTAGCAACAAGATGAGAACCACTGTTTTCATTGTTAGGAGGCTAGATTCTATTCAACTTGCCCTTAGCTTTTTAAAACATAATGGATAAGCCACAGCAATTTTATCTGTTTCCCCAACTATAAAATGGGATAATAATCTCTCTAACCTTTTTCTTCCATCCTGGAATTGTCCCCAAGATGAAATTTGATCCTGTAAACTTGCTTCAGTGAAAGGCACTACACAAACAAAAGTGGTAATTATAGAGTTGCTTGGTAAAGCAGCTTTGCATTGTAAGCATGTGAACCCACCCCAAATATCATATTGGATTTTGCTCCTTTGTTGAACACCATGTAATAGATGAAGTTCCCCCTTTCCCACTGAGAGGATGCAGGGCTTCTTGGAAAAAAGGCTGATGTCAGGTCTGGAGCACCCTCTCACAAGAAGATGGCAAGGAAATTAACAAAGACTATAAGAGTTGTTTCAAAAAAATCAAGAGAGGGCCCAGCATGGTGGCTCACACCTGTAATCCCAGCACTTTGGGAGTCCGAGATAAGCATATTGCTTGAGGTCAGTAGTTCGAGACTAGCCTGGGCAACATGGCAAAACCCCATCTCTACTAAAAATACAAAAAAATTAGCTGGGCCTGGTGGCACACTCCTGTAATCCCAGTTACTCAGGATACTTGGGAGGCTGAGCCACAAGAATCACTTGAACCCAGCAGGTGCAGGTTGCAGGTTGCAGTGAGCCGAGATCACACCACTGCACTCCAGCTTGGGTGGCACCTCAAAAAAACAAACAAACAAACAAACAAAAACTAAGGGAGGCCAGGCACGGTGGCTCATGCCTGTAATCCCAGAATCTTGGGAGGCCAAGGCAGGTGGATCCCTTGACTCCAGAAGTTTGAGACCAGCCTGGGCAACATGGCAAAACCCCATCTCTACAAAAAATTTTAAAATTAGCCAAGTGTCATGTCATGTGCCTGTAGTTCCAGCTAGTCAGGAGGCTGAGGTGGGAGGATCACTTGAGCCCAGGAGGTTGAAGCTGCAGTAAGCTGTAATTGCGCCACTGCACTCCAGCCTGGGGTGATGGAACCAAGAGCCTGTCTCAAAAAGTAAAAATAAAAAATAAATAAAAACAAAGGATAACTCCAATAAGCTCCCATTGTTCAAAATTGGAAAAATTCAAGCTTCAAAAAGAATAATAACTAAAATGGTGGAAAATATACACGTTTAAATTTGCCAGTTTGGCCGAGTGCAGTGGCTTATGCCTGTAATCCCAGCATTTTGGGAGGCCAAGGCGGGCAGATCACTTGAGGTCAGTTCAAGACTAGCCTGGCCATCATAGTGAAACCCCATCTCTACTAAAAATACAAAAAAAATTAGCTGGGCATGGTGGCCTGTGCCTGTAATCCAGGCTGCTCAGGAGGCTGAAGCAAGAGAATCACTTGAACCCAGAAGGTGAGATGCAGTGCGCCAGCCTGGGTGACAGAGCAAGACTCCGTCTAACAAAATAAAAATAAATAAATAAATAAATCTACCAGTTTATAATAATACTTTCAAAACCTAATTTGTGAGTAATATATTCATTTTCATGATTGTAACGATGGTTTCACAGGCATATAGATTTGCCAAAACTCATCAATTTACACACAGTTTATGTCAGTGAGACCTCAATAAAGCTATATTAAATAATTTAATTGGTTACTGTTAGCTAACCAATTTATTGCTGATAGTAATAAGCCAACTCATTATTTTGAAAATTAGTAATAAAGGAAGAGAACTAAGCATTTTTCTTTCCAATTCAAAATGTACTTCAGAACAATCAAATAGTAAAGTTTCTCTTTATAGATATAATTCCATTAATAAGAAATGAAGTAACCTCTAATAAATTAATGACTCTGAGTATAGATCATGAACAACTGCTTACAGCACAAAAACAGGCCATCAGACATCATCTGCCCCCAGTTAGAAGAAAACACCACCACCTATAAAGTTGTCTTGCCAAAGAAAACAAACCCCATTCTGATCAAGCCTCCAGATCTAGCTACCAATTTACATAAAACGCAGAGATGAGAGGAATCTGTTAAATTATACATGAGGATTCGATCAGAAAAACTCAGTGTGAGAGCTCCCCAGAACAAAAGACCCGACTCCACCAAATAACTTGCAAGAGAGAGACAGAACCTATAAGTTTAAAGAGATGTAAAAGACGTATCAACCAAGCACAATATGTGAGCTATATTTAGATCTTGATTCAGAAACACAAAAATTTTAAATCTATGATATTTATAGAACAATTGGAAATTTGAGAATGGATTCACTACTTGCCATTAGGAAATTATTGTTTATTGTTTATGGTGTGATACTGCTATCATGTTTTTTAAAAAAGATTCCTTATATTTTAGACATATTGAAATATTTATGGATGAAAACATATGATATGCAATATTTACATCAAAATCATATGGGAGGGTAGAAGTGGGTAAAACAAGGTGGGCAATAAGTTGATAGGTGGATGGCAGGTACATTGATGTTCATTATGCTGTTCTCCCTACTTCTGTATGTGTTTAAAATATTCCATAATAAAAACTGTCTTTAAGAAATAATAATCCACCCTCTTGGCAAGTTAGCCAACTCTCTTATACTTCTATCCAGCAGAGAAATTGATCCAGTAGCAGCAAACCCCTGGGGCTGTTCATGTCTATTAGTAGTTAGAAAATTCTTTGAGGTTTAAAGATGAAAGATATCATATAATTGTAAGGGATTATTTCTTTATTAAACTCAATAAATGACACAGTAAATTTGGAAATCCAGATCTGATCACCACCTAACTCAAAATTTGGGTCATGTGAAGGATGAGCCTCCTGAGAAATGTCCACAAAGGACCAATGATCAAAGGGTGATTCAATGACATCCTTTCCTATATAAGACACCCCCTTAGATAGAGCAAATCGGAGGCAAAATTATAGAGAAAATTAAGTTCACCTCAGTGCCCCACTCCATCTTCATTTTCAAGACACTTATTCTGCCTCTCCTATTCCCTCCTCTAGGCTCCTGATAAAACTCATGCTAGACCTGAACAACCAAAATTGCTCTTCCACTCAAGACTTCATTCATTCATTCATTTATTCATCCATGCTACTCAACAAACATTAAATGAGTGCCTACTCTGTGCTGGTGATATGGTTTGGATTTGTATCCCCGCCCAAATCTCATGTTGAATTGTAATCCCCTATGCTGGAGAAGGCACCTGGTGGGAGGTGACTGGATCATGGGCATGGTTTTTCCCCTTGCTGTTCTATGATAGTGAGTGAGTTCTCACAAGATCTGGTTGTTTAAAAGTGTGTAGCACCTCCCCACTCTCTTGCGTCCTCCTGCTTCGGCCATGTGAGATGTGCCTGCTTCCCCTTCACCTTCCACCATGATTGTAAGTTTCCTGAGGCCTCCCCAGCCATGCTTCCTGTGCAGCCTGTGGAACTGTGAGCCAATTAAACCTCTTTTCTTTATAAATTACCCAGTCTCAGGTTTTTCTTTATAGCAGTGATAGTGGTGCAAAAATGGACTAGTATAGCTGGGAATACAGATACAAATAAAGTCCATCCCAGAAGAGCTTGTAGGCAATCAGGGCAGCAAGACATTTAAATGAATAATTACAGCACAACCACATGAGCTACAGATAGCATGCGGCGGGACCAGAACAGAGTTGTTACTAACTCTTTCTGGGAGGATCTAGGAAAGTCTTACAAAGGCAGTGTCATTTAATCTGTCTGCAGAAAGTTGAATGGGTATAGCCAGAGGAAAAGGACACTCAAGGCAAAGAAGTAGCATAACCAAAGTCATGAGAGAGCCTAGACACAACTTACTTGTTGATGGAGAAGGTGAGTTTGCAGGGTTGGGGGAGCCAGATCTTGAAGAGCCCTGTGCACTGCACAGTGACCTTGAACTTGATCCTGGGAACCCAGGATGTTTTCTAAGGAGAGAAATGCCTCCTTCAGAGCTGTGACACTGCAGTGACCTTGAACTTGATCCTGGGAACCCCAGGATGCTTTCTAAGGAGAGAAATGCCTCCTTCAGAGCTGTGACACTGCAGTGACCTTGAACTTGATCCTGGGAACCCCAGGATGCTTTCCAAGGAGAGAAATGCCTCCTTCAGAGCTGTGCCCATGTACTTGTTTGTGGGTCATGTTAAACTACAAACTCTTTGCATGGACCTGTTCTGTCTTGTAAACCCAGTTCCCATCACAGATTTAGACCTTTTGCAAGGGTCAGACTTAAAGTCTGTAATTTCCTTTTTCTTTTTTTTAAGACACAACTATAAACAATGCTTTGGAAAGAAGCCCAAGGAAGGAAAAAAAAATAAAAGAGGACTCTTTCCTTTAAGATAAGTCTAGTTTGGCAACATGAGTTAGTCTAACCTTTATTCTCACTCAAAATTCTGGGATGTCCCCCTTCATAAGTATCCTTTGAGAAAAACTGAAAAAGGAGTTACAGGTCAGGAGTCACATCCTGGACACAGAAATTAAGATTCTTGTACAAAGGAGAGGAGGAAAATGTAAGCTCCAAGTCCTCCAAAAAGAGGGTAAAGAGAGCTCACCTTAACAGCAGAAGGATCTGCATCCTCCTTATGGGATTTGATCAGGAGAGGAGGGTCACTGGTGCTGAGCAGAGAGTACTTCCCCAAGAAGCCTCCTTCCCAGCTCTTGGGAATTTGTTCTAAGCTGCTAACAAAGGGGGCTGTACATCTGAAAGATCAAGACTACCCCTGGGAGTTTGAAAATAACCATGCACCCTAAGGGAGCTGAGGGGCTAGACTGCCCACAGCTGGCAGGAAGGAAGTCCCAGGTGGAGGGGAGCTTCCGTTGCTTGGGTAGAAAGACTGCTGACCCTCAGGAAGTGGGTTTTCAGGGTCCAAAGAGCAGCCATGACTTGAGGTGTATTGGGCCCCAAGGGAAGGCCAGAGACATCCAGCCTTCTATGCGGGCCTTTGGGGGTCTCCCTTGGAGACGGCTATGGAGCCTCCTGAGGAGAAGAGGCCTTTTCTAGGGTTCAGGAGGTGGATGCAAAACTTGTGAAGTCCCAGCAAAATCAGCTGGAAATTCCACCCCAGGGACTGGATTTCCTGCTCTGAATCACAGCTTCCCAGTAGAAGTTTTCTTAGATGTCTCTAAAGCTAATTCTCGGCTGGAGTTTGGACATATTAATGCCAGCTCAGACCTGTTGGACTACTGATGCTTTTTATCCCTCTGATAATACAATCCTGTCTTGCCCACTCTTCCTCCAACAGAGTGTTCTACCCCTGGATTTATCGCCACTGTCCAGCCTTAGCATTTGAAGCTGCATTAAACAGAGATAACATGATCTTGGGTACAAGCCATACATGTGACAACTTCTGTTTCTCTAAAATTACCCGCTTAGGTCCTTTGGCACAACTTGATTTCTATTTCCTGCCTTTATTATTCTCCTTCCTATTCATAGACATTTTGGAAATATGTGTGACTGTATTACTTTATTAGCAGTTACTGGCCATGGATAATTAATTTTTTTCTATTGTTCCATCATTGATAGCCATCATCTACTACCACTACAGCTTACTTACCAATTGCTGGGGTAGACACTAATGTGTGCATGACCAACTTGAACATTTTTATTGGTTGAATCTACTTCTGGTACAACTACTCTAAATATCAATCAGTGATGTATTGACAACTGGGCATGATAATCACTCACAAGTTAAAGTTGTGATGCACAAAGTTTGCATTTTACATTGCATCTAACAGCGTCTTTAAAATTCTTTTATACTCTCTGATCTTCAACAAAGCTGACAAAAACAAGCAATGGGGAAAGAACTCCCTATTCAATAAATGGTGCTGGGATAACTCTCTAGCCATATGCAGAAGATTGAAGCTGGACCCCTTCTTTATACCGTATACAAAAATTAACTCAAGATGGATTAAAGATTGAAATATAAAACCCAAAACTATAAAAACCCTGGGAGATAAGCGAGGCAATACCATTCTGGACATAGGAACACGCAAAGATTTCATGATGAAAATGCCAAAAGCAAATGCAACAAAAGCAAAAATTGACAAACGGGATCTAATTAAACTAAAGAGCAACACATTGTTGGTGGGAGAGTAATTTAGTTCAACTATTGTGGACAATATAGTGGACAATATATTGTGGACAATATAGTGTGACAATTCCTCAAAGACCTAAAAACAGAAATACCATTTGACCCAGCAATCCCATTACTGGGTGTATACCCAAAGGAATATAAATAGTTCTATCATAAAGACACATACATGCGTACGTTCACTGCAGCACAATAGCAAAGACATGGAATCAATCTAAATGCCCATCAACAGTAGATTGGATAAAGAAAATGTGGTACATATACACCATGGATGTATTTTGGCATGTATACACCATGGATGCACCACTATTCAGCCATAAAAAAGCAAGTTCATGTGTTTTGCAGGAACATGGATGGAGCTGGAGGCCATTATCCTTAGCAAACTAATGCAGGAGCAGAAAACCACGTACCGCATGTTCTCACTTATAAGTGGGAGCTAAATGATGAGAACACATGGACACATAGAGGGGACAAACAGACAGTTGGGCCTATGAGAGGGTGAAGGATTCGAGGAGGGAGAGGATTAAGAAAAATAATGAGTACTAGGCTTAATACCTGATAATCTGTACAATAAACCCCCATGACACAAGTTTACCTATATAACAAACCAGCACATGTACTCTGAACTTAAAATAAAAGTTAAAGAAGAAAATGTACAATAAATTATAGTTAACCATAAAAAAGCTGACTCTTTCTCATTAAAGTTTCCATCAAGAAAAAATTAAAAAATTTCAAAATAATATCTGTTGTAAACATATTGGAATGTCATATTTCTAAGATTTTTAAAATTTGTGATAAAACAAACTCAAAAGTTGCTTTTTAATGGATGGGAATTGAACAAATATCTCATGTTTGCAAGGAAATGTTTTCGTTTTTTCTGTGATTGGTCTACATTAGAAATACATAGGACTCAGGGATCTGGAATTAAGTGTTTAGGTTGCTTCAGTGCACAGCAACCTTTGAAAAGTGTTTTTGAAGGGCCGGGCGCAGTGGCTCACACCTGTAATCCCAGCACTTTGGGAGGCTGAGGTGGGTAGATCACGAAGTAGGGAGTTCGAGACCAACCTGGCCAACATAGTGAAACCCCATCTCTACTAAAAATACAAAAATTAGCTGGGTGTGGTGGCACACGCCTGTAGTCCCAGCTACTCAGGAGGCTGAGGCAGGAGAGTCACTTGAACCAGGAGGCAGAGGTTGTGGTGAGCCGAGATTGTGCCACTGCACTCCAGCCTGGTGAAAGAGTGAGACTCCATCTCAAACAAAAAAAAAAAAGAAAGAAAAGAAAAGTGTTCTTGAAATAGTACTTAGAGGCTCTGGAAGAAAAGGGAACACACTACTCTCTGAGCACAACACACAAAGTGTATGTGGGAGTGGGGGTAGCCCAGAGAGTTGAGATAATTATCCACAAAGAATTTTGACTGAGAGCGTAATATATTATCTGGCTATAGATCAGTAACAGATTACCCCAAAACTTAATGGCTTAGAATACCAATAAACATTGTCACACTGTGTACCATTTCTCATGGTTTCTGTGGGTCAAAGACACAGGAGCACATCAGGTGGGTGTTTCTGGCTCACGGCTCATGAAAATCTGTGTGATGTTGTTACTTGAGATCACAGTCAAGTTGACAACCAGGGATGTAGTCAGTGAAGGTTTGACAGGGGCTAGAGGATATGATTTCAAGTTTCATCATTGGCAAATTGGTGTTTGCACTTGCTATTGGTAGATCTCAGTTCCTTGTCACATGGCCCTCTCCAGAGGACTGCTTGAGTGTCCTCACAACATGGCAGCTGGCTTCCCCAGAAGGAGCCATCCAAGAGGTAGCAAGGTGGAAGTCACAATGTGTTATTATTTCCTAGCCTCAGAAGTCACACACCATTGGCCAGGCATGGTGGCTCATGCCTGTAATCCCAACACTTTGTGGGGGATGGATCGCCTGAGGTCACGAGTTCAAGACCAGCCTGGCAAACCTGGTGAAACCCCGTCTCTACTAAAAATACAAAAATTAGCTGGGAGTGGTGGTGTGTGCCTGTAATCCCAGCTGCTTGGGAGGCTGAGGCAGGAGAATTACTTGAACCCAGGAGGCGGAGGTTGCAGTGAGCCGAGATCACGTCACTGCATTCCAGCTTCGGTGAAAGAGTGAGACTCTGTTTCAAAAAAAAAGGAAGTCAGACACCATTATTTCTGTAATATCCTATTAATTATACAGGTCAGCTCTATTTGGTGTGGGAGAAGACTGCACAGGTGTTTGAATGCCAAGGGGCAAGCATCATTGAGGGCCTCTTTCGAAGCTGGTTACCACAATAGCCCAGATATATATCAGCCCCTCAATATTTCCAAGTCTTCTACCTTGCTAGAGTTTTCTTGCGCTTCATAATACAATTTTTTAAATCAGCTCAAACACTCATCCTAGATATGGTACTATATATGGCCTGAATGCTTTTGTTCCCCCCAAATTCATATGTTGAAACCTAACTGCTAATGTGATGGTATCAGGAGATGGGGCCTTTGGGAGGTGATTGGATCATGAAGGCAGAGATCTGCCTTGCCGCTTCATCCATGTGAGGACACAGCAAGAAGACATCATCTATGAATTAGAAAGCAGGATTCCACTAGACACTCAAGCTGCCAATTCCTTGATCATGTACTTCCCAGCTTCCAGAACTCTGAGAAACAAATTTCTGTTTTTTATAAGCCACCCAGTCTACAGTATTTTGCGATTGTTGCCTGAATGGACTAAGACAGAAAATTAGCACTGAGAAGTGGGGGTGCTGCTGTAACAAATACCTTAAAATGTGAAAGTGGCTCTGGACCTGGGTAATGAGGAGAGGCTGGGAGAGTTTTGAGTTGCATATTAGAAAAAGCCTACTGTGCAATGAATGGACTTAAAGGGTAATTCTGTTGAGGGCCTAAAAAGAAAAAAGGAGAACTGTAGAGAAAGCCCCAAACTTCTCAGAGAATATTCAAGTGGTTATGATCAGAATGTTGGTAGAAATATGGACAGTAAGGACCATTCTGATGAGGTCTCAAATGGAAATGAACAATATGTTCTTGGACAATGGACAAAAGCCTACCTCTGTTATAAAGTGGCAAAGAACTTGGCTGAATTGTGTTCACATCATAGTGTTTTGTGGAAGGTAGAACTTGCAAGCAATAAAATAGTATATTTAGCTGAAGAAATTTCTAAGCAACATGTTGAAGGTTTGTCTTGGTTTCTTTTGAATGACTATAATAAAATGCAAGAAGAGACAAATGATTTAAAGATGACATTTTTAATCAAAAGGAAAGCAGAACTTTAAAATTTGGAAAATTCTCAGCCTATCCATATTGAAGGAAATGAGAAAGAACAAGAGTGTGGCCAAGCAACCAATAAGGAGACTAATATGGATCTGCCATCTCAACAGAGGCCAAGTGTTATTTAACAAGGCAATGGAATAATTGACCCTGAAGGCATTGGAGTTCATTGGGGTTGACCCTTTTATCAGAAGCCCAGAGTATAAGAGCTTAGGATGGGGCAGAACAATTTCAAGGCTCTGCTCCCTGCATGCAGGCACAGTGCTGCTCAGCCACCCTAGGAATGGCTCCAGTAAGCCCAGTTGCAGTACGGGCTGTGGTGGTTACCTCTCTGGAGGGCACAGAAAAGTCACCCTGGGTGGCACCTGTGTGGTGCCATCTTTGCCAGCAGTTGGCATGCATGAGCCATGGGGGAAGGGCTACCTCCACTTAGATTTTAAAGAATAGAGTCTCTTGGATGTATGACTCAGGTAGAGGGCCACTATGAGGGCAGGGCAATGCCCAGTGGAGCCATGGGAGCAAAGCTGCCCTCATGACTCTAGACTGATAGACTCACGTGCTTGCAATTCCAGTATGGGAGAGCCACAGACAAGCAACTCCAACCCAAGTAAGCTGTGGTATGGGATGCACCTAGCAAAGCCATAAGGGTGGGGCCACCTGGGACCCAACTCCCATGACAGTGTGTTTAGAAAGCAGGACATCAAGTCAAAGAAGAAAATTATTATTATTTCTTTTTGACAGGGTCTGACTTTGTTGTCCAGGCTGGAGTACAGTGGCACAAATACTGCTCACTGCAGCCTCAATCACCAGGGCCCAAGTGATCCTCTCATCTCATCCTTCTGAGTAGCCAGCATTACAGGCATGCACCACCACACCCAGAATTTTTTTTTTAATTTTTTGTAGAAAAGAGGTCTCACTATGTTGCCCAGGCTGGTCTTGAGCTCCTGGCCTCAAGCAATCTTCCCACCTCAGCCTTCAAAAGTGCTGGAATTACAGGTCTGAGCCACCGCACCTGGCCAAGAAGATTATTCTTGAGGCTTAAGATTTAATGTTGTTTGCCCTGTTGGGTTTTGGACTTACTTGGGAACTCTTACCTTTTTCTTCTTTCCTATTTTCCCCTTTTGGAATAGGAATGTCCACCATATGCCAGTCCCACCACTGTATTTTAGAAACACATAACTTGCTTGATTTCACAGGTTCACAACTATAGGGCAATTTACCTCAGACTGAACCATACCTTGAGTCTCACCATATTTGATTCAGATGATATTTAGATGAGTCTTTGGTCTTAGACTTTAAAGTTGAAGCTGGAACAAGTTAAGACTTTGGGAGTAATTGCGGTGGAATGAATGCATTTTGTATGCAAAAAGGACATGAATTTTGGGGAGCCTAGGATAGAATATCATGTTCTGGGTGTTTGTGTCCCCTCCAAATTCGTATATTGAAAACTAGTCATCAATGTGATGGTGTTAGGAGAGGAGGCCTTGGAGCAGTGACTAGGTCATTAGGACAGAGCCTTCATTAATGAGATTAGTGGCCTTATAAAAGAGGCCCCAGAGAGCTGCCTTGGCCCTTCCACCAGGTGAGGACACAGAAGGGGACCCAGGAAGATCAGAAAGGAGGCCCTGCTGGCACCTTGATCTTAGACTTCCAGCCTCCAAAACTGTGAGAAATAAATTTCTGTTGTTTATAAGGTGCCCAGTTTATGGTATTTTGTTATAACAGCCTGACTGACTAAGGCATATATTGTAAAACCAAGTGCCCATCCCAACATCTGCAGGGATTCTTGGAGTGGGAATGGGAGGTGATGAGGCGGCCTGAAGTTTCTCCTAGTCACTTGCGGCTTACAGGGCTTAGAAGCAGGAGCTCTGCTTTGCATGTTGCCTTCTCTGTGCTGTCCTCTTCTGCACCATCTCATCCAACTCATCACTGCCTCCAGGCCATCAGTCCTCAAGGTACCACCAACTCACGGCTGTGTGAAGGACACGCCAGAGGAACATGAAGTGTGGTGGGCTCAGTGTTTTATGGGATGCCACAAATAGTCTAAAATTGAACATTAATCTCTTCAGTTCTTTTCTATTGTTTTGAGGCAGGGTCTCTCTCTGTCACCCAAGCTGGAGTGCAGGAGTCCGATCGTAGCTCACTGCAGCCTCCAACTCTGAGCTCAAGCGATCTTCCCACCTAAACCTCCCAAGTAGCTGGGACTAATCTCTTCAGTTCTTAATGCTGTCTTAGACATTCCTACTACTGAGGAACTGTCCCTTGCAACCCTCTGCTATGGTCTGAATGTTTGTCGACCTCAAAATTCACATATTAAAACCTAACGCACAAGGTGACAGTATTAGGAGGTGGGGCCTTTGGGAAGTGACTAGGTCATGAGGGTGGAGCCTTTTGATTGGATTGTGCCTTTATCCCTGGATATGAGAGTTCCCTTGTGCCTTTTGCCCCTTCCACCATGTCAGGACACCACAAGAAGGCGCCACCGATGAGGAATAAGCCCTCACCAGACACTGAATATGATGGCACCTTGATTTTGGACTTTCCAAGCTCCAGAACTGTGACTGATAAATTTCTGCTGTTCACAAGTTGCCCAGTCTAAAGTGTTTTGTTATGGCAGCCCGAATGGACTAAGCACCGTCTTGGTCAGTCTCTAGTTTCAAAGCCCCAATGCCCCACATTGGACCCAATGACACAGAGCCCAGATCACCTTAAAGAAAGGGCCTATTGTCCCCACTGTGAGAATGGTGAGTAGACAACCTCCACCTGTCATCCTTTCCATGGTCTGCCTCAGTTGCAGTACCACTTCACCCAAGGTCACACCCAAGGTCATCACATGAGGTGGCTCACGTCGAGTGACTGATAAAAGAGGACATATGAAGGCCCAGCCATTTCAGCCCAAGTGGGGACAACTCTAACAGGCCATTTCAGCCCTAGATGGCCCCATAGGGTCTCCTGAGGTTGTGAGGCCTGCAACAAGGCTCAGCTTCTTTTCTCCTATAATCTTGATCCCAAGGGCCCTCTTTAACAGACATCCTGGTCATTAAACTCTGTCTTAGGATCTAACTCCTAGAAAACCCAAACTACAGGCTGGGCGTGGTGGCTCACGCCTGTAATCCTAGCACTTCGGGAAGCTGAGGCAGGTGGATTGCCTGAGCTCAGGAGTTCGAGACCAGCCTGGGCAACATGGTGAAACCCCATCTCTACTAAAATACAAAAAAATCAGCCAGGCGTGGTGGCATGAGGCTGTAATCCCAGCTACTTGGGAGGCTGAGACAGAAGAATTGTTTGAACCTGGGAGGTGGAGGTTGCAGTGAGCCAAGATCATACCATTGTAATCCAGCCTGGGCGACAGAGCGAGACTCAGTCTCAAAAAGAAAAAAAATAAAAAACAAAAGAAAAGCCAAACTACAACACCCCCTGCTATGGTCTGAATGTTTTTTGCCCTCCCGAAATTCATATGTTGAAATCCTAACCCCCAACATGATGGTATTAAGAAGTGGGGACTTTGGGACCAGGCACAGTGGCTCACACTTGTAATCCAGGCACTTTGGGAGGCTGAGACAGGTGGATCACATGAGGTTGGGAGCTCAAGACCAGCCTGGCCAACATGGTGAAATCTCATCGCTAATAAAAATACAAAAATTAGTCGGGTGTGGTGGTGTGCACCTGGAGACCCAGCTACTTGGGAGACTGAGGCACGAGAATCACTTGAACCCAGGAGGTGGAGGTTCCAGTGAGCCGAGATCACGACTTTGGGAGGTGATTGGGTCATAAAGGCGGAGTCCTCATGCTTGGGATCAGTGCTTTTATAAGAGAGATTCCTCTTCCCCATCCACTATGTGAGAGCACAACAAGAAGGTGCTGCCTATGAACCAAGAGGAGATCTCCCCAGACACTGATCTTGGACTTCCCAGCCTCCATAACTGCAAGCAATAAATTTCCTTGTTTATAAGCCACCCAGTTTATGGCATTTTGTTATAGCTGCCTGAACAGACTAAGACATCCTCTTTTCCCTAGAGTCCGTCCAGAGTTTTCTCACTCCTCAAACCCAAAATTCTGTTCATTTCCTTGCAGAGCCAATTAACGGAGTCTGACTCACACCTCGCCCTGGCCACACAGGCCCTCAGTTCTAATTTTTCAGGTTCAAGCTGGTCCCTTGGGATCTTTGTTAAGCAGATCATTCTGTACCCTAAGAATTCCAAACTTGGATGTTAAAGCAGTGATATTTTGGCTCTCCTAACTTGAGGAGGAGGAAAGTGAAATAGGAGTGTCTCCATGTGACTTCCAGGCCTCCCACACCCTGTCTGAACATCAGCCTCTATTTCATCTCAGTTCCTGGTTATACCCAGTCCCTGCCTTCTCAGCCAGCCAGCCCTCTCTTCTCACCTCACTCCCCACACACCTTGTTTGCTCCCTGTTTGCATATGAATCTTGACACCTGCTCCTCTCCCTCTGCATCTGCCTCTCCCAGCCTTCCCACTCCAGAGCTGAGCTGACTCCTCTGCCTTCTTGTAGCCTCAGTCTTGCCAAGCTGCAGAGCCCATCCCAACTGAGAAAAAAAGGGCAAAAAGGACTTTCATGGCTGCAGCTCCTTAGCATGAAGAATTCTTCCTATTGCATGGATGTGTGATGTTTCAGGGTGAAGCTAGCCCCAGCTCACAGCTTTTGGGGCTGGTTTTTATCATACCTCTGAGTCCTGTAGATGAATCTTTGATCCTGATCCCTGTTTCCAGTTCTGCCTCTGCCCCAGCCCTGTTAGACAGGGCCAAGCCTTGTTTTTCCAGTCCCTCAGCCAGAGTGTGGGCTCCTGCTCTGCTTCCCGTAGGGAGAACTGATAGATCCCCCTTCACTGCCTGCCTGCTGAATTCTCAAGCAGGGGCTAGTTCCTGCATTCCCCATAGCAGCACCCTCTGAGACAGCAAGCTCCTCTGGTAGCTTGCTTTGGACCTTTGCTCACGTCTAATTCACATTGCATACAGCTGTCCCTAGGCTGATGTCTTCAGACTCCTTAGCTAACCCTGTACCTCACCCTCCAAAGTGGGCCTCCAAGAAAGAATCACAAGTGAAGGTGGCTTCATCCCCTTGCACACTATTGGTGGGAATGAAAACCGACGCAGCCATTATGGGAAGCAATATGAAAGTTTCTCAAAAATTTAAAAATAGAGCACCATAAGATCCAGCAATCCCAATAATGAGTATCTACCCAAAGGAAATGAAATCAGTATATCAAAGAGATACACGCACTCTTATGTTGGCTGCAGCACTGTTCACAATAGCCAAGATGTGAAAGCTACCTAAGTGTCCATCAATGGATGGATGGGTAAAGAAAACGTGGTATATATACATTATGGAGAACTGTTCAGCTTTAAAAAAGAAAGAAATCCTGTTATTTGTGACAATGTGGATGAACCTAGAGGGACATTGTGCTAAGTGAAATAAGCCAGGCTCAGAAACACAAATACTGCATGATCTCACTCATATGGGGAGTGTAAAAAAAAGTCAAACTCACAGAAGCAGAGAGTAGAGGGATGGTTACCAGGGGCTGGAGACAGGGAAAATGGGGAGACGGGGAGATATTGGTCAAGGGGTGCAAAGTTTCAGTTATACAGGAAGAATAGGTTCTGGAGATCTAGGGTACTGATAATGAATATAGTTGACAATATGGTAATGTATATTTGAAATTTGCTAGACAGGTAGATCTTAAGTGTTCTCAAGACCAAAAAAAAAGAAAGAAAATGATAGCTATGTGTGATGGCAGATATATTAATTAGCTTGATTGTGGTGATTATTTCACAATGTGTGCATATATCAAATCATCACATTGTATACCTTAAATATACGTAATTTTTAATTTGTCAATTATACTTCAATAGTGCTAGGAGAGAAGAGGAAGGAAACTCTTTCCTCTTCCTAAACTGCCTTCCTTCATTTTATTCAAAACCCACCTATTTTTCCTCGACTGTTCCCACCCACAAAAATTTCTACTTCTCTCAATTCCTCTCATGCTTAAAAACACAACCACAGTTTAGGGTTTAGTACATAATTATATCCTTCTTATATTTACTCACTGCCTTGTGTGTGTCATGTCTCACCAACTAATTTGTAAACTCATTAAGTGCAGAGGCGGCCTCTATACAATGCTGTGTTCATATTAGGCTGACTCATTCATTCATTCATTCATCAGGTATTTCAGGAACTACCATGTCCGAGGCATCACTCTAGATACAGAGATACAGGAGCTAAGGCAGCAAAAATAAACAAAGTCCCTGCACTCATGGTAGGAAGACAGACAATCAAATAATTACATAAATCAATGGAAAATTACCTTACTCTAGGGGGCTGTCATGGGAAACAGGATGACAGTTCCTCAAAAAAGTAAAAATAGAATTGCTATATGATCCAGCAATCCCACTTCAAGGTAGATACCCAAAAGAATTGAGAACAGGGTCTCAAAGAGATATTTGCACGCCCATGTTCACAGCAGCATTATTCCCAATAGCTGAAAAGTGGAAGCAATCCAAGTGTCCATTGATGGAAGAATGGGTAAGCAAAGTCTGGTGTATCACGGAATATTTAGCTTTAAAAAGTAGGAAAATTCTGACCCATTCTACGACATGGATGGAACTTGAGGACATTATGTTTAGTAAAATAAGCCACTCACAAAAACCCAAATACTGCAAGATTCCACTTACATGAGGTCCCTAGAGGACTCAAATTCATAGGGACAAAAAGTGGAACGGGGGTTGCCAGAGGCTGGAGGAAAGGGGAAATGGGAGTTGGTGTTTAACGGGTGCAGAGTGTCAGTTCTGCAGTAAGAAAGGAGGTCTGGAAATAGACGATGGTGATGGTTGCACAACAATGTGAATGTACTTACAACTGCTGAATTGTATACCTAAAAAAATGGTTATGATTGTAAACTCTAAGTTAAATGTATTTTACCACAATGAAAAATAATTTCAGAATAATAAACAAAATTAAACCAGAGCAACAAAGGTAAGGAAAGGCTGTCCAGAGGAAGCAATGGCTGGGTTGAGTTCTGAGGACGGAGTGAGGGCTGACGAGGTTAGTGGGAGCTCTGCCCTTCCCCACCCCTGAGTGTATCAGCTTACACAAATCACTGAACTGGCAACCCACCCTGAACTGCCTGGCCCAGGCCAGTGCTTACAGGCAGATGTTCCTCCCAAGGGATGGAGCTCATTCGGTAGCCCTCTGCACTGGGGCTAAAGAACGATGTATGGGAGTAGAAGCTTTCCACTACTATATCCTGTAATTGAATGTCCTTGATACATGAATGACACTTCAGGTTTCATGCTATTTTGTTTTCCAAGGGCTAAACCAGCCTCTCTAAAACCCTAGTATTCATCCCAAGATTCATCGGAGGAGATTGTCATAGGCAGATTTCTAGGTCCTGTCCCTACACCCCATTCTGATCCAATAGGCTTGGTGTGAGGCCCGGACATAGATATTGTAAGTAAGGTACCTCCTCCAAGTGATTTTAAAGCCAACCTTTCAGAGACTACACACTTGTGAAATTCTGAAATGGATCTTTATTGATTTTGTAAGCTTTAAACTTCTGACTTGGAGCACTGTTATTATTGTTATTAATTTGCCACTTGTTTGTAGGATTGGGAACTGAACATTCATTTCGGAATGGCCTCACTATCTGAAGAAAATAAACAGTACAGGTAAAGACACATATTCGCATGATGCCTATATCTCAAACTACTTTACAGACAAAATTACCCTCTACAACTTTCTGGGAAACAAAGAAGCATACAGCTGCCTATCAGTATCCATGTGCGACACCATTCCAGGAACCCCTGCAGATACCAAAATTTGAGGATGCTCAAGTGCCTGATATCAAGTGGCATAGTATTTGCATATAATCTACACACATCCTCCTCTATACTTTAAGTCATCCCTAGATTATTCATAATACATAATACAACACAAATGCCATGTATATAGTTGTTGTGCTGTATTGTTTAGGGAATAATAATAAAAAAGTCTGTACATGTTCAGTACAGACACAATTTTTTTTCCAAACAGTTTCGATCTGTGGTTGGTTAAGTCCAGAAATGCCAAACCCACAGAGGGCTGACTCTAATGCCCCATTCTATAAATAGATGAGTGAACGCAGGCACAGGCAGTAATACAACTTATATAAAAGACAGGATTGTGGCTGGGTGTGGTGGCTCACGCCTGTAATCCCAGCACTTTGGGAGGCTGAGGCGGGCGGATCACTTGAAGCCAGGAGTTCAAGACCAGCCTGGCCATCATGGTGAAACCCCATCTCTACTAAAAATACAAAAATTAACCAAGCATGGTGGTGCACATTTGTAATCCCAGTTATTTGGGAGGCTGAGGCAGAGAATCACTTCAACTCAGGAGGCAGAGATTTGCAGTGAGCTGAGAGTGCAGTGCACCACTGTACTCCAGCCTAGGTGACAGAGTGAGACTCGGTCTCAAAAAAATAAAAAAATTAAAAATTAATAAATAAATAAAACCCAGGACTGTGACATGATCTGGCTCTCAACCTGCCTTTCTATGTATCAGAGTTGGTTCAGCCCACCAGCTCTGCGGGGCCTTGATTCTCTAGGGGCAAGGCTGTCAAAGCCACTTGGTTCAAGCATGCACAGGATCTGTTTACTAGCTTATTAGCCCAAGCTATTAAAATGTGTTCCTGGAAATCATTATTAAGTGAAAGTGGGCATATTTTGCACTCCATCACCCTGAAATCATTATATTCCATACCACCCTGCAATGATGATCACAGCTGACCCATGACCCTGCACAGTTCTAAGGGGGAAATCTTGCTCAGTCAGCGAAGGAAAATTATTCACTATTCTGTGTGGTTACACCATGAGCTAAACTTGACAGAATCATATCTCTTTGAAAACTGGTAACAGGTATATAGTAATGATGTATTATTAAATAGCATGTTTGTTTTATAAACCCAAGCATGCCAATCATGGCAAGCAGTGGTCCAGTTGCCCCTCTCTGCTACTGTATGACACTGTTCATTTCACTAGGGCTCTGGATGGGACTGGATATGGATGTAATGAGCATCTGTGCAGACTTTGGAACAAAGAGCATTCTGTTACTAAGCAGGGGCTATGGCTTTGTTTTTGTTTGTTTGTTTGTTTTTGGGGTTTTTTTCTAGATCTTTTACCTTTGCAGAAAACCCATTGTCCAGATGTTTAATTTCTATGATTTTTAACACTTTCTAAAACATTCACTGGCTTGACCACTCAATCCTTACCATCTCATTCACTGGTGTCTTATCTCCCTCGTGGGTCAATAAGCAACCTAGGAAGAGCCAGGATTAAATTCTAAGCCTCCTGACTCTTTCCACCATAATGTTCCACGTGTAAAAATCACCCCACGCCCGAGGAACTTGCCACTTTTTAATAATTTTATGATACAAGATAGGACGATGGTCTGCAAAACATGTCCAATCATTCTTGAAGTCTGATTAACTGGTGTTTGAATCCCAGTTCTGTCAGCTGGGCTGCTTCCATCCACAAGTAACAGAAACAATAAATCAAATCCTTAAAAATAACGAGTATGTTTGCCTGTTCTCAGGACAAGAAATCCAGAGGTACGTTGGCTCTAGGTAGCTCATTAGTGCGGTGCCTCAATGATATCATCAATGGTCCAAGTTCTTTCCATCTTTCTATCCAACCCCAGGCATGCATCCAGACTCAACATCCAACAGAAGAAAAGACTAGTAACATCTTGAGCCTAGTTTTCTTTATCTGCAAAATCGTTTTAACATGTGTGTGTACTTGACGCAGCTGTTGTAAGAATTCAGCAAGCCCGAAGCAGAGCACATGGCCTGGAGCAGATGCTCAGTATGTGAGGATTGAACGAGATCCGACACAGCCTTGCAGAGGATGTTATCTGAGTAAGTGTCTGGGCCCTGGAATTCTCCCACTTGGATTTGAAACCTGACACCAGGCCAGCGGTGGCTCAAGCCAGTAATCCCAGCACTTTGAGAGGCCGAGGCGGGTGGATCACTTGAGGTCAGGAGTTCGAGACCAGCCTGGCCAACATGATGAAACCCTGTCTCTACTGAAAAACACAAAAATTAGCTGGGCATGGTGCCGGGCACCTGTAATCCCAGCCACTCAGGAGGCTGAGGAAGGAGAATCGCTTGAATCCAGGAGGCGAAGGTTGCAGTGAGCCGAGATGGCACCACTGCACTTCATCCCGGGTGACAGAGCGAGACTCCAGCTAAAAAAAATAAAAATAAAAATCTGATACAGCCACTTACCAGCTGAGTGAGTTGGATAGATACATTTACAATATTTCTAGGCCTTTTTCTTCATCTATAGCATGAAGATAATAACAGCACCTAACTTAAAGGGTTTGGAGGAAGTTAAACACAATGATGCCTGCAAAATGATCCCTGACACTGAGCCTGCTACCTGGGGACTGCTCAGTAAAGTGGAGCAATCATTTTGATTATGACGATAAGCAGGAGAGCAAAGGGGGCCATAGCTTGGTGATGTAAGTTGAATTTACTGGGTCCTAAAGATGCACTTGGAGAGGGAGTCTCACTCGCCTACCAAAGTGAAAGTCTCTAAACCAGGCACCCGGGTTCATGCACCTAGCTTACCAACAGCCTGGCTCACCCAGCAACTCGGGAGGCTGACATGGGGGGATGGTTTGAGCCCAGGAGCTCAAGGCCAGCCTGAGCAACATAGCAAGACCCCAACAACAACAACAACTCTGGTGGTGGGATAAGGCAGGTAAAGTGAGACCAGGGCTTTAGTTAAAGCCTTCAGTTACCCAGGGGAAGGTGAAGCCTGAGTTGTGGTGATGAATCCGGGAGGCCTCTGCTGGGATCTTGTCAGGGCGCTAGAGCTGCCTTTGCTCCAAGGCGAGGCGCCGGCGGCAGGGCAGGGCCGGGCCCCTGGAGCACCGTATGTAGCAGTGTGCGAGCGGCGACGACAGCGGGAGCCGGGCGTGGCGCCCCCGCGTCCAGACCAGACCCTGGAGCAGTTCCACGCCAAACGATCCGGGCACCTGGGGAAGCGGGTCCCGCGGCCAACTGGGAAGCCTCCCCTCCTCCCGCTGCTCTACCCGCCGTGCAGGAAGCAAAGCACGGATTTCTACAGGCTGCTTTCCCTTGAAAAGGCTGCGCGCAAAGCCTCCGCTGAGTCCCCCGACTTCGTGACCTGAATGGTAATCTCGCTTAGAATGAATTCTAGTATTTGCTATTACTCTAACTGATTCCATGGTCAGCCTCGCATTCCACCAGTGAGACGCTTATGGGAAGGGTCAAATGGCTTTAGGGACTCACAGGCTGACTTGGTTATTCACAGAGAAGTAAATGTTTTGCTTACCCAGAAGATGACGATTCTAGGCTTGGGTGGTGCTGTGATCCCACTCCAGGAGGGCGCTCCACCGATTCTCTCCTCTGGCACCTCCAAAAAGTAGTTATTTCAGAGGCAAAGGGTGCGGGCTGCCTGGAACACACATTAACAAATCGTTTGAAGAAGGCATTAGTGCTAAAGATGTCGGTGCCACAAAACCAGGCCGGTGGCTAGTTTTATAAGGGCACAAGGGAGTCAAAAGTCCCAGGTTCAAATCCTGGGTCTCCACTTTGGCTAGAGTAAATTCCCCAGCTCATTGGACGTGCAATCATTTTGTCTACAAAATGCCATTCCACACCCTACGCCAAGGGTGTAATAAAAAAATGACCAGCCATTAAGGAGCTGAGGCAAAAGAAACAACAAATCATCAAGACTGATACGTCGTCTTTATTTAAACTTTTGAGGGGGCTGGATGATGATACATTACTTAATAGGTACAATGTACGTTATTTGGGTGTTGCGTATCCTAAAAGCCTTGACTTGACCACTACACAATCTATGCGTGTAACAAAATTGCACTTCTACCCCATAACTTTGTACAAATAAAAATGAAATAAAATGTTGGTCATTTTCTCATCATTAACTTTTTGCATTTATTTATTACCTTAAATATGGGATTGAATATTATTCATCTTGATTACTGAGTAAGAGTGTTTTGGGGGAGGCACCCCCTTAAATTTTGCACAAGATAAAATAATGTATGCAAACATGCCAGGAACTCTATAGACTTTCCATAACGTTTGCCAAAGGAATGCATAGAGAATTGGGGGCTGAAGTTCGGGGCTGGGAGCCACATGAACACATCCTCTAGGCTGTTCGCGTATTGGACCCTTTGACACAAGCTCATTTCATACCCTGACGGCTTTGAGTTAAGTGTTCACTTCTCCATCTTTTTTCCAAGGCTGCATAATTAAATGTAGAAAGATGATGTTCCCTGGTTCTCCGCAGGCTGCAGTTTGCAGGCACAGTAGCAAGGATGCTTCTGCTATGAGTCATTTGAATTCTTTCTCCTGCTGCCCCTTTCCCACACACCTGCATGTGGGACAGCAGGCAGACTTGATGCACCAGCTGTGGGCAGTGGGCAGAGCGGCACAACATGTTTTCCTGGGTGAGCACCTTGGGGCAGCTGGGGAATCCCTGAGAGTCCTGGCCTTGGGGGCACCAAGGTTGGAGGGGTTCACAGAAGCTCATTGCAGACCCATGCTGGCACCTTAGTAATCCAGATACTTTTTTTTTTTTTTTTTTTTTTTGAGACAGGGTCTCAGTCTGTCGCCCAGGCTGGAGTGCAGTAGTGCAATCTCAGCTCACTGCAACCTCTACCTCCCAAGTTCAAGTGATTCTCCTGCCTCAGACTCCTGAGTAGCTGGGACTACAGGCATGCGCCACCACACCCAGCTAATTTTTTTGTATTTTTTGTAGAGACGGGGTTTCTCCACGTTGGTCAGGCTGGTCTTGAACTCCTGACCTCAAGTGATCTGCCCGCCTTGGCCTCTCAAACTGCTGAGATTACAGGCATGAGCCACCACGCCCAGCCCTGTGATTTAGATACTTTTGAAGCTTGGTCACCATCTTTCAGGGTAGGGAGAGAAAGTGGAATGACAGAGGAGAGGAAAAACTGATTAGCAGTGTAAAATAGACACTGAAATTCTTTACTGTTGGTTTCCTTTTTGGAAAATGAAATGCTGTTCGGAAGGTTTCATTTTTAAAAAAAATGACTCTAATCTTATGTTTAACCTAGAAAAAAGTATTTAGAGCTTAGCAGTTTAAAAAAATAACTCCTTGATATGTAACGTTTTATAAATGAGCTGTCTGTTGAACAGAATTGGTCTTGGAGTACGATGACATAAAGTAGAATGGATGGCGTGTTTGCTTGTTTCTGAGAGCTTAATTGAATTCGACTACTGAGTTGGTAAGGACCTACTTAAAACAGCTCCCACTTCAACTCCTCAACTCATCTCTTCCTTCTATTCTTGTCCCTTTATTCTCTACTCTTCCCCTCTAGGAAAAAGGAACAAATCAATCACTGAGTCCTTGCTATGTGCCAAGTCCTCTGTTAGGGTTTCCCATGTGTTACCTAATTCTGTGCTCAAAGGGTGCTGTGAAGTAGACAATCTCATGGTCATTTGAAGGATGAAGGCACAGCCCACTTCACCCAGAATCTAATGGCTGCACCGGGCTTAGCCAGGCCTTCTGGTCTTTCTCCAGCCCAGCCCCTCACCCCAACCACCATTTCAAATGCTGGCTTCAATTCTGCCATAGTCAATAATTAGATTAGTAGATAATAGGCATCCTACAAAATGTTGTGACACCCAAATACTTCTTATGTTATTAATCTCCATCCATTTTGTTTGAAAGGTAAGAGGTTTCATATTTTGTATGAAAGGTAACATTAATTCCCTGTGCTCCAAATGAGAGAACAGAAGTGTCTTGAGATGAGCACTGTCTGTAATCATTAACTGGATGAACACAGGTCCCAATCCTGACAAGAACCCTGTTCCTCATCCAGCAGACCCCGCTGCACAGAGGGCTCCCCCTTTCTTTGGGGCTGCTTCTCCTGAACAAAATGAAATGCTCTGCGTCCATGGCAAGCAGAGAATATCAAAGGACCAAGTACACAATATTCGGTGATCAATTTCAGGGACAGCAACCATCTCTTTGCAGTTCAGAGGGCAGATTTAACAGGAGCTCTGTGCACGTGTTGGGAAAGGCACAGAGAGAGGGAGGGAGAGGTGTGAGAAGGGAACAGAACATTTGAGAAAAAGAGCATGAGCATGTAGGTGGAAGAATGACACCATTTCTTCTTTCGTTTTGGCCTGGGATGAAAAACACAGCGTCATCACTTCTGTTTCCCTCAGTGTAAGATGTGAAGACATTAATGACAGTTCCTGCGTAGGGTGGGAGAAACACAGAAGGGAAAAACAGCTATGCGCCTTCTCCAGAATGGAAGATGTGAGAGACCCTGCAATTTGCCTGCCTTAAACATCCATCTGTCCCTTCCTTCTTTGTATCAGAACCCCAATTTTTAGCTGAGCAAGTTCCTGCCTAGCTGAAACACTTCCTTTCCCAGCCTTCCTTGTATAAGGTGTGGACATATGTTCAATTTCTCACCAAAGAGATGTCAGCAGGAAGATATGGGACTTAGAAAAGTCTATTTAAAAGGGAAGGGAAGCTCATCTCATCTCCCCATTCCTCTATTTGCTGTCTTGAACACAGATGTGATGGCTGGAGCACTAGCAGTCACCATGGGCCATGAGGCCATCCTAGAGGTAAAGTTGGGAGGACTCTCTAATGGCTTTGTGAAACTGTCACACCAACCCTAGAATGCCTAACTTTAATCTTTTACATGACAAATAGAATTTTCTCTTACCTAGGAAACATAGGGGGTTGAGGGGAGAAATGTTTCCACTACATGCAGATGAATGTAATGCTAAATGATAGGGAATTTCTTTCTTTCTTTCTTTAGAGACAGTGTCGCTCGTTGCCCAGGCTGGAATGCAGTGGTGCAATCTCAGCTCACTGCAACCTCCACCTCCCAGGTTCAAGCATTCTCCTGCCTCAGCCTTCCAAGTAGCTGGGACTACAGGTGTGTGCCACCATGCCCAGCTAATTTTTGTATTTTTAGTAGAGACAGGGTTTCACCCATGTTGGCCAGGCTGGTCTCAAACTCCTAGCCTCAAGTGATCCACCCGCCTTGGCCTCCCAAAGCGCTGGGATTACAGGTGTGAGCCACCATGCCCAGCTGCTAACCGATAGAGAATTTATGCTGAAACAACACAATCCCATTTGGCTAGGAAACTTTCTTTTCCCAATGCATAGAAAGATATCATGGGCAGAAGAAGAAAAGGTGTGTAATGAGTCTCACCTTTCTCGCATTATTAAAATGTCCCATCCATTTCAGAGGCCAGAATAACTGCATTGATGCCAGAGTAACTGTATTGACTGACTAAATATTTCCTATGCATTATTCATGTGCCAGGCACAGGAAGGACTCTGCCCAGAGAAGTCCCTCCCCTCTTGTTTCACAATAACTTAATAAACTAAGTCAAGGCATCAACAGCTTTTCAGAAGGCACCCAGTGCCTCCCTGGCACTGCAAGAGAGAACTGAATTCTAGAGACAACCGATTATTAATTCAAGAGACAACTGATCATAGTTGTCACTGACCCTGGTGAGAGGATTAAGTGATATTAATACACCCCAAGATGTCATGTACTTTCCTCTTTTAAACTTAATGCTAACCTGGCAATCGATATCATTGTCCTCAATTTATGCATGTATGAACTGGAACACAGAGAGATTGACCCACTTGCACTTAGAAAGCCAGCCAGTGAATCTCTAGGATACAGTAGATATTTGCTAAATATATGTTGAATAAATGAATAAAAAACTGCGGTGTTTCCACTGCCTTGCAGAGCATAAATGTAAAAGACTAAAACATATGTTAAAAAAAAAAAAAAAAAAAAAAGCTGACACATGGAACATTCCTCTTCCCAAATATCTTTGGAATGAATGAATGAGAATGGCTGTAGGTGTTGCCCTGGAAGGATGAGGATGGTTTATCTGCTCTGGACTTCATGCAAACAGCTTTATCAATCAACCCACTAACCAATCTTCTAGATCCTACCACACTGCTCAGGTTCTTCCTGTGATCCATGAACTGCAGCCTAGCCATGGTACCAGGGAGAAAGAATAAGACACACTCCTGCCCTCAAGTGTTTGCCAGCAAGAACAGAGGCTCCACTGTGGATACTCTGGGTTTTAGATATGACTCCACTACCAGGTATGTGACCTTAAGTAAGTCACTCAATCACTCAGCCTCAAATGCTTTATCTGTAAGTTAGGGTTTTATGCAACAAATAGAAGCCAGCACAGTGGCAAGTGCCTATAGCCCCAGCTATTCAGGAGGCCAAGGCAGGAGGATCGCTTGAGCCCAAGAGCTTGAGGCTGCAGTGAGCTATGATTGTGCTGCTGCACTCCAGCCTCTGCAACAGAGTGCAACCTTGTCTCTTAAAAATAACAATAAATAAGAATAAATAAATAGAGACTACGCATTATGCTAGCCATGGAGGATGCAGAGAGAAAAGACATAATACTTGTCCTTAAGGATCTGAGTCCAGTGAGGTAATCTACAGATGAACAAGATATAATGATGTGGTTATCTGGTAACATGCTGTTCTGCCCCTGAAGTCTCTAATTTGGGATGCATAAAAAGTACCCCAACCTGGCTCAGAGGAAGAAGTGCAAGAGCTTCTCTCCATCCTACCTGTACCCCTAGCACTGCCATTCTGCTGGATTTCCAGTCCTCTTTTTTTTTTTTTTTTTTTTTTTTCAGACAGAGTCTCATTCTGTCACCCAGGCTGGAGTGCAGTGGTGCAATCTCGGCTCACTGCAACCTTTGCCTCCCAGGTTCAAGCGATTCTCGTGCCTCAGCCTCCCAAGTAGCTGGGATTACAGGCGTCCACCACCATGCCTGGCTAATTTTTGTACTCTTTGTAGAGACAGGGTTTGACCATGTTGACCAGGCTGGTCTCAAACGCCTAGCCTCAAGTGATCCACCCACCTCAGCCTCCCAGAGTGCTGGGGTGACGGGCATGAACCACCGCACCCGGCCAGGAACTTCTGACTCTCCTGGCATTGCAAGGCAGTGTCCCCTCCAGAGGCCCTAAGGCTGTTGTTGGCTCTTAGTGGTGGCCCCAGCATGATCCCGCTTCCTGCCCACCCTCCTCCCGCCCCATCTCCAGCACTTCCTAGGCGGTGAGTGCTCAGGAACGGAGGCCAGATCCCTGTCAGAGCCAGTGTCCCCTCCCCTGCTCCCATTCCTGTAAACCCTCATGAGTCCTCCCAAAGCATAGTCAGTCCTCCCTCCCCAGAGGCCTAATTTTACTTCTTTTTTCAAATGATAGGTTTCCAAGGCCTACAGCAACAGACATTAGGACAAAATCCAAGACTTCAGTAATACAAAATGGAGAATCCAGATTTTAAAGACAGATGGTCTTCCTTCCCAACAAGGGAAAGAAAATGATTTTACTTGGATTGGCACAGTACCAGTCAAGACGCGCCACGGTAGGTAACATTCCAGCTAAACTCTGAGGATGACGAGCTATCCTCAGACAATAATTGATATTTTGAGCATTTCCAGCACTACGTGCCAGGCAGGCACTGCACTAAACGCTTTACAGCTCAGCTCGTTAATCCCCCTCAGACAATGCCACAATAGAATCTAGAATCCACTGCATTTTACAGATGAAAAAAATAGATACGGAGAGTGATGTGACTTTCCCTAGGTTCAGTTGATTTGAATCCAGCCCATTGGCCTCCAGGGCCCACACTTCTAAACACTCTTCTCTGAGCCTTTTATTCCTGGCTTTGAGGATCACACCAGATGTTCTTTCCTTGGCTTACAATGCCCCTTAGTCTAAGCAGCTCCTACTGACTCCTGGGTTTTCACTTGTATTAGTCTGCTGGGGCTGCCAATGCAAAATGCCACAGACTACAGGCCTTAAACACCAGAAATGTATTTTCTCATAATTCTGGAGTCTGGAAGTCCAAGATCCAGGTGTCAGCAGAGTTGGTTTCTCCTGAGCCTCTCTCCTTGGCTTGTTGACAGCTGTTTTCCCCTGTGTCCTCACATGGTCATCCTTCTGTGCGTGTGCCTTCCTGGTGGCTCTCTTGTGTGGCCAAATTTCTTGTTCTTCTAAGGACAGCAGTCAGATTCCATTAGGGCCCACCTAATGGCCTCCTTTTACCTTTGTCACCTTTGTAAAGCCTCATCTTCAAGTACAGTCACATTCCGAGATACTGGGGATTAGGATTTCAACACATATTTTGGGAGGGAGGACATAATTCTGCCCAAAACACAGGTTAAATCTCATTTCTCAAGATAAACATGATCTCCTGGATGAGGTTAGGTTTGTTTTTTTTTTTCTTAGAGTCAATGTCTCTCTCTGTTGCCCAGGCTTGAGTACAGTGATGAGATCATAGCTCACTGCAGCCTCGAACTCCTGGGCTCAAACTATTCTCCTACCTCAGCCTCCCAAGTAGCCGACATTACCGGTGTGCACCACCACACCCAGCTAATTTTTAAATTTTTTTTACAGGTGGGGTCTCACTATGTTGCCCAGGCTGGCTGCAAAGTCCTGAGCTCAAATGATCCTCCTGCCCTGGCATCCCAAAGTGCTGGGATTACTGGCACGAGCCATCACACCCAGCTGGTTCCTCCTATTAAATGCTTCCATAGTGCCCCATACATGTTCCTCTAGCATTTAGAACTACTATAATTAGTATTTAAATGACTATTTGTTTGATATCATCTCACCTGAAAGACGTAACTGCCATGAGGGGAGTGATCATGGCTGTCTTGTCCTCTTAATGTCCCCTGTTTCCCAGCACAGTGCTTGACATCTGATGGGCACTGTCTTAGCTCAGACTGCTATAGCAAAAATGCCATAGACGGGGTGGTTTTAACAAAAAACGTTTATCTCTCACGGTTCTGGAGGCTGGGAAGTCCAAAATCTAGATGCAGGCAGATTCAGCATCTACTGAGGGCCTGCTTCTTGGTTTTCAGAATGCTGGTTTCTTGCTGGTGTGCTCGTGGTAGAGAGCAGAGAGAAAGAAAGCAAGCTCTCATATGTCTCTCTTCCTCCTTCTCCTCCTCTCATATGTCCCTTGTCCTCCTCCTCTTCCTCCTCCTCCCCCTCCTCCCCCTCCTCCCCCTCCTCCTCCTTCTTCTTCCTCCTCCTCCTCTCATATGTCCCTCGTCCTCCTCCTCCTCCTCTTCCTCCTCCTCCCCCTCCTCCTCCCCCTCCTCCTCCTCCTTCTTTTTCTTCTTCTTCCCTTCTTCTTCTTCTTCCTCCTCTTCCTCCTCCTCCTCCTTTTCCTCTTACTCTTCTTCTTCTTCTTCTTTTTAGAGACAGGGTCTCACCCTGTCACCCAGACTGGAGTGCAGTGCAATGATCATAGCTGACTACAGCCTCAAACTCCTGGGCTCCAGAGATCCTCCCAACTCAGCCTCTCAAGTTGCAGGGACTATAGTCATGCACCACCACTCTGGGCTAATTTTTTTAATTTCTTATAGAGACAGAAACCTCACTATGTTTCCCAGGCTGGTCATGAACTTCTGGGTTTAATCAATCCTCTTGCCTCAGTCCCCGAAAGTGCTGGGATTATAGGCGCAAGCCACTGCACCCAGCCTTGTGACTCTCCTTTTTTATTAATGTTTAGGTTTGGGGGTTCATGTGAAGGTTTGTTACATAGGTTAACTCATGTCATGGGGTTTGTTGTACAGATTATTTCGCCACCCAGTTATTAAGCCTAGTATCCTGTAGTTATCTTTTCTGTTCTTCTCCCTCCTCCCTCCACCCTCGAGTAGACCTCAGTGTCTGTTGTTTCTTTCTTTGTGTTCATAAGTTCTCATCGTTTAGCTCCAAGTGTCTCTTCCTCTATGGGTGCTAATATCATGAGGGCTCCACCCTGATGACATAATCACCCCAAAGTCCCCCCTTCTAATACCATCACATGGAGGATTCAACATAGGAATTTGGGAGGGGCACTGTCAGCCTAGACCAGTTATGCAATTTTTAAATAGAGTGTGGAATAAGGTAAAAAAATTTTTTTCAGTTGCAAAGCATCACGGAACCACTAGTTATTATTAGGATTTTTTTTCTTTTTCTTTCTTTCTTTCTTTTTTTGAGACCAAGGCTTGCTCTGTCACCCGGGCTGGAGTGCAGTGGCACCATCTTGGCTCACTGCAACCTCCACCTCCCAATTCAAGCAATTCTCCTGCCTCAGCCTCCTGAGCAGCTGGGACTACAGGCGCGCACCACCACACCTGGCTAATTTTTGTACCCAGCTAATTTTAGTAGAGATGGAGTTTCACCATGTTGGCCAGGCTGGTCTCAAACTCCTGACCTCAGGTGATCCGCCTGCCTTGGCCTCCCAAAATATTGAGATTACAGGTGTGAGCCACCATGTCTGGCCAGGGTCTTTTTTAAAATGAAAGAATATTACCACTGGAGTCATCCTAGGGATTATTTCATTTTCTCACAATAATGAGGAGATTGTTGCCAGCAAAGAAACCTTAAGAAAATTGACACTCTGCCACACAGCACTTTGTTTTTCAGGTTGGGTAGTAACCAGATAAAAGTATAAGCTTTTATTTTCTTTTAAAGCAGTGCCAGAATCAGCTCATACCAGCTCATGAGAGCCTATTTTTAAATCTTCAGTTATTTTTTTAAGTCAGCTGTTAAACATAGACATTACTCAAACTTAAACACTATAAATGTATAATTAAATACATATTAAGAAACAAAGGAAATACTTAAAGTTGATTGCTTCTTAATTATTTTACCACGTTTGTTATGGGCTGAGTCGTGTCCCCCTCCCCTAAATTCCTGTGCTGAAGCCCTGACGCCCAGTACCTCAGAATGTGACTGTATTTGCAGAGGGGTCTGTAAAGAGTTGATGAAGGTAAAGTGAGGTTATTAGGGTGGGCCCTAATCCAACAGGATAGTATCTTCATAAGCAGAGGGAATTTGGTCACACAGAGAGACCCCCAGAGGTCCACGTGCACAGAGGGACAAGCATGTGAAGAGACAAGAAGACAGTGGCCATCCGCAAGCCACGGAAAGAGGCCTCAGGAGAAACCAACCCTGCTGATGTCTTGACTGTCAACTTCCAGCCTCTAGAGCTGTAAGAAAATAAGTTTCTGTTGTTTAAGCCCCCAGCCACACACCGGTACCAGTTCATGGCCTGTTAGGAACCAGGCTGCACAGCAGGAGGTGAGCGGAGGGTGGGTGAGCGTGACTGCCTGAGCTCCCTCCTCTGCCTACTGTCAGATCAGCGGTGGCATTAGATTCTCATAGGAGTGCCAACTCTGTTGTGAACTGTGCATGCGAGGGATCTAGGCTGCATGCTCCTTATGAGAATCTAACTAATGCCTGATGATCTGTCACTGTCTCCCATCACCCCCAGATGGGACCATCTAGTTGCAGGAAAGAAAGCTCAGGGCTCCCACTGATTCTACATTATGGTGAGTTGTATAATTATTTCATTATATATTACAATGTAATAAGAATAGAAATAAAGTGCACGATAAATGTAATGTGATTGAATCATCCCGAAACCATTCTCCCCACCTTTGGTTTGTGGAAAAATTGTCTTCCATTAAACCAGTCCCTGATGCCAACAGGTTGGGGACTGCTGGTTTAAGCAACCCAGTCTGTGGTCCTTTATTATGGCAGCCCTGGCAGAGTAATAAAACATTTTACTATTACCTATACGCTTGAGGTTGTGAGTCCTACTGGATGTATCAGGTGGAAAAACTGTGTGATGGTGAGCTGCTGGGCATCTCTTCCCAAGGCTGTGCTCAGTACAGGTAGCTTGAAACTCACCGTGGTAGACACATTTACACCGTGGAAATTGACAAACACCGTAAACCAGAGCTTTTTCTCTCAGAGAACCCAACGCGCAACATATATCAGCAAAACACTACCTCGAAAGAGCCAAGGAGAGAAGAGTGGGAAGGAGGGACTGATCAGGGAGAAATGTAAGAAAAGGTTTGACTTTTCTTTCACCCATTCACTTTAGCTGACTCTGCTAGTTTCCTACCCTGTATCCATCTCCCCTTCCTGCTGACCAGCAACACCCAGACTTTGTTTAGGATAGTACTGCTGTCAACTAAAAACACTTGCCTTCCCAAACTCCCTGGGAGCTGGGTATTGAGTTCTCTGTTGCTTGCAGCCTAAGTGTATTTCTGAGTGCTTTATCTACACACTAAATGAAATATGAAACTGAAAACCACTGTCTCTGACAGTAGGTAATATGTAAGCACTAAGGACAGAAAGCATTCAAAAAGAACAAGTAAGCAATGCTCTCTAGGTGTCCACAAATTGTCTTAGCCAAGTGTCCAAGTCCCAGTTCTCCAGGACTGAAAAAATGGAAAATCATAAACTTTCAAATGAATGATGAGGTAGAAGCTGGAATTTGCAGTCAGGCCTAGTGGCATGTGCCTGTAATCCCAGCTACATGAGAGGTTGAGGCAGAAGGATCCCTTGAGCCCAGGAGTCAGAGCACAACCTGTGCAACATAGTGAGACCCCATCTGTAACCAAAAAAAAAGACAAAAAGAAAAAAGAACCTTGGAATTTGCAGTATTAATTTAAAGAAAATAAATTCCTTATGCCTCTTATACAACTGTAAAACCAAGGCAACATACATGTTAAGTCCTAACCAAGATATAAACCCAATAATATTTTAAACTAACACAATAGATCCTGTTTTGCTAAACTAACACATATAAAAATAGCCTGTAGCCTGAAGTCCAGCTCTTTAACTGGCCTATATTTTGACTTCCGTTGGGCAGAGAACCTCTGTTTACACAGTTTAGTAAACACAATGGCATTAATGATTTCAAGACTTTGTTTGCTAGTTCAAGATAACCCAACCCCATTGCTTAGCCAAAACTCTGCCAACAGGCACTCTTCAGTGTCAGTTTAATGTGGTGTCATTTGATCTCTGCAAAACAGTCTTGTTCATTTGAACATGAAGTTAACATTGCAGCTTTATTGAAATCTGCACTAAATAAGTATCTAATCTAATTATTGCTGGAATTGGTTACAGAAAATTTCTTCATGGTGCAATTACTACTACACCGTAGGTAATGAACTGCTGCCAAGCTGGTGTGCTCAGCGATGGATTCCACGTAGAACATCTGATTGTTCTGCAAAGACAAGACAGATGCCCTGACCCAGGGCTTTTTGAGGGCACATGCCCGTTCTATTTTAGGATAAGTAATGGTTTCAGCCAAGCTCGTCCAACCTGCAGCCCACGGGCCTCTTGCAGCCTAGGACAGCTTTGAATGCAGCCCAACACAAACTTGTAAACTTTCTTAAAACTTTATGAGTTTTTTTGCAATTTTTTTTTTTAGCTCATCAGCCATCATTAGTGTTCGTGTATTTTATGTGTGGCCCAAGACATTTCTTCTTTGAATGTGGCCCACGGAAACCAAAAGATTGGACACCCCTGATTTAAGCCATGTCCGCCACAGCCCCATCCCACTTTCCCTATTTGAACAACTAGAAAACTCTCATTTGTAGCTGTGACATTATTTGAGGCACTATGTTGTGGATGGTTGAAATTGTGGCCCTAGTATCACAGTGCCTGAGTTCAAATCTTGGCTCCACATTTTACTAGCTCTGTGGTCTTTGGCAAGTTACTTACCCTCCCTGTGCCTCAATTTTCTCATCTGAAATAGGAGTAAAAAGAGTATAATCTTCGAGAGTCACTGTCAGGATTGCACAACATAATAGAGGAATTTAGAAGGGTGCCTGGCACACAGAACACGCTCAGTACAAGCCTGCTGCTGCCACAGCTGCTGCTATTGTTTGTCCATTACTTGGTATGAATTCAGACACAGACACTTCTGATATTGCAGCTCAAGCACCAGCACCTTCCGGAAGCTTTTCCTTACATATTTGTTCCTGGACGGTTGGAAGTCATCGCTCTCCTCTGAGTCCAGTTGTGCCCTGTACAGTCTTCTATCACAGAATATGTAAACTGTAAACATTCTTTTTTTTTTTTTTTTTTTTGAGATAGGGTCTCCCTCTGCCACCCACGCTGGAGTGCAGTGGCATGATCTCAGATCGCTGCAACCTCTGCCTTCCGGGCTCAAGTGATCCTGCCACCTTTGCCTCCCTAGTAGCTGGGACTAGAGGCACCCACGACCACGCCCGGCTAATTTTTCATATGTTGTTGTAGAAACAAGGTTTCACCATGTTGCCCAGGCTGGTCTTGAACTACTGAGCTCAAGCAATCCACCCACCTTGGGCTCCCAAAGTGCTGGGATTATAGGTATAAGCCACTGTACCCAGCCTATAAACATCAATGACATTTGTAGTTTCGTCTCCACCACCTGGACCACAGGTTCCCACTGCCAGAGATGAATTCTGACCAGTCTTTGTATCCCAGTTCCTGGAACAATGTCTAGCACATTAGCTGTCATCAGTAAATTCTGACAGAAGAGAGAGAGAGGGAAGAAAAGAGGAAGGAAGGAAGGAAGGAAGGAAGGAAGGAAGGAAGGAAGGAAGGAAGGAAGGAAGGAGGGAAGGAGGGAGGGAGGGAAGGAGGGAGGGAAGGAAGGAAGGACTAGAGCGTCCTCCAGCCTTTCCCAGGAGATTTATATTTCAAGGGAATCTGAACCTTATAAATCAAGCTTGCAGACTAGCAGGCTTCCTCTATCACGAAGGGACCATTTGGGGTGAAGGTAGGAACAGTATCCGCCTGCTAGAGTCTGCTCCCACTGGCTCCCAGGAGCTGATTATGCACGACTCTTCCCAAGCCCACATTCAGAGCCAGGGTTGGGAAGTCTGAAATTGACCAGTGGTTAGGAGACATTTACACCACGGAAACATTTCCCAGAGCCAGCTGTTCAGCACTTCCCAGCACACCACGGGCAACAAGGCTTCTCTGTGACTCCGAAAGCAGTGAAATTTTGCATACTGAGTGGTAGAAAACTGTGGGGCACAGAGGGGATCTGAAAGCAGAGGCCCCATCTGCCCGCGGCAGAGGCCAGTCTGGGTGGGCGCCAGGCCTCTGTGCATATGCGACATCCTGGCCCTGGTCACGTCTCTTGGGCCGCACCTTTATCATCCTCATCGAAGTCATCACGGAAGCATCCATGGAGATGTTTATCTTGTGATTGCCGATTGTTTCTAATCTATTAAAAGTCAACTAATAATAAAACTCATGATGTTAATGACTTACTAGTCATAAACCCAAACAATGGAACAAACTATTTGCTTAATATTTTTATGAGAGAATGTGCACGTGACCTTGCAGCTTGGTGCCAGTTACATTTCTATTTACATAGAGACTGGGGACAATTAGAACGTTTATCTCACTTAGTCACTGGTCACTCCTGCCCCCTACTTTCCCCTCCCTCTTCCCAAAAGAAATGAAAAAACGTTTTCATTATAAACTGATATCTGTTGATGAAAGCAGCTATTTTTAAAAAATGATGTCATAGAGCCTAGAATGCTACATTGTTCTGAGTTCAGAAAAGACTCAATGGATTCCTTAGTTGTTGCCCTTGCTGGAGGTTAAGTGAATGCTGAGTAACCCCCCCACCCCACACACACATCTCGTCCCTTCTACTCATTTTCAGAACTGTTATTTGACTCCTCAGGAAACTTGTTTATATTTTTCATAAATAATATATGTTTTTATATAGTGCACACACATATAACCATCGTTTTCATTCTTTAAAGACATTCAAAATTCCTTATTTAGTTTTTGAAACAGGGTCTTGCTCTGACACCCGGGCTGGAGTGCAGTGGTGCCCGATCATGCCCAATCATGCCTCACTGCAGCCTTCACCTCCCAGCTCAAGCAATCCTCCCACCTCAGCCTCCTAAGTAGCTGAAACTACAGGCTTGTGCCACCATGCCGGGCTAATTTTTAAATTTTTTTGTAGCTATGGAGACTCCCTATGTTGCCCAGGCTGGTCTTGAAATTCTGGAGTCAAATGATCCTCCTACCTCAGCCTCCCAAAGCACTAGAACTACTAGGTCCGAGCCACTATGCCCAGCCCAGATTTCCATGTTTCGTAAACTCCAATTCAGAATATTCCTGTTATGTAAGCCTTTTTTTTTTTTTTTTTTTTTTGAGACAGGGTCTCACTTTGTCACCCAGGCTGGAGTGCAATGACATGATCACAGCTCACTGCAGCTTCAGCCTTCCAGGCTCAAGCAATCCTTCCACCTCAGCCCTGGTACTGCAGGTGTGCACCACCACGCCCAGCTAATTTTTGTATTTTTTGTAGAGATGGTGTTTTACCACGTTGCCCAGCCTGGTCTCAAACTCCTGAGTTCAAGCAATCCACCTGGCTCAGCCTCCCAAAGTGCTGAGATTACAGGAATGAGCCGCCGTGCCCAGCTATGTAAGCATTAATCTGTACACTTCAGAAATGTTTACTTATTCTACAAACCCTGAATAAATCCCAAACACTATTTTCTATAGGATACCCTCAGATGTAGAGAATGTGATTTGTTTGTTTGTTTGTTTGTTTTGTTTTGAGACAGGGTGTTGCTCTGTCACCCAGACTGGAGCGCAGTGATACAATCATGGCTCATGGCAGCCTCAATCTCCCAGACTCAAGCAATTCTCCCACCTCAGCCTCCCAAGTAGCTGGGACTACAGGTGCATGTCACCACACCCAGCTAAGGTTTTATTTTTAACAAAAAGAAATAAAAAAGAATAACCTCCCCAACAACAACAAAAAAAGACATCAATCATGTAGCAACAAATATTTACTATCTCCCTGTACTGGATTAGAAAGTTACCTTTATAAGCCTTTTATCTAACTATATCCTTTCAAACAATATGAGGAATAAATCAGCCTTCTGCAAGAATAATATTTTATAAGAGAAAAATCTCTTATATTTTGAATGCCTGTGACCCCCCAGATCCCATGTTTAACATGCAGGGATGCTGTGTTTGTGTGACTCCAGTAATGTGTGCATTATAGGCATGAACTGCTGAGAAATTGAATTAGTGCTTGTGACAGGGACTGGAGGGATATCCCAGAAAACTCACAAGCAGTCAGTTAGCCTTGCCTGAATCCTCTTCAGTGTGCCTCAGGTTTAATTTCACACACACACACACACACACCCCTCCACTCCCTTTCTTCCAAAACATTTGCCATACCTTGCAGCATCCCCACTCCACAGTCACTGTACTTTCCTATATTTGCATTTTCAGCCTCCTGCTTGAGTGGATTCCCAGCTCATGGCTTTAGGTTAAACCTCGCTGTCTCCTGAGTCTTTCAAGTGTGGCCACTCATCCTGCCACACCACAAAGCCCTGGAATCTGGAGAGGGACTGGAGCCCCTTCATGAGCTTGTGTTGCTTGCAAATTAATAGAGGCAGGAGGCAAAGAAATCCTAGGAAGATAGGGGTGGGTCCCCAGTGAAACCCCACCTTCAAGCCAAAAACAGCCTAAAACCCGCAGACCAGAGTGAGAACTTCTATTCTTGTTTGCCTGCTCTCTCCTGATTGGTTCTTTCTGAATAATGCCTTTCAACCAATCAAATGTTGCCTTTTCCAATACTACCTATGACCCACCCCACCCCCATCCTGTGCCTATACAGATCTCAGACTCAGTCGGTAGAGGGGAGACAGGGAGACAGCCTGACTTCAGGGAAGAGAACTCCCGACTTCGGGGGAAGATGACCTGCCCTTCCCATTCCCTCTCCAGCTCCCCTCTCTACTGACAGCTGTTCCATTGCTCAATAAATTTCTCCGCCCTCACCATCCTTTAATCATCAAGCGTCACCTCATTCTTCTTGGGTGCTGGAAAAGAGCTCAGGACCCACCGAGTGTGGGTACCCAGAAAGACTGTCACACTGGCCCTTTGCCCTCACTGGCAGAGGGCAGCTCCCTCACACAATGGGGCCAGGGACTGACCGAGCTGCTAAAACACCACTGTCCATCTGGCTATGGATGGCAGAACTAAGAGAGCTAATTAGCATATTAACACCCCCTCTGGGGCTTTCAGGTGGTGGGTACCCCTGCCTGGGCACTGCCACGTTCCTCTTGAGGTAACACTCCTGGTCTGGCCATGGGCCCTGCATGGAGCTTGCTCCTGTGGTGGGCTGGATCCCACACTCGCTCACTCACGTATTCCCACTTGCAAGGGGCTGAGCACAGCAGGCTGAGTAGATGGGGCGTCCCTGCTGGGAGTCTGGCAAAGGGGCAGAGAAAAATCCTGCATCAAAATCATTACTCCTTCACTTTTATGTGAAGGCTCCTACTCATGCCATCTGACCCTACCCAGTGACGCCATCCACCTGCATGCCTGTCACTCCTCCTCATCGAAGACCTCATCCATGGCTCCTGGTCTCTCTTTGAGCTGAGTTCTGCTTTGGTTTGGGTAACTTTACTCTAATTCCGACAAGCTGCCCAATATCTCAACTTCCTGAATTTTGCAGCTCCAGCATCCTCTCTTCCAAGCCACTTCTGACATTCATTGTTGTATGTCCACATCTGTTCAACCTCTGATGTTTGGGATTCAAACATTCTACCATCCATGCTTATTCTCTCATTTTCAGTGCCTTTGTATTTGTCTATGGTGGCAATACTGATTGCCCCAAACCTTAGCAGCTTAAAACAACAATTTATGAGCTCACACAGTTTCTGAGAGTCAGGAATCCAGGAGCAGCTTAGCTGAGTGGTTCTGTTTCAAGGCCTCTCAGGACGTTGCAGCCAAGATGCTTACCTATTTCCTCCATGGCTCACTTACACCCCTAGCAAGGTAGAGTTGGTTGTTGGCAGGAGACCTCAGTTCCTCACCACATGGGCCTCTCCAGAGGGATTCTTGAGTGTCTTCAAGACATGGCAGCTAAGTCCCCCCAGAGCAAGTGATCCAAGAGACAGCACAATGAAGCCAGAGTGTCTTTATAACCTGGTTCCTTCTGATTTTTTCTCCATGTTAGAATGGAAGCACCAAGTCCAGCCCATGCTCAAGGAGAGGTGAACTAGGCTGCATCTTTTGAAGGGAGTACCAAAGAATTTGTGAACATAATTGAAGCTATCACAATCTAGACCCCATCTGGTCCATCAGTTCAACTACTCTTCCTTTCTTAGTCCCACTACACCTGTTCTCTGATTCACTGAGATTTTTCGATCCTCAAAATTTCTTTTTTATTTATTTATCTTTTTTTTTTTTTAAGATAGAATCTCTCTCTGTCACCCAAGCTGGAGTGGCGCAATCTTAGCTCACTGCAACCTCAGCCTCCTGGGTTCAAGTGACCTTTGTGCCTCAGTCTCCCAAGTAGCTGGGATTACAGAAATGTGCCACCATGCCCGGCTAATTTTTGTATTTTTACTAGAGATGGGGTTTCACCATGTTGCCCAGGCTGGTCTCGAACTCCTGGCCTCAAGTGATTTGCCTGTCTCGGCCTCCCAAAGTGCTGGGATTACAGGCATGAGCCACTGCACCCTATCAAAATTTCTAATTTCTATGGGTAGCTGGATGCAGTGGCTCACATCTGGAACCCTAGCACTTTGGGAGGCCAAAGCGGGTAGATCACCTGAGGTCAGGAGTTCGAGACCAGCCTGGCCAACATGGCAAAACCCCATCTCTACTAAAAATACAAATATTAGCCGGGTGTGGTGGTGGGCACCTGTAATCCCAGCTACTCAGGAGGCTAAGGCAGGAGAATCACTTGAACCTGGGAGGCAGAGGTTGCAGTGAGCCAAGATCATGCCACTTCATTCCAGCCTGGACAAAAGAGTGAAACTCCATCTCAAACATAATAATAATAATTTCTATGGGCCTTTTCCATTTTTATTTCCCTTCTGCATACAGTTGAGACCCCATCTGGTCCATCAGTTCAACTACTCTCTTGCCAATATCCTCTTTTTTTTTTTTTTTTTTTTGAGACGGAGTCTTCCTCTGTCACCCAGGCTGGAGTACAGTGGCGTGATCTCAGCTCACTGCAAGCTCCACCTCCCAGGTTCACGCCATTCTCCTGCTTCAGCCTCTCCAGTAGCTGGGACCACAGGCGCCTGCCACCGCGCCCAGCTAATTTTTTATATTTTTAGTAGAGACGGGGTTTCACCGTGGTCTCGATCTCCTGACCTCGTGATCTGCCTGCCTCAGCCTCCCAAAGTGCTGGGATTACAGGCGTGAGCCACCGCGCCCGGCCTATCCTCACTCTTTTATTCACTCTTTTATCATCCTTGTATAGCCTCCATTGTTGGGGGTGGGCTTTGGTTCCATCCAACTGTCCACCCAGCCTCCATCACCCAGACAGGGAGCACTGATGGAGCCGATCACACCCAGGGTCTGCTGAACAGTGCCCACAGCTTCCGGTGTTCAGTGGGCCTTCAACACAGCACAGCCTCCTTCTATTTCCAAATCAGCAGTCTCCGCTATGGTCGTTTTGAGCATTGCCCATTTTCCCTCAGTCTCCTTCAACACTGTGACCACATTCCCCCTTGGTTCCTTACCTCTCAGACCTCGGACAGCGCCCCTCATCCTCCTAAGCTTGCATCTAAAACCTTCGCAAGGGTCCTACTCCTCACTCGTCCTCTTCGGTCACAGATGAAGCAACAAAGAGGTGCTGTGGCAGGCCAGCTGTCACTAACACAGGCCTCCGTAACAACTGTTTCAGCACTGACTGAGTGGTTAAGTTAAATATTAAAAGCTGAGAGAGCCAGCGCCCTTATCCAAAGGCTGGGATGTAACAAAATCCACCCAGAGCTTTGCCTAGGCCTTTCCTGGGCCTTGGAGCATGATAAGATAATGAAGGAACTCCGAACAGGACCCGTTTAGGATTTAAAACATTTTATTGGGGGTCTGAAGAAACTCTCCAGGCCTCCACAAACAAGTTTATTTGGGTTCTGAAAGAACTACCCTAACCTCCATAATTTAGCAGGAGACAAGATAAGGGTAATCACCCCAGCACCTGGACCCATTTAGATTAAGTAAATTTACTGAGGCTCCAGAGGAAGGTCTTCAGGACTTAGTTATAGACGAAAAGAAGTTAATCACTTATGTCTTTAGATGGACGCACACTTAAACACGTAGGCATATAGCTTAGAAGGGATCTA
This sequence comes from Homo sapiens, assembly GCF_000001405.40. Classification (NCBI taxonomy): domain Eukaryota; kingdom Metazoa; phylum Chordata; class Mammalia; order Primates; family Hominidae; genus Homo; species Homo sapiens. Next base: position 26,210,389 of record NC_000008.11, read on the forward strand.
AGCTCTGGAAAACTTTGTCATTTTGAGTTGGTCTGGCGATAATTTCCAGGCCTTCTCCCTGTGACCGGCTACAGAAATAAACTCTCTTCTCTCCCAGTTCATCTGTATCTCATTATTGGGCCGTGAGAATAAGCAGCCTGACCCTCGGTTTGGTCTGGGAACAGTGCATGATGAAGACCCAAGTCTCCTCGTGGCAGACACTTGAGGAAGATGTGTTAACAAAAGAAAAAGCAATGAACCTGAACTCCAGGTCCTATCACTTCCCAACTCCCCCTGCCCACCACCTCAAAGACCTCATTGCATCTCTGGTCCTCTCTCTGCCCTGCATCTTCCCTCCTTACACTCGCTCTTTCCCACCAGCATTTAGACATGCTCAGGCCTCGTCTACCTTAAAGAAAAAGCTTCTCCTTTGGTCCACATCCTCCTTAGGTTCACATGCTGTTGTTTCTCTTTATACATGATATTTTTGAGAGAGTGACAGAGAGGGCTACATTCACTCTCTCTGTTCCTTACCTAATTTTCTTTCTGGAACCCATTCAGCACTCCACTAAAATGGCTCTTGCCAAGGTCACTGCCATGGTGCCAAAGCCGTCTTCTTGCCTCCTCATCTTCAAGGTCCTTGCAGCATTGACACAGGAGGCCACACCACCTGCAAAGTTTCCTCCCCAGCAGTTTCCCTGTCTTCACATTTTCCAACCACTGCTCCTGGCAGGCTCCTTCCCCCGGCCTGTGAATGCTGGGGTTTCCCTGGGTTTTGTCTGTTCCCCTCCTTCTTTTTTTTTTTTTTTTTTTTTTTTGACATGGAGTTTCGCTCTTGTTGCCCAGGCTGGAGTGCAATTGGCGCCATCTCGGCTCACCGCAACCTCTGCCTCCCGGGTTCAAGCGATTCTCCTGTCTCAGCCTCCCGAGTAGCTCGGATTACAGGCATGTACAGCCACACCAGCTAATTTTGTATTTTTAGTAGAGACGGGGTTTCTCCATCCCTACAGTCGGTCAGGCTGGTCTCGAACTCCCGACCTCAGGTGATCTGCCTACCTCGGCCTCCCAAAGTGCTGGGATTACAGGCATTATCCACCACGCCCGGCCCAGTTCCCTTCCTTCTTAGCTTGCACAGTTCATTCATTCCCATGGCTTATTGATAAATCACAAGTCTATATTCCTAGTTTGTATTTCTTTCTTACTACCCACTAGACATGTTGTCCTGGAGATCCCATAGCCCCTGAATACTCAATAAAGAGGCAATATAGTAAGTGATTAAAAGTGAGGGTTCTCGGGAGGCAGAGCTTGCAGTGAGCCAAGATCACGCCACTGCACTCCAGCCTGGGCGACAGAGCCAGACTCTGTCTCAAAAATAAAATAAAAAATAAAAAAATAAAAAAAGTAAGGGTTCTAGGCCAAATGGTTTGGTTCAAGTTCAAGTCTTTTTTTTTTTTTTTTTTTTTTTTTGAAACAGAGTCTTACTCTGTTGCCCAGGCTGGTCTGCAGTGGCCCCATTCTGGCTCCCTGCAACCTCTGCCCTCTGGGTTCAAGCAATTCTCCTGCCTCAGCCTCCCGAGTAGCTGGGATTGCAGGCGCCCACTACCATGCCCAGCTAATTTTTGTATTTTTAGTAGAGATGGGGTTTCTCCATGTTGGCCAGGCTAGTCTTGAACTCCTGACCTCAAGTAATTCACCTGCCTTGGCCTCCCAAAGTGCTGGGATTATAGGCGTGAGCCACCATGCCTGGCCCCTGGTTCATCTCTTGGCTTATTATTAGTGATGGAGCTGAGATAAATTACTTGATTTCTGTGAACCTCCACCTCCTTATCTGTAAAATGAGGGATAATAAGAGATCCCAACTCATTAGTTAACTGGGTAAATAAGTCAATTAATGTAAAGTTATTGGCATGGCCTCTTACTGGCCTGTGATACTAGGGCTCAGTAAATGTGAGTTATTATTGTCAGAATGAAAGGAGACAATGAGTGAACAGCACGTGGCCCATAGTGAGTGTGGAGAAAATATTGTTTGGTATCATTACATCCCAACTTGAGCTTATTTCTCTGGACTTCTTTGTCTCACTCTGAAAAGCCTGCTCCCCTCCAATGTTCCCTCGCTCCGCAGATGGGGTCTTTATGCTCCCATTTTCCTACACACACACCTCCCCCCCGATATCCAAGCAATCACCAGGTTCTAGCTGCTGGGCCATATTAATCCCTTGCCAATCAATCTACTTCTTTCCATCCCTGGTTCCAGCCTGTAAGTGTCTTGTTAGGGACTGAATGTTTGTGTTATCACCTCAATTCACATGTTGAAATCCTAACCCACAATGTGATGGTATTCGAAGGTGGGGCTTTCGGATGGTAGTTAAGTCATAGGAGTGGAGCCCTCGATAATGGCATTAGTGCCCTTATAAAAGAGACCCCAGAGAGCTCCGGAGCTCTTTCAGCCACCTGAGGACACAGTAAGAAGACGGCGGTCTCTGAACCAGGAAGTGGGCCCTCACCAGATACCAAATCTGCTGGAGCCTTGATTTGGGGTTTCTCAGCCTCCAAAACTGTGAGAAACAAGAAGCTGGAGATGATTGCAACACCTCTTCCTTGCATTAGGGCAAAGCTTCCTCCTGATCTCTCTGCCTCTAGTCTTGTCCCTGGCCAATCCATTCTTCACACTGCAGCAAGAGTGACTGTCCAAAATGCGCATCTAATCCAGTGATTTCCCTGAGGGCTTCGCTTTGCCCTCAGGCTGAAGTCCAATTATCTAATTGGATTGCAAAGCTTGTTAAGGTATGAACTTTGCTTTCCTCTCCAGAGTCAACTCCCAAACTCATTTCACTTTGTTTCTAGATACTGCTTTCTGGAGCCTCTGTATCCAGTGTTTTCTTCTAGAACCTCCTCACCTCACCACCCGGGTCCTCCAGCTCACTGCTTGGATGTCACTGGCACTAGGAAGTTTATCTGATTGCCACCAAACTAGATAGGGTGGTTGCCTCCTATTTACTCTCCTAGAAATGCCACCAAACTAGATAGGGTGGTTGCCTCCAATTTACTCTCCTAGAAACATGTGACTCTGCTGACAGTTATCACACTGTTTATAATTGCCTGTTTGTTTTCCACCTTTAGACCATAAAAGTCACCAAATAATGGTTAAATGCATATATGGGCAACAAACAAACAGCTGCTCTTTATCCTAAGTGGCCTGTGACACTGTTAGTGACTCTTGCAACAACGTGGGTGGCCCTTTTCCAACCTCTCCCTAACAACATATGTGCAATGCACCACCAGGCATACAGGCAGGAAATCAGGAGAGCTGAGTTTAAGTTGTGTCTTTGCCATTTACTAGCTATGTGATCTTGGTAAAGCCACTTACACATTTTGAGTATCAGTTTCCTCATCTAAAAAGTGGGGAAAATATGGCCGGGCACAGTGGCTCATGCCTGTAATCCCAGTACTTTGGGAGCCCAAGGCGGTGGATTACTTGAGGTCAGGAGTTCAAGACCAGCCTGGCCAACATGGTGAAACCCTGTGTCTACTAAAAATACAAATATATATATATATATATCAGGTGTGGTGGTGTGCACCTGTAATCCCAGCTACTCAGGAGGCTAAGGCAGGAGAATCATTTGAACCCAGGAGACAGGTTGCAGTGAGCTGAGATCATGCCACTGCACTCCAGCCTGGGTGACAAAGCGAGACTCTGTCTTAAAAAAAAAAAACAAAAAAACAGGGAGCGGGATGCAGAATAAGCTCCAATAATGTCTATGTAGCTTTGTAAACTGCAAATCACCACGTGGTGCCAATTCCAACTCTTTCCTTTTTTCGGTTCTTGGTTTGCCCTCTTTTCTGCCTCAGACTCTCTCTTGCTTTCCTTTTCTTCCCCCTCCTCTTGTCCTGCAGGGGCCCCTAAGACTTGGCTGATGGCCTCTCTCTCATGGTTATCAGAGCACCCAGGGACAGAGGGTTACCATTCATTGAGGAGGAGCCCAGAAGAGTCTAGAACTGGTCAGCCAGGACACAGAGTCTGAGCTAACACTGACTCCTGGAGTGTTGCTTTGTCATTTATTCACTAGAGGCCTGCTTCCCCCATCCTTGAGATGCTCTGTGATTTTCACGTAGAATTCCCAGAGCGGCGCCTTGCTTCTCATCCTAAACACTCAACATCGTTATCTTTCAGAGACCCCCTGCAGGAACTTTCCCTTCTTTGAGTCAAATTTTTCTGCAACAACTAATGTAGCATTTAAAATGAGAAAGTTAGAAATTTGAGGATTCCTCTTAAGGCAAACACAACAGCTGGAGAGAGAAGAAACAAAGTGGTTTTAAACACTTCATGTGTGCTAGGAGTGTTACATATATTTATTTCATTTATTGACAACTGTGCAGGTGCATATTATTTTCTTCTTTTTATAGATGGGGAAACTAAGTTTGAATATATTATTTGCCTGAGAATACATAGCTGGTAAATGATAGATTCAAATCCAGTTTAGACTCCATAGCCGAGGCTTTCTGTAATAGAAAAAGTGTTTTTAATTCACTTGTTGTCAAATTTCTCCTTACCAGCAATTCAGAAATTACTTTTTCCCGTTTTCATTGCATATCCTAAGCCCATGTCAATTCTAAATAATCTGCCTAGGCTATAGAAGTATTCAACTTAAACTGTGGGTTGACTAAAGGCCATAGGGGACTCATGCCAAGAAGCTAGAAACTTGAGAATGGTATAAGCAGGTCACTAGCTCTCTGTGGTCACAGCTACTTCCTATAACTTCACTATTCTTAGAAACAACAATATAAGGCTGAGACGCACGCTAGTGGCCAGGAGGGAGATGATGGGGTTAGAGAAGAAGGAAGAAGGGGAAAGGCTTTCCAGTGTGGTCCAAAGCTGAGATGGTGGTCAGCAACTCATTCATTGATTACTGCATAACATACAATGCAGTTAACTAAACGGGGTGTCAAAGACCATAATGCATTAGAAATTCAGAAAAGGAGGGTCCAGTAGAAGACAAGATAACTGCAAAAGCCCTCAGCTGGCCAAGCACTATGGTATTTTTTGGTGGGTTCCTCACTCCTCTCCGGAGTAAAGTGCCTCGTTACGTACCTTTGCAGCCACTCTCACCGAGAGATGGAATCTATTTCCCCACCTCTTAAATCTGAACTTGTCTTGTGACCTTTTTGACCAAGAGAAGGAAGCAGGTGTGGCTATGTGCCAGTGCTGAGCCTACCCTTCAAGAGATCCACTCTTGTGGAGCTGTGCTGCTACCATGTGAATTAGCCAGGGCTAGCCTGCTGGATGAGGAAAAACACATAGCCCAGTTGCCCCCATTAACCCAGCCAATGGCCAGAGTACTCTGCAGCTGATTGAAGGTGCATAAGAGAGTCCAATGAGGAACAGAAGAACAAGCCGGGCATGGTAGCTCATGCCTATAATCCCTACTGTTCTGTAATCCCTACCTACTCTGTTCAAAACTACTGTTCAAAGGATTTGGGGTACATCATTAAACAAAACAAAAAACAAATCCCCATCATCTTAAACTTTCATTCCATTTGGAGACACAGATAAAAAAGTAATAAGTCTAACAAATAAATGATACTGGCCAGGCGTGGTGGCTCACGCCTCTCATCTCAGCACTTTGGGAGGTCAAGGCAGGAGGATCACCTGAGGTCAGGAGTTCAAGACCAACCTGGCCAACATGACAAAACCCCATCTCTACTAAAAATACAAAAATTAGCCAGATGTGGTGGCACACACCTGTAATCCCAACTACTCAGGAGGCTGAGGCTGGAGAATTGCTTGAACCTGGGAGACAGAGGTTGCAGTGAGCTGAGATCGCGCCACTACACTCCAGCCTGGGCAACAGAGTGAGACTCCATCTCAAATAAATAAATAAATAAATGATACCATATGTTAGAAAGTTTTAAGTGCTGTGGAATAACTAGAACTGAGTGAGGGAGTAAGAAACGTGGAATGGACTATGAATATCAGTTTTAAATAGGGTACTCAAGGTAGACACTTTGGGAGGCCAACGCAGGAAGATTGCTTGAGCTTAGGAGTTTGAGACTAGCCTGGACAACAGAGTGAGACCGACCCAATTTCATATATATATATGCGTATATATGTATATATACAAGTATATATATATATATATATATGTGTGTGTGTGTGTGTGTGTATATATATATAAAATGGAAGAACCATTCACTGGGCCCAGCATAAATTTCTGATAAGCCAATTGAGAAATAAATAAATGGTGGTAATTTTAAGCCTCTAAATCTTGATGTGGTTATTACACAGCAATAGCTAATGGATATAAGCACTTTAGAGCCTCAATATGAGCCTGTTTCCTCATCTGTTAAACTGGGATAAGAATTTTTTCCCCGCAGACATTTGGAGTCACTAAGCTAATAGGACACCTGTAATAAATGTTGCATCAGAATAAGCACAAAACCCTACAAAACAAATATTACTAATTCATTCTGAGAATATCCCTCATTTTCCCCACCTCTCATCTAAGGAAAGCACAGCCCTCCTGCTTTCCAGCCAGGCAGGTCCTTGGATATTCTACTGGGGTTGTGTGAAGCAAATTCAGTATTCCCCATCCCTAGATCTAGTCAATTCAGCAGCAGGCAGATTCTGCAGGATTGAACAGTTCAATGTGCATGCCCAAGTGAGTTTTAAGGATGACAGGTTGATTTTGGCTTCCTGAACACAATTTAAATTGATGAGATCTCAGTGAATTCTTTCTTCCAATCCTGGGGAGGCGGGGGCGGGGCGAGGGAGGGTGTTCAGATAATGCTTTAATCACATTGTGAATAAAAACTGTTTGCTGAGCTCTGATACTGAGAAGGCACTGGATTTTCCCAGCTGAAGAATCGTGGGCTTCTTCAGTAAGAGCCCTTTCAGAAACTAAGGAAACTGTCTGTTCCCACTTTAGTTGTCAACAACTCCTCTCTAACCTCTCAAAAGCAATCAGTCAACAAGTATTTGTTTAGATCTGAGCTATCTGCACCACCCTAGGTGCTTGGTAAAAAGTGAGACAGTAGAAGCCATAGTATCTCATTCGTTCATTCATTCATTCATTCATTCACTCAACAAATACTCACTGAGCACCTATTCTATTCAAAAATATTGTTCATTCTGAGCACGGTAGCTCATGCCTGTAATCCCAGCACTTTGGGAGGTGGAGATGGGCGGATCACCTGAGCTCAGGAGTTTGAGACCAGCCTGGGTCACAGGGTGAAACCTGTCTTTACTAAAAACACAAAAACTTAGCCAGGCATGGTGGTACGTGCCTGTAGTCCCAGCTACTCAGGAGGCTGAGGCAGGAGAATCACTTGAACCTGGGAGGCAGAGGTTGCAGTTAGCTGAGATCACGCCACTGCACTCCAGCCTGGGTGACAGAGCGAGACTCCGTCTCAAAAAAAGGACTGTTCAAAGGATTTGGGGTACATCATTAAACAAAACAAAAAACAAATCCCTGCCCTCTTAAACTTTCATTACATTTGGAGACAGATAAAAAATAATAAATATAATGAATAAATAAATGATACCATATGTTAGAAAGTTTTAAGCGGTGTGGAATAACTAGAACTGAGTGAAGGAATAAGGAATGTGGAGTGAATGATGAATATCAGTTTTAAATAGGGTACTCAGGATAGGAGTTTTGCCAACCTCAGTTGGGAAAACCACACAGCTCACGTGGAGTCAGTGGTAGCAACTGGGGTGGAGAGAGCAACTGTGAGTTCAGAAGATGAAGAAAGCCAAGAGAATCTGTGAGGCATACAATATGTATCTTTAAGACACCGCTGGTGCACTGGGGCCAGCTCGTACAGGCTCACTAGAGCCAATTATGCACAACCCTTCCAAACTCGGGGTTCAGTGTTGTCGTATTGGTAGCTTGCAACCAATCATGTTAGTAGCTTGGTGGGAGGATTTACACCATGAAAAATGGCAAACCCTCCAAATCAGAGTTTCCTTTTTTTTTTTCTTTTTAGTAAGAGTTCAGTGTTTAAACATTTTGTATCATACCACTAATTGGACCCCACCTCCAACCATACCCTAGGAGGTTGATATGGTTTGGCTGTGTCCCCACCTAAATCTCAACTTGAATTGTATCTCCCAGAATTCCCACGTGTTGTGGGAGGGTCCCAGGGGGAGGTAATTGAATCATGGGGGCTGGTCTTTCCTGTGCTATTATCGTGATAATGAATAAGTCTCATGAGATCTGATGGGTTTATCAGGGGTTTCTGCTTATGCTTCTTCCTCATTTTTCTCTTGCCGCCACCATTTAAGTAAGAAGTGCCTTTCACCTCTGGCCATGATTCTGAGACCTCCTCAACCATGTGGAACTGTAAATCCAATTAAACCTCTTTTTCTTCCCAGTCTTGGGTATGTCTTTATCAGCAGCATGAAAATGGACTAATACAGAGGGCTACAAATGTATGTCCTTTAATAAAAAGCATAGAGGGCAATCAAGTGTCACCCAAAAAGGGAGATCACCATGGCAAAGTTTCAGGGGAAAGTTTTTGGGAAGAGGGTCTCTCAAATAAGCAGCCAAGCTAATCTGTATAAAGGAAGAGAAACAGAGCACAGAATGGGTAGAAAGGGATGATTCCATGGGAAAGGCATGGAGGTTGGGCTGACATGGTGTGATAGAAAATCTCCACCAAGAAAACACCCAACTGACACTGAATTCAGCTTCTTACCAAGTGGGATGGGATGCTTTCCAAAATTGAACTAAAAATTACCTCGTCTTTCACGCCCCCACCAAAGTCATTCCTAGCTCTCTGAAAGCTTTGCAAACCTTGATGAACACAATCCACATGTATCTTCAGGAATAGAATCTGGGCTCAGCATCTGTTTGGAGTTCTCTGAATTTTTCTGCATGGAAACATGAGCTGGTAAATAGACACTAAAACGCTGAATGTCTGGGTTCTTTCCCCATCTCTGGAACTGCTTTGCTCAGTAACATTGGGCAAGTTGTCTCAGTACTGAATTTCCCCACTTGAAAATGATCAATTTACATTCTTCGCTCCTTGTTAAAGATGAACAATATCATCTTTGGGAAATATTTTAAGCTCTTCTAAGAAAGACATAAACAATTATATGTGTATGATAAATAGAATAATATTATTGTTATTACAAATAAAAATACAGATATCCTCCAAAGGCTGAAAAAGGAGAGCAAGCTCTATTAACTCTTTCTGTTGTCAGGGAAGCCTCCTCCTCCAGATCATAAATTTACCAAAGCAATTCCCCTCCCTGGCTATGGTATACCAGCCTCCAATCACTGGTTCAGAGTATCAGGCTAGCCAGTCATAGGAATGTGGGCGTGAAGGCAATACCCTGCTCAGATGCCATGGTTGGGTGTGCCATTTATCCTCCCTCCAATCCTCTCTCCTTCACAGCACTGTTCTTTCTCTGTGGCACTCCAGCCCTGATGAGGCCACCAATTTGCTTTGCCTCACTTGTACCATGCCTCCAGCACAACTTGGCATGCATGTAGCTCTTTAAATTATTATTATTATTATTATTATTATTATTATTATTTTAGAGATGGGGTCTTGCTTTCTCACCCAGGCTAGAGTGCAGTGGCACAATCATAGCTCACTGCAGCCTCAAACACCTGGGCCCAAGCAATCCTCCCACCTCAGCCTCCTGAGTATCTCGTACTACAGACGCACCATAACACCTGGCTAATTTTTTTTTTAATGTTGAATAGATGGGATCTCATTATGTTGCTCAGGCTGGTCTCAAAACTCCTAACCTCAAGTGATCCTCCCTCCTTGGCCTCCCAAAGTGTTGGGATTACAGGTGTGAGCTACCATGCCTGGCACTAAATTCTTGATCACCAACATCAAATGGGCATCAAGACCACTCAACAAGGTTTCTGTGCTTTCCTAATGAAACTTTTATTCTTCTCAACACAAAAGCTGTCTCTTACCTTCTCTAAATCTCCCTCTACCCTCAGATAATAATCTTACCTTACTCCTAATTTATAACGTAGAACCCACCAAAATTGGCCTCACTTTCCTACCACTAAATCCATAGACCTACCTGCCACTATACCCATCTCTTTCCACTCCTCTTGCAAGGAAGAAAGAGTCCCTTCTCCTTCCATAACCCAGTTCCAAGTGAGTCTTCAATTCCATCTCTCATTTCTTCCAAGACTCCAGACCACTGTTGATTACCTCTCTCTCTTTAGTCTTCAATCTCTTTTCTTGATTATTTCTGTGAACATTCTAAGATGTGCCAGTAACTACTATCTTTCATATTTAACTTTTTATTTTTAAAGTAATGTGTGTGTGCACACATGCACACCGTGTGTGTTTGTGTGTGCATGGAGTGGGTTGGGGGGAAGGGAAACAAAAATGGAAAAATGTTACAAGTTGTTGAATCAAGGAAGAATATACTAAGGTTTGGGTGGTTCTTGTAACTTTTCTCTAGGTGTGAGATTATTTCAAATGCCCCTTTCTCAGAGGTCTTCCCTAACTACCAGATATAAAGTAGTGACTTAGTATTGTTTTCTCAGCAGGTAACTGTTCTTTTTAGGCATAGATCTTGCTATACTATGGAGTTCTAGGCACACAGCAGCTGTCTCAGCCATGTTCAACCTGTGACTCACATGTGACCACACATACCTGAGAGACAGTAGGAGTAGACCCAGGGCCCGGATGAGCAAGAGACATGGGAGACCCTCGCCTTGGGCACCAAATGTACAGGGCCACCAAAAACTCAGAAATCAAGACAAGTAATATAAAATTTTATTTAATAAAATTTAATAAAAATGTAAAAAAGACATGCAATATAAAATTTTAATATAACAATTTAAAAAGACAAAACAGGCTGGGCACAGTGGCTCACGCCTGTCATCCCAGCACTTTGGGAGGCCGAGGCGGGCAGATCACTTGAGGTCAGGAGTTTGAGACCAGCCTGGCCAACATGGTAAAACCCTATGTCTACTAAAAATAAAAAAATTAGCCAAGCTTGTTGGTGCATGCCTGTAATCCCAGCTACTTGGGAGGCTGAGGCAGGAGAATAGTTTGAAAACAGGAGGTGGACAGTGCAGTAAGCAGAGACCATGCCACTGCACTCCAGCCTGGGCGACAGAGCAAGACTCCATCTCAAAAAAATAAATAAATAAATAAATAAAATGACAAAATACAAGAAAAAAAAAACACCCATGGTGATCCAAATATCACAATTATAAATAAAGATGAAAATCTGAACTTGTACTTTCATGACCCTCTCCCAATCACCCCACCCTAATCCTGATGTTGTTTCCTTTCCAATAAAATTTTATTTATAAAACCAGACAGCTGGTGAATAGTCCATGGTTTGCCATACACACACACACACACACACACACACACACACACACACACTCACACTATATATTTAATATAATATATATAATATTATATAGAATATATTATATATTATATATAATGTAGAATATATTCTATATTATATATTATATATATAATATATTCTATATAATATAGAATATAGAATATATTCTATATTATATATAATATATTATATATAATATATAATATATTCTATATAATATATAATATATTCTATATAATATATATAATATTTTATATATATAAATAATATATAATATATTATATATTACAAGATTATAAGATTAATTTTGATGACTGAGGTTTGGGGGCCCCCTTAAAATTTCCCTCCCTATAGTCTTAGCCCTGGGTGGATCCCTCTATGATGAGGGTCTAAGGAGCCTCCAGGAAATGAGTATAGGTGCATACATTTGTTCAAAGACAGTGGGTCACTCTTGGAGAGGAAGGCAGTTCTGAGCTCACACAGTGCCTGTCACTCACTGCTGCTCAGCCTAGTGGATTCAAGCACCCCTCCTTTGTGGCTGTCTGCACCCTATTTACACTTTGCAAGCTGCATATTCAAATATTTCACTTCACTGAAACCATTAATTTATAGGCTGCACACTTCTTAAAGGCCAAATCACATCTTTTCTCCTTAGCTCTAGAGCCTGGGCTATAGTAGATACAAGGGGGTACCTGGTGATTCAAAACCTGACCTTTTCATGTGACCGGGAGGTCAACCAATGGACTTCATTCATGTACTTACCTTCACTAAGGGCCCCCTGGTCTGCCGAGCTGTTTGTTGTTTTTGTTGTTGTTTGGAGGAAGGTAAGAAGACAGGAAATAAACACATCTGCAAGCGTTCAAAGGCCCTTTTGAGAGTCAGCAAATGAATTGAGACCTCAATTCTTCTCTTTTTAAAGTTCAACATTATTAGGAACTCTCTGATAAAGTAGACACTTGTAGAAAAATCCTCAGAGGAGGCTGGGCGTGGTGGCTCACACCTGTAATCCCAGCACTTTGGGAGGTGGAGGCAGGAGGATTGCTTGAGGCCAGGAGCAACATAGTGAGCCTGAGAGATCAACCTGGGCAACATAGCAAGACCCCACCTCTAAAAAAATAAAAAAATTAGTCAGGGGTGGTGGCACATGCCTGTAGTCTCAACTATTTGGGAGGCTGAAGTGAAGGAATCAATTGATCCTAGGAGCTGGAAGCTGCGGTGAGTTATGATCCGGCCACTGTGCTACAGCCTGGGCAACAGTGAGACTCTGCTTCTAAAAAAAAAAAAAAAAAAAAAAAACAGGAAAGAAGAATCCCCAGAGTTGTACTACCACAAGGAGAAGAGTTCTGAACTGTGGGCTAAACCTGTGTTCTTGGGGACTTGCTGCCTCCTAAGAGCATGTCTAATGTCCTGAAACACCTCCAGATCCAAGCTTCTCAGCATTAGGGTCTTGCTTTGGAATAATGCCTGAGTGTCTAAGTGTGAATTAAAAGAGCTCTAAATTAGAGTCCAAAGTTAAGGCACCAGTGCCATTGGTGAGAGATCTGGACAAGCAGCGCATCCTCAGCATCATGGATGAGCACCCACGGGAGTGAGAGGGACCAGCTTTCATCAGCACTAGTGAGTCTGTGAAGCAGTGCCAGTGGTACACTGACTCGGCTACTGTTCTCTCTGCCTGGCAGACTAGTCTAGCATTTGGGGCTGAGCAGGTGTCTGATGCTCTAAGACAAATCAGAGATGCCTCAAGAGGGAGATGTACTTCCTGCTAAGTTGGGCACGTGGGATCTTCAATGATTCATTGGAAAAATGGAGAGACGTGATCACATTTGCACATCCAGACTGCTGATACAGATTATGCTAGCTTTAGTAGATATTCGATAAAAGTTTGATGCACAAATGCTTGTTGTAATTTCTTCTGCCCCATTCATTGTCTAGGTCTACTTTTTACCCCAGAGGATACTAGCAAATTAGAGGAGAAAGGGCTACATAATGAGAAGGGAGAAGAAGGTAGCTTAGAACTATGATTATATCCA